>NC_000003.12:44858484-45161515 GCF_000001405.40 Homo sapiens
TGCCAGGGAGGGAGTGGAGGTGTCCCATACTTGTGGGTTAAGGTGGGGGGGATACGAGAGGAAGACACAAAGGAGGCTTTCGGTTGGGAAGAAGGGTGGCAATGAGATGTGGCTGTAGTCCAGGAATAATCAGGGAAGCAGATAATTTGGTTAAATATTTCAGCCTAATAAGGGAACTGGGCAAGTGGGGATAACTAAAAAGGAGTGCATTAAAGAACGTTGTCCAAGTTGGCACCAGAGTTGGGGAGTTTTAAGAGGTTTAGAAGCCTAGCCGTCAATACCCACAACAGTTATGGAGGCAAGGGAAACAGGCCCTTGAAAAGAAGATAATGTGGAGTTGGTAGCCTCTGTATTGATTAAGAAGGGGATGGACTTATCCTCCACTGTAAAAGTTACCCGAAGCTCGGTGTCCGTGACGGTCCAGGGGGCCTCCAAGGCGATCGGGCAGCATCAGTCTTCAGCTGCTAAGCTGAGAAGATATGGGAAGGAGTCAGTCAGAGAGCCCCGGGCCAGAGTTCCAGGGGCTCTGGGAGTGGCTGCAGGGCAAGCTGGACAGTCTGATTTCCAGTGGGGTCCCGCACAGTTGGGACACGGCTTAGGAGGAATCCCAGGGCTGTGGGCATTTCTTGGCCCAGTGGCCAGATTTATGGCACTTTAAGCAAGCTCCTGTGGGAGGCGGTCCTGGAGGAAAGCCTGGCCACTGCGGTTCAGACGTTTTGAAGTTCTTGTGTGCTGGAGATGTGGCTGGGGTTTCTCTCACAGTGGAGGCAACTAATTGCAACTCAGAAAAACATTGCTACTTGGCTGCCTTTACTCTATTATTGTACACCTTGAAGGCGAGGTTAATTAGGTCCTGTTGTGGGTTTTGAGGGCTGGAATCTAATTTTTGGAGCTGGCGGCTTGGGTGCGGTGGCTCATGTCCGTAATCCCAGCACTTTGGGAGGCCAAGGTGGGTGGATCACTTGGGCCCAGGGGTTCAAGACCAGCCTGGGCCACATGTCAAAATCCTGTCTATACAAAAAATACAAAAATTAGCCAGGCATGATGCACCCATAGTCCCTGCTACTCAGGAAGCTGAAGTGGGAGAATCACTTGAGCCCAGCAGGTTGAGGCTGCAGTGAGCTATGATCCACCACTGTACTCCAGCCTGGCAGACAGAGCAGGACCCTGTCTCAAAAAATACATATATATATAATCTGGGCTTGATGGTACCTGCCTGTAGTCTTAGTTACTCAGGAGGCTGAGCTGAGAGGATGGCTTCAGCCTGGGAGCTCAAGGCTGAAGTGAGCCATGATTACACCATTGCACTCTAGCCTGGGTGACAGAGAGACTCTGTCTCCCTCTAAAAACAAACAAAATTCAGTCTAGCTCTAGACCTAATGAGAATCTTCATCTTAGCAAGATCCCTAGGTGATGTGTGTACACAGGAGTTTCTTAGAGGCAGAAATCACTTCCCAGCAGTGTCTGAGGATGGCATCACTTCAGCCATCATCACCAGGGCTGGGGACCTGGAGATTAACAACGATGTAGTCCCTGCCCTCAAGGAGCTTGCAGGCTAGCAGAGAAACAGACAACCAGAGGAACAACCACAGGACTGGTACAAAGGTAGGGGAGTAGCAGAGACGGCTTTACAGAGGAGGTGGCTCTGAGATGCTTAACCTTTAGTGCTAGTAGAGGCATCGTTTGTTCTAAGAAAATTTGCTTTACATTCTTTAAAGCATGCAGAGTTGATCAATGCAACACCTCTTGATTTCCTGATAAGAGCTTTCAGAGGGTATCATCTTTGAGCAGCTCCTTACTCAATGGAGTGGTGCAGTGAGACCTCTGAGCCTCAATTTCCTCATCTGCAAAATGGGACAGTTTGTACCATATTGGCGTTACTGAAATTATCCGTGTTTTTTTTTGAGACAGAGCCTTACTCTGTCACCCAGGCTGGAGGGCAGTGGTGCAATTTCGGCTCACTGCAACCTCTGCCTCCTGGGTTCAAACAATTCTCTGCCTCAGCTTCCCAAGTAGCTGGGAATACAGGTGCCCGCCACCACACCCAGCTAATTTTTTTTGTATTTTTAGTAGAGATGGAGTTTCACCATCTTGACCAATCTGGTCTTGAACTCCTGACCTCGTAATCCACCCACCTTTGGCCTCCCAAAGTGCTGGGATTACAGGCGTGAGCCACCGTGCCTGGCCTTATCCGTGCTTTTATTTGAGCCACAAAACCACCCTGTGAGAGAAGCAGCATGGTGTGGAAGGACTTCCATAAAAACTTGCTAAACAGAAGATACAAAAAGAATGCTGCTAAACAGTATGTTCAACTGTGAAATCATTTTTGTTTAAAAAATGCATATACATATTCTATAATTTTTTTAACATTTTAACTATATATAACTAAATAGACATATAGAAAAATGCTCTATTAACACTGATTTTCCTGGAGAGTGGAAATAGCACTTTATACATTTCAACACTTTATTTTCAAGGACGTGTACTTTTTAAATGGGAACATTTTATTTTTATTTTTATTTTTTGAGACGGAGTTCACTCTTGTTGGCCAGGCTGGAGTGCAATGGCATGATCTCAGCTCACCACAACCTTCACCTCCCAGGTTCAAGCGCTTCTCCTGCCTCGGCCTCCCGAGTAGCTGGGATTACAGGCATGCACCACCACGCCCGGCTAATTTTGTATTTTTAGTAGAGACGGGGTTTCTCTATGTTGGTCAGGCTGGTCTCGAACTCCCGACCTCAGGTGATCCACCCGCCTCGGCCTCCCAAAGTGCTGGGATTACAGGCATGAGCCACCACGCCCAGCCGGAAACATTCTAAACATACGTAAGTATAACAGGAGATTAGAAGTCATGTTGATTCTGCGTGGCTTGATTATGGATCATTGTCTTCCTCTCATCGCAGATCCTCATTTTTTCGGTTTTCTGTGATGCGCTTGTCCCCATATGGGGCTCTGGCGTCTTTCTGGGTCTGGAGGTCCCCAGCGCCCTCTGCCGAGGCATCTCTTGGTCCGGCGGTCCTCAGGCTGGAGGGTGGAGCGGAGAAGCCTGGTCGACGTGGATGGACTCGGTGGGCCGGCGCGGGGCCCGTTAGGCATCTTTAATAAGTTTCACCGGGAGCCGGGTGGCCGGGATGGAGACGGCTAAGCCGCGAGAAGTTTACCTTCTACCACAGCGTCCACAGTACCCGGCTTGGCCTCAGGCCTCGGGTCCCGACGTCCTCCCCAGAGCACAAACCTACTACAGGTTAGGCCGGAGGCCGCCACAGCCCAGGGTCTCTGCCACCTGGCCCGCCCCCTCCGAGGCGCCGGAGAGCGATTCCCAAGGGGCCTGCCGGAGCGTGGCGTCACAGGAGCGTCGCGTCACGTGAGGCTGCCATCCAATCGCGGCGCGCGCTCTGCCCTGCGGGCAGCGGGTGCCAGGCACGGTGTCAGCAGGCAACATGGCCGAGAGGCCGGGGCCTCCGGGCGGCGCCGTGTCCGCGACCGCGTACCCTGACACCCCCGCGGAATTCCCTCCGCACCTCCAGGCGGGTGCGATGCGGCGCCGCTTTTGGGGCGTATTCAACTGTCTGTGCGCCGGCGCGTTCGGGGCCCTGGCCGCCGCCTCCGCCAAGCTGGCCTTCGGCAGCGAGGTCGAGCCCGGGGCGCTGTTGGTGCTGCTGCTGCGGGCGGGCGGGCGGGGCGCCGCTGGGCGGAGGAGGGGCGCTGCGGGGCCCGCGGGGCTCTTGGGGTGGGGCGGGGGTGGGCGCAGGGCGCCGCCGCACCCTCGCCGGTCTGTCCCGCCGGGGCCCCGGGCCGCGGGCGGCGCTGCGGTCAGCTGGGGTGGCAGAGAGTGTTTCGCCTCTAATCACGCCAAACCCTCGTCCAGTGTAGGTGGTAAGAGACGTCGGGGACTGAGGCCTCTTCCCTTACCAGGGACCTAAAACCTTTTCTCCGGTTGGGCTAGTTCGCTCTCGGGGAAGAACTACACCTCCTACATCCACCCTCTACCTCTCATTTTAAGTCCCTTGTGCCTGAGCATTTCTCTCCACGTGACTCTTAAGGTGAGAAGCCTCTTGCCCATCCCTTTACTCCGTAATTAACGGGTGTTGTGACCAGATGACCAGTCTGCCCCACTACCAGGAAAATTGGGAGTTTGGGATACTGTAGGCATAAGAGGATACTGACAGAGACGTTCTGGATGTTTTCCTGACGCTGAGAACTCCTAAACTTGCATCCTGGCGTCTGCTAAGGTGTATCTCTGCCTCTCCCTCCCACGTCGTAGACCAGCCTCTGCTTGCTATAGGGGTTTCATTGCGTCTGCAGCCCAAGGTTAGCCTCTGACCTGGACAGTGGTCACTGATTATTTAGGGTTAAGCCTATTTAGGGCTAATCCAGTAGTAGCTGCCATGCTTCAGGTTAGTATCCCATTGGGTGTAGTTCATGGGGTAAGTGGTCGAAAGTAAAATGAATAACTTTGTATGGGCCGTGAAGTTTGTTGTCAGGAACTAGACCTTCATAACCCTTTAAGCAGGTTGCCACTGGCCCATATGCTGCTTTGTGTAAGACAAGGTTGTCCAACTCGCGGCCCAACGCAAATTTGCAAATTTAAAACATGAATTTTTTTGCGATTTATTATTTTTTTTTTAGCTCATCATATATCATTAGTGTTAGTGTATTATATGTGTGACCCAAGACAGTTCTTCCAGTGTGGCCCAGGGAAGCCAAAAAATTGAACACCCTGGTGTAAGTTATAAGCAAGCACCTTTTTCTCAAGACACTATGTGTTCAGCTGCTGAGAAACCATTACAAGTAATAAGTATATTTAGATTCCGCACCCCCCCCCCCCGCCGCCTTGTCTCCAGGCAGGTTTCTAACTCACCACCAAGCAAGGGGGACTGCATATCCTTTGTGTAGGAGGCTTCTAAAGATCTTCTCTTCTCTTGAGACTTTCTCCTTTAAAAAAAAAGAAAGAAAATACCTGCAAGTTCTCCAAGGGATGTCTGGGATCACTAAATAGTCTGAGGTGGTGTTTCCCTCAGGCAAGGCTGTGCCCTAGTTAAGAGCATGGAGGTACACTGCCTGCTTGTGAAGCCTGGTGGCTCTCACCGCTGTAGCACTTTAGGAAGGTTACTTAATGCCCCTGGCTCTTTATCTGTAAAATGAAGTTAAGGAATAAATGAGAATGCTTAAACACAGCCCAGGACCTAACACAGAGTAAAAGCTCAAGAATACCCAGAGGGGGTCAGCCTTAGTGGGCTGTAACTTGTATAGGATTTGGGGGTGGGAATACAGAGCAGACATTGCTAATTCATGCTTTGCCTGATCTCAAGAAATAAGAACTCTACCCTAGGCTTACTACCTACGGAGTAAGAACTACTTGGCCCTCTGGGACTGATCTTCAAGCACTGGTCATTGTGGGACCAATAAGGGGCCGGTGTTCAGTAGAAAATACTGGCTTTGGATTAGCATTTTGCTTCTTCCCAAGATCATATGGCCAGCAAGGTGGCCAAATGAGTATCTTCTCTGAATTTGCTTTATTTGTAAGATGGGTCTGCTGCCCACTGAGGGTTAAGTGAAGCCCTGTGCAGGAAAGCTCTGAGGCCCTCTGAGCTGTAGTGGGAGCTCAGTAGGAGCCTGGGTGCCAGCAACCACAGTCCTGGGTGTGCTTTGAGGGGGTCTGCAGGTTGCTGCCCAGGGTGGACGTGGCTGCAGTGACACTTTCTCCTGCAGGTGAGCATGGGTTTATGCGTCTTAGGCATTATTGTGATGGCGAGCACCAATTCTCTGATGTGGACCTTCTTTAGCCGGGGCCTCAGTTTCTCCATGTCTTCAGCCATTGCATCTGTCACAGTGACTTTTTCAAATATCCTCAGCTCGGTGAGTAGCCTGAGGGTGTGGTGCTCTTGTCCTAAATCTGGGTTCTGGGTGAGTTGTCTTTGGATAACCCCTCCTTTCCCAGACAGGAGAAAGGACAGGAACTGAAGCAGAGGTTGGGCTGTGGCTTGACCCCTGGATGAGTGCTCTATTCATGGAGCAAATGTAATTCTAATCATGGAAGAATTCTTAAGTTAGATATGAGTGAAGCCTGACAGTAAAAAGCCTACTTGCTTGCTGTTCCTCCAGGGTGGAGCCCTCATTCTGAAGTCACTGTGCATCCTAGCTGTTTCCTAGGGTTCTGTGTACTCAAGGCTCCATGGCATTTAGAGGGTTGGGATTCCCAGAAACTTTTCTGCCCTGTGTAGTCTGAGGTTGACAAGATGGAGCTGAGCGTAGTCAATCTTGAGTTGAGGGAGAAACAAATACCATGTACCTGCTGTGTCTACCTGCTGGCATCTGCTGGGTCTTTCTTGTGTACTTTGCTGAGGTCCAGTGCAGTGAGGGAGGTAGCCTCTCCACTCATGCAGGGGAGATTGAATAGAGTGACTTGATGAAGGTGACAGCTAGGTTTCAAGCCCAAGGCTTCTGGCTCCAGACCTTTCCTCCTGGCACCCTTAGAAGGAAGTCAGTCCCAGGAGAGTGAGGTTGTGCCCACCTGCTGAAGTTGAGTCCCTCACAGCTATCTTTGTCTCGCAGGCCTTCCTGGGCTATGTGCTGTATGGAGAGTGCCAGGAGGTCTTGTGGTGGGGAGGAGTGTTCCTTATTCTCTGCGGACTCACCCTAATCCACAGGAAGCTCCCACCCACCTGGAAGCCCCTTCCACACAAGCAGCAGTAGCACCACTTGGCTAGACGGACCAGCTGGAAAGATCATGATGGTGGCCCAGCCTTGGGATGTCATGTGGGACTGTATCCTAGGGCGATCCAGTTGTGCAGCCTTCTGACCATCAGCCAAGGGAAGCAGGCCTCTGATGGAGCAGGCTCTGGCTCTGTAAGGAGAGGTGCAGCTGCAGCAGTGTTCTACCGGAAGTGTTTTGATCATCTGTACAGTGCTTTGGATTCTTCCTCCCAGGCCTACCCCAGTGAGCCTTCGCAGATGCTGGAGATCCTGGGGTTGGTCTGCTTTGTGTATGGTACTTGAAACCACGCTGTAATTATTGTCCTGTTGCCAAACAAAAGCCAGTCATGTAACTCTAGAAGCAGTGACTGGTGGGGCTTTCTGACAGTTCCATGCTGATGTATCAGGCCATCTGTGTCATGCTTATGTATTATGGCAAGAAGAGGAAAACTGGATTAATAAATACGTTTTTTGTAAGTTAAAACTACCAGGTACGGTATCTTAATTCTTTCCTTCCCTTTGGAGTAAGAGGGAGCCAGAGTGAGCTGAAATCCCAATGTGGAGGAGGCAGGAGAGTGAGGCAGGTACAGAAGCCTTGTGGCTTCGGTTGCTCTGACACCTGCTAGAGCTTGATCTTGTGGTTACTTCCTGAGGTCACACAGGCTAAGGCTCTTTGAACTGCACAGGGTCTGTTCATTCTCCTGGTGCTCTCAAGGAGAAAAGTTTGACCTCCCTTTGGAGACCTTGTTTTACTTGGGAAAGAAAGTGGTTCAGAGGTCCCTCCATTCCCTGCCACTCTGTTCCTCTAGCGTTTACCTTTAGGGCTCTTCTGTCATTTGCTTTTCTTTCTCAGATTCCCCTTTGGTTTTTTTTTGTTTTTTGTTTTTTTGTTTTTTTGGGTTTTTTTTTTTTGAGACAGTCTCGCTCTGTCACCCAGGCTGGAGTGCAGTGGCGCAATCTCAGCTCACGGCAAGCTCTGCCTCCCGGGTTCGCGCCATTCTCCTGCCTCAGCTTCCCGAGTAGCTGGGACTACAGGCACCCGCCACCATGCCCAGCTAATTTTTTTTATTTTTAGTAGAGATGGGGTTTCACCATGTTATCCAGGATAGTCTCGATCTCCTGACCTCGTGATCTGCCCGCCTCAGCCTCCCAAAGTGCTGGGATTACAGGCGTGAGCCACTGCACCTGGCCCCCTTGTTCTTTTTGTATCTTAGACCATGTGAATGTAATTCCTAGTTCAAAGTGGGCTGTGTGCTGCCTGCACACTTTCCCAGCACAGAGCCTGAAGCCCGGCACTTACCTGCCTCACTTCTCCCCTGGGGTGTCCGAGGGCCCTCTCAGCTCTCCTGAGTCTGATCTCTGGCCCCAAGTCTTCTTCATACATTTCCTGCAGTTGAGAGGGACCTGGTAGCCAGGAGGCTAGGAGAGCGAAGGGTCTTGTCCAGACCCTCCTCCTCGCCCATGTAGCACCTTCATTGCTCTCCTCCCTTACTGTGGTCAGCACAATTGACAGAATGAGCTTACTAAAACCATTCCACGGCTCCTTCTGATGGGGATCTGGCCCTAGCCCACCACTCCAACAAGAGTTCTCTTCCGCAATGACTCCTTAGTACCCATCTCCCTCATGCTAGCCCCACCATGCTGAGTCCCCCCAGACATCTGCAGGTCAGCCATTCTCAAATCCACCATGTCCAGTCCTGCCAACATGTTTTGTACTTGCTCTTACCCTTGCCTTGGGTTCCCTTTACCTTCACCTCTCGCTGGCAAACTCCTGCTCTTCAAAACCCTTGAGCTCCCATGGGGGCCAGGACAAAGCTGTAATTCACAGAATGTTAATCATTTAGCTCCACTTTGACACATTGCCTCCCAGCCAACCCGTGAGGGAGTTACTCTTGTTCCTGTATTAGAGGTGAGGAAACTAAGGCTTGGGGAAGTGGAATAATTTGCCTGACATCACACAGCTGAGGAGTGCCAGAACCACAATGTCAGCCCGATCTGACTGGGCTCAGCTCAGTCCCTACCTCTGTCCTGCTTCCCACACCAACACCTGAAAACTCAGAGAGGCCCTGCAGTAAGGGGCCTGTTCCATACTGTGACTCAGCATGCCCAAACCTCAGAACCCTTTGGTCACCAGCCACCTACCTTTTCTTAGGGGCTCTAGTGTTGATCTCCCTGATCTAGTCTGACCCCACCATTCTACCAGTGAAGAAGCTGAAGGATATTCAAGGCTTTCCAGGGTGTGTTCACCATATGGGTCAGACACCCAGCCAAGGCCAGACCTGAAGGCTGCTGATAGCTGGTGGTCGGCCTCCCTGGGCAGTTAGTGAAAAGGGCAGAAAGAAGTCCATCTTGGAGCAAGCATTGTCCTGAGAGGACCTGGCCTCCCATCCAGACACTTGCTTAATGCATAGAGATGGTTGGTGTTGACGTGGAACCCTATCACTCAATTCAACAAATATGCCTGTATTTGTACAAGATGTACAAGATGTATTTGTAGAAGACGTATATTTGTACAAGATGTAAGATTTTTTCTAAGAGGAAGATCAGTCATTCTTCAAAAAGCAGGAAGATACAACTCTATAGTCATCTAAAAAGTTGAGGAAACGTTCACTGTATTTATTTTCCTCATTTCAGAGGTTTATTGATAAGAATAAACTATATCAATACTATATCAATATTTGTCTTTTTGGTGTGCATCTTGGATGATGGATTGAACTTTGTTTGCTTGGAGCTGGCAATTTGACATCCAGGTTCAAAGGCCTGATAGGTCATTCCTTTCGTTTAATTTTATTTTTTAACTTACTCTTTTTAAAAGTGTGCAATTCAGTAGTATTTTAGTAGATTCACAAAGTTTTCGACCATTACCGCTAGCTAATTCCAGAACATTTTTATCACTCCAAAAGAAATTCTCATACCCATTAGCAGTCATTTTGTATTCCATCCTCCCCCAGGCCCATGGCAATCAAGGATCCACTTTCTGTCTATAGATTTGCCTGTTGTGGACATTTCATATAAATGGATTATACAACATCAATATATGGCCTTTTGGGTCTTTTTTCACCTAGCATAGTGTTTTCAAGGCTCATTCATGTTGTAGCATGAATCAGTTATTCATTCCTTTTTATGACTGAATAATACTCCATTGTGTGGATCTACCACATTATGTTTATACATTCATCTTTTGATAGACATTTGGCTTGTTTCCCTTTTCTATTCTATTCTAATTTTCTATTAGAATAATGCTGCTTTGAACAATTGTGTACACGTTTTTGTGTGAACATGTTTTCAATTCTATTGGGTATATACCTAGGAATGGAATTGCTGATATAACTATGATACAATATGAGATAACATGTACAGAGGAGAGGTCATTTGAGGACATAGCAAGAAGGAGAGAAGGCAAGCCAGGAAAAGGGCCCTCATCAGAACCTGAATTTGCCAGCACATTGATCATGGACTTCCCAGCCTGCAGAACTGTGAGAAAATAAATATCTGTTGTTTAGGTCATGCAGTCTGTGGTATTTGTTATGGCGGCATGAGCTGACTGATACAACCCAAATGGCCATCCATATTCATCTATGGAATACTACTCTTCAGTAAAAAGGAAGAGAGTATTGATACATGCTATCACAAGGAGAATCATAAAATAATTATGCTAAGTGAAAGAAGCCAGACCCAAAAAGAATATATACCATATAGTTCCATTTATATGTAATTAAAAAGAAAAAAAGGCAAAACTTCAGTGACAGAAGGCAGATCAGTGGTTGCTTAGGGCTGGGAATCAGGGCAAGAAGGAACTTTTTAGGATGATGGCTCTTTTCTACATCTTGATCATAGTGGTCATTACACAACTGTATAAAACTAACATTCTATACTTAAAGTGGGTGAATTTTATTGGATATAAACTATACCTCAATAAAGCTAGGGGGAACTCAGTAAGATGCCATTGATGCCATTTCATACAAGATTGGCAAAAGTTACAAAGTTGAACAAGCAAGGCCAATGTTGTGGATCACTGTGAATTCCCATGTGCTACTGCTGGAAGTATAAATTAGTATAACCCTCTGGAAACATTTTACTATCATCTGACAAAACAGAAGATGTGCCTACTGTTTGAGCCAGCAATTCCAGTCCTGGAAACTCTCACTTGTGCACAAGGAGACATGAACACACATGCTTGTTGCAGCAGTGTTTATAACTGAGAAAAATGTAAAACAATCTAATATCAATGGGAGAATAGAGAAGTTATAGCATACAGTGTATTGAACACTATACAGTGGTGACAAGCATGAATTACATGGAAAAATTACATGAAAAAATCTCAAAATCATAATGTAGAGTGAAAAAAAGTAGAAGGGAGTGTTAAGTATGATAATTTTACAAAAAAATTTAAAACCTTCAATACTACTTATTATTTTAGATATTCACGTTTAGTAAGTATTTTTAAATATGCAAGGGAACTTAAATACCAAACTCAGAGTGGTGGTTACTTTGGGGAGGGAGGAAAGGAAATTGGGGTTGGGAAGGGATATATAAGGGGCTGAGAGCTTCAGTTATAACCCATAAGTTTTATTTCTTGAACTTGATGAGGGAGATGTAAGTTTTCATTGCTGTTTTTTTTTGAATTTTTGTAAGGTTTCATAAATGTTTTTAGACAATACTTCACTGATAAATGGGAACGATCACATTTAACAATCATTAGACATACAAATCTTACTGCTGTTGTTTAGCAAGAAAACCCCAAGATCGTCTTTGCTAGCCGATGTGTGCTCTGGGCTCTTTGGGCCTGGATAAGGAATAGCAGGGCCCAGCCCAGAGTCTGGAGGTGTGGTGAATCAGATAGGTTAGGGTGGGAGGTGAGACAGACCATGTTGGTTCCAGTGGAATTGGCTCCAGGGCTGGACTGGGCAGATAATTATTACTCCAAATTCCAGAGCCATCCAGTTCCTTTGGGAAACAAGGGCTTGGAGGGCTCAGATTTCCCCCAAATCCACTCAACTTGTCATAGATTGAGCTGAGATGGGACCCCAGATAGCCTGGCTGAGAGCCTGTCTTGTCTGTACTGCTTCCGTGTTCCCTTGCTGGTCTTCAATAGGGTCCCCAAAGTTCTTCTTGCCTGGAGGCCTGCAGCAGTGAGTCCTGACTGTCACCAGCATGGTCCCTCACAGGGTAGCCCCTCACCAGAGTTTAAAAGTCAGTCCCCTATGCAGTTAGACCTAATGCTACACCAGGGGGAAAATTCAAAAGAAAAAAATACACAATTTAGGCAACAGGGTTCCTAGCTGCATTACTGCTAGCAGCAGTTAGTTGCCTGATAGTTGAGAAATGGTTAGGCAAATATGGTAGAATATCACGTGCCCACGAACAGGGGTGAGCATTTGAAATAGGCGGATCCTAGACAGTGTCCACAAGGCAGCCTGCCAGGCATGGCCTGAAGTGCCAGGTTTGCTCCATGCAGTGTAAACACATTTGTGTACAATGGCAAGCGCTAGGAGTGGCTTAAAAAGAGGTGACTTCGGGGTTTATTGGATTCTTTTATTTTTCTCCTATAAAGTTGTTTACATATATAATAGGAGTCAGATGAGAGATGAATTTATAGTTTCAGATATAAGAAGAAAAGATTTTGCTCCCACAAATCTGTGGATGCGTATTTACTAACTCCTCCCTGTCTCCACACAAAAAAAGGGGGCGGGGATGCATCAGGATGCCTATCTTTATGATTTAGCTCCGAGCTTAGCACCATGAACAGCAGCTGTGGTGCCTAGAGTCCAACAGGGCCTCAGTTGTTCTTTCATCCTCAGAATTGGGGGGTGGATGCAGAGGTGGGTCAGGGATTAGGCTTGAATCCCCAAAACCAATGTGTATTGGGCTTTCCTTCCAAAAGGGACTCCCAGCATGCGTTGGGAGAAGAGGACACAGCCTCCCCTGACCTCTGCAGGAGGCACCTGCCCCACAGGCACAGGCATGGGGCCGCTCCCAGGCTTCCACCTGAGCACCCTGTCCTGTTTGCTTATTTGTTCATTTATTCATGCATTCCCTCATCTGCTGAGCACTCTGTGCCATGCTATGGGCTAGGGACACAAAATGAGAAGATTCCATTCCTGGCTAAGGTCCTCTATGAACTTCATCTTGAAACGTGTCTTCTGTTCCCCACCTTACCTGGTGGTTTTCAGGCTCTTCTTGCCTGATTTTTCCTTTTCTCCCTCCTCCCCAGCTCCATCATCTGTGGATTAATGTGAAGTGTAGACCATGCCAACTTTTCTGGGACAGCACATTCAGAGCCTCCTGTCCCATGGTGGGGCCTGTGTCTGGTCCTCTTGGAGAGCAGAGAGCAGAGGGTCTTGAGTGGGCTGCCTCTGATCCCAATATGCCTGGAGTTGGCCACCAGGTGCTAGTGCAATACAGTGGCTGCAGTTCAGCAGCTGGTGGGGGAGGGGGATGCTGATGGCCCCAGTGGCCTGTGACTAGACCATGGTGTCAGCTGTGGCCCCAGACAGGAAACATGAGAAAAGATGATCCTTTGGGACCAGCTGACAGATAAAATGCCACATGCACAAGGAACTAAATAAGGGCCGACTCTGCTGAGGCCCGGAAGTTCTGCTGCAGGAAGAGGGAAGGGAGGCTCACGGGGATCCTCTCCTGATGCCCAGGTGGCTGCCTCTCTCTAGGCTGCACTTTTTCCAGCTGTGAAATGAGGTTGTTGGGATGGGGGGGGTCCTTTGTAAGGTCCGCGGTGTAACTCATTTCTTGCAGAGAATTTTGAATGCCTTTGCCTCTTCACAGCATCCTGCTTCAGACACTTGACCTGTGGCGTGGGTGTTATTATTTCCCACCTCCCAGATGAAGAAACAGAGGCACAGAGAAGTAACTTCCCAAGGTCACACAGTGGATCTGTAGAGGACCCAGGATGTAGGCCCAGTTCTGTCTGACCCAAAGTCTATTTCTTTTAGACACTTTTATACTCACTCTGGTACCCTGGATTCTCTGGCCTGGAAGGCACTGGCGAAAGCTCATCTTGCACAAGCCCCTTATTTGTCAAAAATGATGAAAGAAGCTCAGAGAGGTGAAGCAACTAAAACCCGGACCCTCTCACCCCTAGGCCAGGACTTTTATTTAGAGGCTTTTTCCATTTAAGTAGTGAATTTATTCTTAAATAGGTAATTCATGCACATGGTGCTAAATTCTGATGATGTAAAAGGAAATACAGAGAAAAGCAAGCATCCTTCTCCCACTCCTGAGCCTGTAATCATAGGGCCTAGGGCTTCTCTGCAGACAGAACCCAGCCAAGACTTTTCGTAAATGCCATGTGCACTTCAGGGCTTGGTTTGTTCTATTATATTTAGGGATGCGGTGCTGAGATGCTTGCCTGCAGAACAGCAAAAACCTCTGACTTCATTATTGTTATTCAGAGTAACCAGGGTCATTGCTCTCTGGCTTGCCTTAAAGCCAGCAAAGGCAATTGCCCATCCCTGGGCTTTTGGTCTGGAAGAGACCGTTGGCATCATTATTCAGCCCCCTCACTTTTCAGGTAAGGAGCTAATGAAGACAACATTCCCAGTGACACACGGCAAGTTACTGTGGTGTTGGGGTTTCAGTGTCAGGAGTCTCCTCTCTTCCTCTGGCATTTCTGCTACTATGCCAGGCTGGCTCCTTTCAGTAGACATAACATCATTGAAAAATACCACAAGTGCCCCTGTGGAGAGCAGAGCAGATAGCCATTAAAATTACAAAAGCTTATGCTTTTTGGCCCAACATTTCCACTTCAAGGCATTCAATTCTTCCTATAGATACACTCATGTGAGGGTAAAATGATCTCTGTATAACCTTATTCTTTGCAACACTGATTGTAATAAGGAAATATTGGAAGCAACCCAGATGCCTATGGGTGGGAGGTGAGTTACATAAATTAGGGACCATCCACACAAACAGAATATGTGCAGCTGTGAAAAGACTGGGCCACCTCTCCATGTGCAATAGGAACAGCTCCATCTTGCCAGGCGTGGTGGCTCACACCTGTAATCCCAGTACTTTGGGAGGTGAAGGTGGGGCGGATCCCTTGAGCCTAGGCATTCCAGACCAGCCTGGGCAATGCAGTGATATGCTCTCATTGTGTAAATAAAACAAAATAATACATTATTTGCTTTGCAGATGCCACTGCCGCCAGGAGCCCTGTAACATCAGCCATCGTCAACCCCACCGTGTTCTTCAACATCACCGTTGACGGCAAGCCTTTAGACCTGCGTCTCCTTCAAGCTGTTTGCAGACAAGGTTCCAAAGCCAGCAGAAAACTTTTGTGCTCTGAGCACTGGAGAGAAAGGATTTGGTTATAAGAGTTCCTGCTTTCACAGAATTATTCCAGGGTTTATGTGTCAGGGTGGTGACTTCATACGCCATAATGGCACTGGTGGCAAGTCCATCTATGGGGAGAAATTTGATGATGAGAACTTCATCCTAAAGCATACAGGTCCTGGCATGTTGTCCATGGCAAATGCTGGACCCAATACAAATGGTTCCCAGTTTTTAATCTGCACTGCCAAGACTGAGTGGTTGGATGGCAAGCTTGTGGTCTTTGGCAAGGTGAAGGCATGAATATTGTGGAGGCCATGGAGTGCTTTGTGTCCAGGAATGGCAAGACCGGCCAGAAGATCACCATTGCTGACTGTGGACAGCTCTTATAAGTTTGACTTGTGTTTTATCTTAACCACCAGACCATTCCTTCTGTAGCTCAGGGGAGCACCCTCCACCCCATTTGCTCCCAGTATCCTAGAATCTTTGTGCTCTCGCTGCGGTTCCCTTTGGGTTCCATGTTTTCCTTGTTCCCTTCCATGCCTAGCTGGATTGCAGAGTTAAGTTTATGATTATGAAATAAAAACTAAATAACAAAATAATAATAATAGTACATTATTTGCTTCTCAGTGCATACAACATCTCTGGAAAGATCTAAAAGAAACTGGTAGTAGGATTCAACAAGGTGGACAGGGGGCATTTTTTTCCATTTTGAACCATGTGGATGCATTATATATTCAAAATGTAAAACAAAAAACTCACAAGCATCTCTTACTTTTTCAACTTGAAGAAAAGAGAAGAAGAAGAAAACCCTAAAGTCAGTAAAGGTTAGCCTGGGTTCCTAGACTTAAGCTTGATAGTAACCAGAATGTCAGGCCACATGTGGTGTAGGTCATAGGGTCCTGGCTTTTGGTCACCCACTGTTAGGCTCATATAACAGACAAGGAGGTGCCATTGTCCGTTGTCTGTCCCTTTTACATCAGCTCATCTTGGCTCCTGATTTCCTGGGTCTGATATGGAAGATTCCGGGATTTTATTATTTCTAATCAACATCGCCTTCCCAAACCCCGCCCCTTGGCAGCCATAGCAAGGCCACATCTAGCCCAGGATCACATAAAAAGGGCTGTTTCCTCCCCTGAGGACCGACTGTGTGGAAGCACCAGGCATCAGAGATAGAGTCTTCCCTGGCATTGCAGGAGAGAATCTGAAGGGATGATGGATGCATCAAAAGGTGAGTGGGTGAAATCTCCATGGAGCCCCACATGCCCCTTCAGCCAGCTGGCCCTAAACTGCTCTCTTGCCTCTGCCGGGTGCCTGGGGCCATTGCCCTCTCACCCTGACTTGTGGCCCTGGTGCTGCTTGCTTTCTGTCTCATCCCTTTTTAGAAAACCCACAAACTTTTCATTTAGGCATAATTTCAGATTTACAAAAAGATTGCAAGAATAAAAAGAAGAATTTCCATATATCCTTTATCCAGATTCCCTAAATTATTACTGCATTTGCTTTATCCTTCTCGATCAGTGGACAGATAGATGATATAGACAGATAGATAGACAAATATATATTTTTTGAACTCTTGAGAGTAAGTTGCAGATATTACATTATTAAATATTTTGGTGTGTATTTCCTAAAGACAAGGACATTCTCTTACGTAACCAATACAATTATGAAGACCAGGACATGAACACCATTTCAATACTGTTATCCAACCCACAGATTTTATGCAGATTTCATCAACTGTCCCAATAATGTCATTTATAGCAGAAGAAAATCCTGGGTTAGGCTTTGCATTCCGTTGTTGTGCCTCTTCGGTCTCCTTTGTCTGGAATAGTTCTTCTGTCATTCTTGGAGTTTTGTGACTTCAACACTTTTGAAGAGTACAGACCAGTTATTTTGTAGAATGTCTCTCAATGTGTCCTGTCCTTTCTCAAGGTCACCTGATGGATTTCCCTACTGCAGAGGGTCTGTCTGCTGCTGTCAGCAGTGTCATTGCTTCTCAGAGTGGGGAATAGCAGAGCGGAGTCATGTGCCAGGCTCTGTGTCCCATGAGGATGCAGCCGCCTACCACCACCAAGAGCAGACACCAGAGCCCTCAGTTTTACTTCAGGGAGTCCGGGTGCTGCTAGGGAACAACGAGGCTGGGTTTGAACCCCTCTGCTGACTCCCCAGCCCACAAGCCCTCTGTAACCTCCCAGCAGGGTTTGCTCAGCAGCCTTCTCTCTTGCTTGAGAAGCTGCTTGATAAGCCAAGGAATGGCTGCTTTGAAACTCTGCAAAGGGACTAAGCCAGACCCTCCTAGTTTCCACCTTCTTTTTTGGAGGGTGACATTGCGAAATAAATCAGACTCTTCTTTTTAGTCCCAAGGCCACAGAGTTTTGAATTCCTCCTTAGATGGCTGACGCCTCAGCTAGACTCAGTCTTGGAGGGTACAGAGTCCTTAGGACTGAGAAAGGGTGGTGTGGTGTGATGGGAAGCACCTGCTGATTTGAGAGAAGATTCATGTCTAAATAGCCCTGTGGCTTTGGGCAGGTTACATCAATCCCGTGAAAGCACTATATAAATTACTGAGGACTACCTGAAGGAAAGGTAGTCCTGACCCACACTGTCATTTTCAAGAGGTGTGACCTGTTCACTGGGGAGGTTTGATGACTTGACTGAGGTCCCAGCCATGGGTGGCAGAGCTGGGACACAAACCCGGCGTGTGTTCATTTCATGCCACACTATGCTGCCTCCCTGCTGGGCACAATTTGACTTTACTCTCAAGGTCTAAATCACCAAAGACAGTCATCTCCTGGCCACCAGTGTTGGGGTGTTGGTGAGGGGAGCTGACGCTCCCTGAGGTGTCCTTTCTGATGGGCTTGTGCAAGTAACCATCACATGCCACCTTACAACATTAGCAAGTTGTGATGACTCCATGGTGTTTTCATGAATATGATTTCATTTGTTCTTCCAACCACTCTAGGAGGTCAGGACATCCAAATAGGGACCTGGAAGATGGTGATATGTGTGGGATAAAGGTAGGATTTCATATAAATGGAGGAAATGAGAAATTGTGCACTTTATGGTATTAGGACAACTGGTTAGTATTTAGAGAAAAACAAAGCCAGATATCTATCTCATGGCTTATCCCACAACGAATCCCAGAAAGGTCGAAGACGAAACTGTAAAGGCAATAGAAGAAAATGAAGGCAATATGAAAAATAATCTTAGAGTAGAGAAGGTGTTACAAAGGAAAATAGAAAACCTAGAAACATAAAGGAAAAGAACAGTAAAACTGACTCCAGAAAAATTAAAAATATGTGTAAGACAAAACCTCCAGAGTCAGAAGGTAATGGAACTGTGAAGGGTACTTTCAACACATATGAGAAGCAAATGCTGTTCTGTAGTATAAAAAGAGCTCTCAGATCTATAAGAAAATGACCAACATCCCAAAATATACATGGACAAAGAGCAGTATTAGGTAGTTCAAAGAAAAAGAAATATAAATTGTAATATATGAAAAGATGCTCAACCTTACTTGTAACGAGGGTGGTCATGAAATAAAACTGAAACAGCAGGCCAGGTATGGTGGTTCATGCCTATAATCCCCAAAATTTGGGAGGCTGAGGTAGGAGGATTGCTTGAGCCCAGGAGTTCGAGACCAGCCTGGAAAACATAGTGAGACCCTGTCTCCACAAAACAATTTAAAAATTAGCCGTGGCCCAGCAAGGTGGCTCATGCCTGTAATCCCAGCACTTTGGGAAGCCAAGGTGGGCAGATCACTTGAGATCAGAAGTTAGGGACAAGCCTGGCCATCATGGTGAAACCCCGTCTCTACTAAAAAATACAAAAATTAGCCGGGTGTGGTGGGGTACACCGGTAATCCCAGCTACTTGGGTGACTGAGGCATGAGAATTGCTTGAACCTGGGAGGCGGAGGCTGCAGTGAGCTGAGACTGCACTCCAGTCTGGGCAACAGAGCGAGACTTTGTCTCAAAAATAAATAAATAAATAAAAATAAAAATTAGCCAGACATGGTGGTGCATATCGGTAGTTCCAGCTACTCAGCTACTCAGGTTCAAGGCTGCAGTGAGCCATGATTGCAACACTGCACTTCAGCCTGGGTGACAGGCCAAGACTCTGTCTCTTAAAAAAAAAAAAGGTTATATAAAAGCAAAACAGCAATGAGATTTCATTTTTTCATTTATCAGATTAGCCAAGATTAAAAGTTTAATAGTAAATAGCTTTAAAAAGGCATCTTCTCATCTTTTTGTAGGAGTATCACTGGTGCAGTCGCTAGAAGGCTCTCTGGCAACATTTGCTGAAATTAAAGATGCCCATATCCTGTGACACAGCAATTCTGCTTTGGAAGATTTCTCTTACAAATATTGTCACACATGAGTGCAAAGATACATGTACAAGGAAGTACATTGTAGCATATAAGATTTTAAATGGTCTACATGTCCATCCAGGGGGATAATAGCTACTAAAAAGTAACAAGGTTGAGACCAGCCTGGGCAACATAAGGAGACCCCTTCTTCACAAAAAATGAAAAAATTAGCTGGGTGTGGTGATGCATGCCTGTAGTGCCAGCTACTCAGGAGGATGAGGTGAGAGGATTGCTTCAGCCCAGGAGGTCGAGGCTGCAGTGAGCTGTGATCACACCATTGCACTCCAGCCTGGGAAACAGAATGAGACTCTGTCTCAAAAAAAGAAAAAAAAATTAAAAGAAAATAATAACAAGATCTACTTGGGTGGTTAGGAGATAAATTTCAAGACATGTGTGTGAGAGAGAGAGGGAGAAAAAGAGAGAGAGAGAGAGAAGCAAGGCGCAGAATAGTGTATTGAGAAAGCTCCTGTTTCTGTAACTAAAGTAATGGTTTATGGCAGAGAAAACTGGAAAGATACCTAGATACTTTATAGTGATTTTCTCTGGAGAAAGGATCTGGGAGTCTGGGATGGGAGAGAAACTTAATTTTTGTAATGGGCATTTATTACTTTTGTTTTATTATTATTATTATTATTATTATTATTATTATTATTATTATTATTATTTGAGATGAGGTCTCACTCTGTCACCCAGGCTGGAGCACAGTGACGTGATCTCGGTTCACTGCAGCCTCCAGTTCCCAGGTTCAAGCGATTCTCCTACCTCAGCCTCCTGAATAGCTGGGATTACAGGCATGCGCCACATTACCCAGCTAATTTTTTATTTTTAGTAGAGATGGGGTTTCACCATGTTGGCCAGGCTGGTCATGAACTCCTGGCCTCAAGTGATCCGCCTGTCCTGGCCTCCCAAAATGCTGGGATTACAGGCGTGAGCCGCTGCGCCTGGCCTCTTCTTTATCCTATTTGTGATTCTTTGTGGTTCCTAAATAAGAGGATTCATGTCTCTCATTCATTTTGGAAAGTTTTCAACCATCACCTCTTCGCTGCTGCTCCCCATTCTTGATTCTCTCCTTTCAGAACAACTATAGTATATAGTTTAGCCCTTTTCATCCAAGACTCCGCGTCTCTAAACTGCTTTTCATATTTACTTCTATTAATATTTCTCTAGGTTGTATTATAGGTATTTGTTTCCAGTCTATTTTCTAGTTCACTGATTCTCTTTCAGTTATGTCTATTTGCTGTTTAACCTGTGAGTTTTTTTCATTTTGAGAACCATATTTTCATTTTTAGAAGTTATGTTTTAAAAAATTTATCTGGTCATTCTTAATAGTGGCTTATTCCTTTCTCATCATTCTGATTTATTCTCTTAGGTCCCTAGCCATTTTTGACTTGGCTATTTTATGGTCTCTCTCTCTCTCTCTCTCTCTCTCTCTATATATATATATATATATATAGTTTATTTAATTTAATTAATTTATTTATTTATTTTTGAGATGGAGTTTCACTCTTATTGCCCAGGCTAGAGTGCCATGGCGTGATCTCGGCTCACTGCAACCTCTGCCTCCCCGGTTCAAGCAATTCTTCTGCCTCAGCCTCTCGAGTAGCTGGGATTACAGGCATGTGCCACCAAGCCTGGCTAATTTTTTTTTTTTTTTTTGAGACAGAGTCTCACTCTGTCGCCCAGGCTGGAGTGCAGTGGCGCAATCTCGGCTCACTGCAAGCTCTGCCTCCCAGGTTCACGCCATTCTCCCGACTCAGCCTCCCAAGTAGCTGGGACTACAGGCGCCTGCCACCACATCCGGCTAATTTTGATTTTGTATTTTTAGTAGAGACGGGGTTTCACCGTGTTGGTCAGGCTGGTCTCGAACTCCTGACCTCAGGTGATCTGCCCACTTCTGCCTCCCAAAGTGCTGGGATTACAGGCATGAGCCACTGTGCCCGGCCCTATATTTTTTAATATTTTATTTTATTTATTATTTTTTGAAATAAGGTCTCACCCTGTCACCCAGGCTGTAGTGTAGTGGTGTGAACATGGCTCACTGCAGCCTTGACCTCCCAGGCCCAAGAGATACTCTTGCCTCAGCCTCCCAAGTAGCTGAGACTGCATGTGCACATCACCATTCTCAGTTAATTAAATAATTTTTTTTTAAAGACAGGGTTTCTCTATGTTGCCCAGGCTGATCTTGAACTCCTGGGCTCAAGGGATCCCCCTGCCTCAGCCTCCCAAAGTGTTGGGATCATAGGCGTGAGCCACTGTGCCTGGTCCATAGTCTATATACGTTATTTTATAGTCTGTATATTATCTGATTTCTTGGACGAATACTTGTGTGGTTTCTGCTGAAATAGTGTATTTTGTGTTTTAAAATTTGGGGCTATAAGCTCACCTTGAGTGTGACTTTATCTGTGGGAATGCCATAAAACTTTGGTGGAGAATGAATTACTCCAAAGAAGATTGGCGTTTATCCCCTAAACCAGTGACAACTGTGACTAGGAGCCAGTTTCTGCCTATGAGCCAAGGACAACTGTTTATTTTACTTTCTCAGTATGGGGGAATCCCAGACCTCTACAGAAAGAGGTGATGTTTGAAATTTTTCATAACCGGTATGCATTCTGCAGGGGCTGTGCTCCCACAAGCACTCTGGGAAGGAGACTCTCCAGGAGTGCCTGCTGGCAGGTGGCAGTAGACTCAGGCAGCAATATGGACACTGGGGGGTGGGGGAATGTGATTTCTTGTGGCAAAAAGTACAAAGAAAAATCAGCAAAGGGAAAAGCCTGCTGGGGTGAGGTCCTGAGGGAGCTAGGCAGGTCTTCCAAGAGTCCTCTCCAGTGTCACACAGGATGTGTTTAATTCCTTTAGCAATTAGTTGTGACATGTTTTTTCTCTGTGTATCTCATTCATTCAGCAATCATAACTTTATTTTCTTTTTGTTTTTAGTAATCTCTTATTCTCACCCAGACCTTTCATCTGGAATGGTTGTTTGCAAGAGGGACAAAAGCATTTTTACAGAAAAATATTTTAATACAACCTAACCAGAATAACACATCATATTCTGGAATTGGTCAGGACAAAATCCTGAATTTTCAAAAATTTTCAAAATGGTAGTTCGGGTGTGGTGGCTCGTGTCTGTAATTCCAACATTTTTGGAGGCTGAGGCAGGAGGATCGCTTGAATTCAGGAGTTTGAGACCAGCCTGGGCAACATAGTAAGACTTCATCACCACTATGAAGTGCACTATGGTGCACACCTGTAGTCCCAGCTACTCTGGAGGCTGAAGTGGGAGGATCCCTTGAGCTCAGGAGGTTGTGGCTGCAGTGAGCCGTGTTCACACCACGGCACTCCAGCCTGGGTGACAGAGCAAGGCCCTGTATTAAAAAAAAAAAAATCAAAGTAATCTTAAATAACCTCTCACTATTTTTTGTCCTGATCATTTATTCATTGAGCAGCCTAGAAAAGGTCAGTCCCTTTCTGGGGAAAGCTGTATTTAATAATCAAACTGCCTTACCAGAAGGAAGGAGAAGGAAATTGTATTAGTTTATTTTCTGTTGCTTATAAAAGAATACCTAAAACTCAGGTAATTTATAAAGAAAAGAAATTCATTTATTACAGTTATGGAGGCTGAGACTCCAAGGTCGAGGAGCTGCATCTGGTGAGGGCCTTCTTCCTAGCGAGGACTCCCTGAGGAGTCCCAAGGTGGTGCTGGGCATCACATGGTAAGCTCAGGTCTTCCTCTTCTTATAAAGTCACCAAGATCCTCTTAAGTGCGTTTTTTCTTGTCATTTCAAGAGTCCCACTTGACCCACTCAAAAATATACATACAGACTGGAAAATCATAAGCTTCTAAGGCTGACAATTTCACAAGAGCTCATTAGCAACTAATGCTAATTTTAGTTTAAAAGCAACTTTGCTTTTTAAAACTCCAAAAGTATATCGCCATCTGGAGATTGCTTGTCTTTTATGTTGTCTCCTTTTTTCCAGAGGCTTCATAGGCAAAAGTTATAGCAAAAATTATCCATTGCAGAGACTTTTGTTTTTTAATACTCAAATAATTTAAACTCCAACCCACACATTGGTGGCAAGAAACAAGGACATTGTATTCCACTGACACTTTTTCTTTGCAGGTTTCCCTGGTCATCTTGCATTTATGACACTGCAAGCATTAAACTGGTATATCAATTTTGACCATCTATCCAAGTGCAATAGCTACAAAATAAAAATACAAACGCTTTTTTTTTTTTTTTTTTTTTAGAGTTGAGGTCTCACTTTGTTGCCCAGGCTGGCGTGTTGTGGCTATTCACAGCTGCAATCATAGCTCACTGCAGCCTCAAACTCCTGGGCTCAAGTGATTCTCCCACCTCAGTCTCCCGAGTAACCGGGATTACAGGTATGTGACTCCAAAGGCATTTTTTTAAAGACAGCCCCAGTGTGGCTTCCTGTAGTTCCAGGATTCCTCCAGCCTCCCAGATCTGCCTTAAGCAGTGCTCAGGTCACAGAGCAGTGCCCAGGAGAGGGTGAGGGAGGAGGCTCCAGTACTGGCCATCTGTTATGTGCTGTATGTTGGTTTCTTAGGGCATTCAAATGACCACAAATGAGGCTGCTTAAAACAACAGCAATTTATTATTCTCTCGTTCTGGAAGATAGACATCCAAAATCAAAATGTCCGCAGGGTCCTGCTCTTGCAGAAGCCTCCAGTGGAGAATCTTCCCTTGTCTTTCTTGGTTTCTGGTGGCTCCAGGTGTTCTGTGGCTTGCAGCTGTGTAACTCCAGTCTCTGCCTCCATCTTCACATGACCCTCCCCTTGCCTTTCCATGTCTCTTATAAGGACACTTATTCTTGGATTTAGGTCCTACCTGGATAATCCAGGATAATATAATCACAAGATCCTTAATCACACCTGAAAATCCCCTATTTCTATAAGGTCACATTCATAGGCTCCAGGTGGAGATATCTTCTGTGGGACCACCATTCAACCCACTATATGCCCATCTGCCTAACATTAATGATGGCCTGCATTTTGTCGAGTGCCTACTGTGTGCCAGGCATGTGCCAGGCACTCAATGTGCACACTAGCCACCAAGGGAGGGACTATGTTTACCATTCCAGGGAGATAAGGTCTTAAGAAGCTTCCACAGAGATGACTGCATTTAGGATTTGGATTTCTTAACTGCTCTTTCCTGCTTCCTGGTACCAAAACCTATACCTTTACCCCTTGGGAACCCAGGTCACCCACCTGCCCAGTCCATGGGGGAGCAGGAATAAGTCAGAACATGGGAGGGACTGTTAAAGCCCTTTTCCAGCTGTGATTGCTTTGCGATTGGCTCTGGGTCCCACAGCAGGAGCTCTGCTGTCCAGGGAAATGAAGAAGCCTTTCAGGATTGCAGCTCCTGACAGCATGCTATGGTTTGAATATGTCTCCCCCTAAAATTCAGGGGTTGCCAATGTGGTGATACTAAGAGGTGGGGCCTTTAAGAGTTGATTAGGTGATAAGGGCTTCTTCCCTGTGAATGAGATGAGGTGCCCCTCTAAAGGGACCTGAAGGAGGGAGTTGGTCCTCTCTCGCCCTCTGCCTTCTGCTATGTTACAATGCAGCAAGAGGCCCTCACCAGATGCTAGTGCCTTGATCTTGGACTTCCCAGCCTCCAGAACTGTGAGAAATAAATTTCTATTCTTTCTAAATGACCCAGTCTCAGGTATTCCATAACAGTGGCACAAATGGGCTAAGATGCTCCAGCTAGCCATCGGCCCACCCCAAGGTTTCAGCCCAAGAAGGGGAAGCACCTGGGAAGGTAGGTCTGTCTGCCAGGTGGGCCTCCCTGCTGGAGGCAGCAGGTTCCCAGGCCCTGTGCGCAGTGTGAAGGGAAGGCCACTTGCTGGGACTTGCCTTCCTGGAGAACACTTGTCCAGACCCCAATCCCAAAGCCACTCCAGCAAGAATGAGCTGTGCTGTCTCCAAACACATCACTGGCCGCATCCCCAAGGTAGGCATCTGATGTGGGCGTGACCACTCCACCTATTTTGTAGTCATGAAAGCCCAGTTTCCATGGCTGGCCTCCTTGATCTCTGCAGAGGATGGGTTTCCTCTGTGGGTGAGCCCTCAGGAGCAGAGGAAGGTCCCTGCATCTCACCTCACTTTACCTCACAGGCCACAGCGGGGCTTCCTAATCTAGGGGTTCTCCATATGTGCCTCCCTGGGCCAGCAGCACAGCGTCATCAAGGAAGCTGCTGGAGAGGCAAATTCTCAGCCACACCCCAGATGTGCTGAATCAGAAACTCAGGGTGGGTCTGGCAGTCTGTGTTTTACCATGCCCTCTGCACACTCGAATTGCCTGGAAAGCTTTGAAAACATAGAGGCTCAGCCCCACTCAGAACAATTGTATCAGAATCGCTGGGGGAGAACATAAGTAGTTTTACAACCCCCAGGTGGTTTCAGCATGCAGCCAAAACACATTTCCCTTCATGACTCATGAGCCTGGGAATGGTTTGAATTTTAGATAAAGGGGAGGGGTTTGGGTCTCAAGCTGAGGTAATACGAAATGTCATTATAACAGACACATGGTGAGAAATACATGTGCTACAGAAAAGGGTGTATTATGCATGTGGAGATTATTTCTTTTACTGAATGTACTTTTCACTTTAGCATTGAAGAAAAAAATCCCCTGTTTTTTTTGGGGGGGATGGAGTCTCACTCTGTCACCCATTCTGGAGTGCAGTGGCTTGATCTCGGCTCCTGATCTCAGGTGATGCGCCGCCCCCACAGCCTCCCAAAGTGCTGGGATTAGAGGCGTGAACCACTGCACCTGGCCTTAAAAATCCCATTTATAATGCAAGTAGTCTTGGCCTCAGATCATGGGAGCTCCTTGGTGCTTCCTCCTCAATTTGGATAAAAAGGCTTCACCCCAGCCACTTTGCACCCCACCCTTCTCTTCAGGATGTGAACTCTCACCTCAGGATGGTGTCTGACTTGAAGCTGATGGGAGTCTGGGCTGAACAGGAAGGGGAGCAATCCCAGGGCTCATCTGTTCCCTCCTCAGTTTGCCCGCTCCCCTCTTTCCCTTCAGCTTTTGTGTTGATTGACGGAGAACACCCTGGCACCAGGTTTGTTCCTGAGGCCATGTCTGCAGAGAGGGGGAGTTGGGGTGGGAAACTTGCCTAACAGCCACTCACAGACTCACCCTGTTTGAAACTCAGTTTCCTCACCTGTAAGATGGGCGTGCACTTACCTATTTTGCGGGGTTACATGACTAAGCACTTGAGTCCACTGCTCTCAGCTCATCCCCATGTAATCCCACAAGGTAGGTATGTGCACACCAGTCTTACAGGTGAAGAAACTGAGTCTCAGACAGATTCATAACCAGCTGGAGGTGGAGCAGGGATGCCCGACTCTAAAGCCCAGCTCCACCTCAATGCACTCTCAGATTTTGAACCCAGAAAGAGGTGATCAGGGAATAAACATTCTCTGTGCTCTCTTTCCACATGTGCTGCGTTGCTGACAGAGCTGCAAGTTCTCCACATTGACTTCTTGAATCAGGACAACGCCGTTTCTCACCACACATGGGAGTTCCAAACGAGCAGTCCTGTGTTCCGGCGAGGACAGGTGTTTCACCTGCGGCTGGTGCTGAACCAGCCCCTACAATCCTACCACCAACTGAAACTGGAATTCAGCACAGGTGAAGCCTCGGGGCCCTACTCATGGGGCTTTGGGGAGGGATCACAAGTGTCTGTGGATGCTGGAGTGGCCCTTTCTGGTCAGTCTGAGCCAGGAGTGCCTTACCCTCCCTGATCCCCAGTTTCTCCATCTGTAATGTGGGAATAATAGCGGGTGTGAAGAGAATAGAATGGGAAGCTCAGTCAGGACCTGGCACATAGTGAGGCTCTGATTCCTTGGCTAAGCAGGGGAGGGGCCAGAGCAGAGAGAGGAGGTGACTCAGCGGGCATCTGCCGTGGTGGGGTCTGGAACATTTTGTAGAGATGAATCATAGGACTGAGGTATGCTGATGCCATAGCGGGGTGGGCTGGAGGCAAGCCAATAATAATGATTAAAATATCATATTTTGGTTGCAAAGATAATAGGAAATGGCTCATGCATTTGTTATAGCTAGGTAAATATATGTGCATAAGTACAACTAGGGGAAGAGAGAAAATGTATTAGATTTTGTGACAGGTGGTGGGATAATGGAGGAGGGTCTTACTTCTTTAATGTTGTTTTTAAGTTTTAAAAATAGATCAAGTAAGCTGGGCATGGCAGCTCATGCCTGTAATCCCAGCATTTTGGGAGGCCGAGGCAGGCAGATCACCTGAGGTCAGGAGTTCGAGATCAACCTGGCCAACATGGTGAAACCCTGTCTCTACTAAAAATACAAAAATTAGCTGGGCATAGTGGCAGGTGCCTGTAATCCCAGCTATTCGGGAGGCTGAGGTAGAATTGCTTGAACCTGGGAGGTGGAGGTTGCAGGGAGGCAAGATAGTGTCATTGCACTTCATCCTGGCGACAAGAGTGAAACTCCGTCTCAAAAAAAAATTAGATCAGGTAGATCTACTTTACAAGATGGCATACAATAGCACTTCCTGGGAGAGCGCTCCTTTTGCTCCTTCTCTGAGTGAACAACAGGCTTAGGGTCTCCTCCAACGTGCTGGTGGAGATCAGTCAGAACAGCCTCCATTCCCTTCATCCAAGATGAAATAAGCACCTACTGTGTGCCATGCCATGAGCTACCTGCTCAACGCATGGACTGGGACCGTGCTGTTGCTGACTTCAGTGACTTTATAGTACCCCTGGGTCCATGTGCATTCCCTCACCCAAAATTTCCTGAGTACTTGCCACATGCCAGGTGTTGCACTGAGCACTCTCCATGTATGACATAGTGTGAATCACTCACTCAACAAATATTTGTTGAGTACCTACTCTGTGCCAGGGAACCCAGAGGTAAAGCAGTTCCTGCCTCCTAGACTTGACTGTACTAGCAGAGAGAGCAGTAAACAAACAAAAGTGCAAGATAATTTCAGACAGGGCCAGATATGATGAAGAAACCAAAAACAAGAGGCTCCTCCAGCAAGACAGAAAGCAGCAGGTCAGGGCGGGGCTGACTCTGTCGGTGCTGACTCTGTCAGGGTTGGAAGGGCTTCCCTGGGAAGTGACCCTGCTGAGACCCACGTCCCACCATGTGAAGAGCTGAGAGCAGGGTGTTCCCAGCCATGAGCACGGCAAGTGCCAGGGCCCTGAGGAGACAACACTTGTGTCACATGCTCTTTGTCATGAGCTAACTCTCTGGGGACCAGAAACCCAGTCATGACAGGGAGGAAAGTGGGGAGCTGGGGAGAAGCCTCACTGAGGGCCACCTGTGGGCTATGGAAAGAGGTTGGATTTGATTCTAGTAGTCCCTGGAGCTCATGACATAAACTGACCGACCTTTCAAACAAGATCCTGCAACAGCTTGCAGGGTAGGCGGTGGCATCTGCCTCCTCCAGACGAGGAGTGAAGGTTAAGCAGTTCCCCTGCATTGCGTGGAGTGAACAAGCATGTTGGTCTGTGGCACGAGCCAGCAGGGTTAAACAAATGGTAACTCGAATGAGCATGTGACAGAGGCAGGAGCTCTAGGGAGACCTGGATCTGATGGGTAAAAAGGGAGGACGTGGAGAGGAGGCAGGAAGCTCATCTAAATTGAACAGAAAACTAAAACTGGACATGTGGGGCAGAAGGAGGCCCCTGCAGAATTAGAGGGGCTGGAGCCAGGGGACAAATGAGCCTGGAAAGGAGGGGTGGGGGCTCCATGAGTGGGCAGTAGGTGGGCCCGAACCAGAGGAGATTGTCTTGGGGGTGGCCCATGGCTGGGCCAATGTTTTCCTTTGGGTGTCTCCAGGGCCGAATCCTAGCATCGCCAAACACACCCTGGTGGTGCTCGACCCGAGGACGCCCTCAGACCACTACAACTGGCAGGCAACCCTTCAAAATGAGTCTGGCAAAGAGGTGAGCACCCACTGGGCTGGCGGGTGGGCTGGCTGGCTTCTGGCGGAATGCTCCTAATGTGAGCAGCCCCTATCCCCTTCCTCACCTGTCAGCTGGTAACATGGTTTAAAGCCATCCACAGCACAGCATGATAGAGGGGCCATGGCTCCAAATGTCTGTTTCCCCACTCAGCCTCCTCCAAGCACACAGTATCGCTGTGGCCAAACCTCCTACATGTCACCCTTCCCCTTTCCATTTCAAAGGGAACAATGTTCACTGGAGGACATGAGCGGAGAGAAGTACATAAAAATAACCCATGGTTCCACCAACTAAGTTACCCATCCTTCCTTCCAGGCTTTTTCTGTGTCATGGTCAAATACAAAATGGGGGTCCATCTCATGCTTCACTCACTTGACAAGACCTAATGGATGTTTTCCACAGTGGCTTCTGCCCGAGTGTGTGGCTTACGGTGGCTGGTTTTCCACCCTTTTTGGGAGCACTGGGTGTTCACAGTTGTCTCCAATCTTCCAGTGTTGTAAAGAACCATGTCTCGGCCAGATCTTTGGACTGGTTTATGGATATTTCCTTGGGCTAAATTCCTAGAAGTTTAATGCTAAGCTAATGCCATGATTTAAAAATGGCAACTACATTGGGTTTTTGTGGAAGCAGAATCTGCTGGTGGAAATGAGATGAATGGGCCAGCTGCTGCTGGAATCCTCGCTAGTGCCCCGGCCTCTTCCTTCCTCTCCCTCCCATCCAGATCCCAGACTCTCAACCCCAATTTTGCATCTGAGTGTTTTTCAGGGTATCATGAAAATCTCTCCTGAGGTGGGCATGGGTTGTGGGCAGGAGCTGCATTTCTTTACTCAAAAAGTGTTATTTTTAATTTTTTTTAATTGACATATAACACACATAAAGGACACAAATCTTAATGGTTTGCACAATGAATTTTTACATATGAATACAGCTGTGGGACCACCAGCCAGATCAAGGTGGAGGCCATTTCCTGCACCCTGGAAGGCTGGTTCTCCTGAGCTCCATTGTAATGAACAGTGAGGGCACAACCTCCTCCCTCTTGCCACAAGAGGGGTATGGGGAGTTAGCCTTGTGGATTCTGGAGTTGTAGCACAGTGAGTTTGATCCCAGCTCCACCTCTTGGGCTACCTCTGTGAACCTCAGTTTCCCCACCAGCAAAATAATGACAATTAAACATTTATATTTATTAGCTCATTTAATTTTCACAATGCTCCCACAAAGAAGGGGGCCTGTTATCATTCCAAACTTTTAAACAAGAAAACTGAGGCACAGGAGAGGTTAAGTAATCAGCCAAGGTCATACAGCCAGTAAGAGGTAGAGCTGGCCAGCCTGGGCAACACAGGGCTACCCCATCTCTACTAAAAAAAAAAAAAAAAAAAAAAAAAAAAAAAAAATTAGCCAGGAGTGATGGTGGGCACGTGTAGTTCCAGCTAGTTGGGAGGCTTAGGTGGGAGAATCACTTGACCCCAGGAGTTCAATGCTGCAATGGCACTCAAGGCTACTTCTGCCATCGCCAGCACCAGCTTCTCTCCAGAGGGTGCTGGACATCTTGCAGCCTCAAATGTGGCACATCCTATGTCAACCCTTTTCCACACCTGCCCTTTCTCCTGGGGCCTTCCTGAAGTCAAAAGCCATCAGATGCCCATGCTAGAAGCCAGTTGCACTCCAGCCTGGGTGAGAGAGAAGGACTCTGTCTCAAAAAAAAGGGGGAAGAGTAGAGCTGGGATTTGAACTGAGAGCCTATTGCTCCTATGAGTTATAATAATAAGCATCTCATGGGAGGACCTTGGACCACAAATGGAAGTGTATTGTGACAAGGATGAGAATTATTATTCTTGGTACCATTGTGGCTACAGCAATATTGATGTATCCTAATTATCTCTCCAGCTATTATTTATCCTAAAAGGCTGGATAGAGGCCTGGACGCCCTTGGACCAATGGCCTTCTGGGACTCTGGCTGCCTGTATTCCAAGAGAAAGGTGTTTTTTTTTGCTCCAAAAGACAGCTGACATTTAACCTTTCCCCTGAAGTTCCAGACACTGGGCTAGGCACCTGTATTAGTCCATTCTTGTACTACTCTACTACTCTAAAGAATACCTGAGACTGGGTAATTTATAAAGGAAAGAAGTTTAATTGACTCACAGTTCCACATGGCTGGGGACACCTCAGGAAACTTACAATCATGGCAGAAGAGGAAGTAGGCACATTTTACATGGTAGCAGGTGAGAGAGAGCGAGAAAGAGCAGGGGAAACTGCCTTATAAAACCATCAGAGCTCATGAGCACTCACTGACTATCATGAGAACAGCATGGGGGAAACTGCCCCCATGATTCAATCACCTCCCACCAGGTCCCTCACTCAACATGTGGGGATTATGGGGATTACAATACGAGACGAGATTCGAGTGGGGACACAGAGCCAGCCATGTCAGCACCTTATGCGTACTTTATCCACAGCATCTTCCCAACAACCTGGAGATGGTATCACCTCCAGGCTGTGGTGAAGCAAGTGGTGAAGGGAGTGAATCTCAGGGAGGTGAAAATGCCCAGTCTCTCCAGGGCCCTTGCAAGACGTGCCAAAACTTCATGCTGTATGGAGCTGCTTTTCTGTCTCATGCATCCTGCCCTTGCAGGGGCGCTCCTGGCTGTCCAGGGTCCTGACCATTCCTTGTCTCCAGGCTGGTTCCAGATGGGATGAGTTGTTAGGACTGACGGATTCTTCTGGGAAGCATTTGTAAGATTTGGGATCTGGCCAGAGGGGGAGATGTCCACCTTATCTTATGGTTTGCTCAGGTCACAGTGGCTGTCACCAGTTCCCCCAATGCCATCCTGGGCAAGTACCAACTAAACGTGAAAACTGGAAACCACATCCTTAAGTCTGAAGAAAACATCCTATACCTTCTCTTCAACCCATGGTGTAAAGGTACTGTGAATCTCAGGTCTGCTGGGGAATGGCAGGTGACCCCGGCAAAACCTGCTATGTGCAATGCATAGTCTATGAGCTTTTGTTTGCTCTCAAGGTACTTGCAAACTAGTTTAAGGGATGTGACCCAGGAACAGATCACAGACACCAATGGAGCGTTTTCTTTGTGACCAGGCCCCTTAGAATGGAGGTCCTTATTCCCTGTTTCCACTTCTCCCCAGTGCCTCGCCCTGCCCCAGCTGGCTTCTGCCTCCACCACTGTACAGAGGCTGCCTTCGTGGGGGTGGGGAGGGGCCACCAAGGACTTCTTCCTTGCCAGCTCCAGGTCAGGGCCTGAATTGTGGTTGGTTCCTCCCTTCTGCTCCCTTAGTTCTGTTCTCTTCTCTCCACTTCCTCATGTACCCACCTCATTTCTTCCTGTGGCTACACTGGAGCCTTTATGTAAATGGTGCTTGAGGCTACTTCTGCCATTACCAGCACTGGCTTCTCTCCAGAGGGTGCTGGACATCTTCTTGCAGCCTCAAATGCGGCACATTCTATGTCAACCCTTTCCACACCTGCCCTCTCTCCTGGGGCCTTCTTGAAGTCAAAAGCCATCAGGTACCCATGCTAGAAGCCAAGGAGCTCTTTTTTTTTAACTTGTATTTGGAAATGATTTTGAGCTCACAGAAAAGTGGCAAAAATGATGTAATGAACAACCTATACCCTTTATCATCCAGGCTCACCTGTTGTTAACATTTTGCTCCATTTGCTTAATCATTTTCCCTCCCTCCCTCCTCTACACACACACACACACACACACACACACAAGCTTTTTATTTTTGAACCATTTGAGAGTAAGTTACATATAAGTTGGTTCTTTACAACCCCTAAACCCTTCAATGTGTATTCCCTAAGAACAGGGATATTCTCTCATATAACCACAGTACAGTTATCAACTTCAGTAAATTAAGTGTTAGCAGCCAGGCGTGGTGGCTCACGCCTGTAATCACAGCACTTTGGGAGGCCGAGGTGGGCGCATCACGAGGTTGGGAGATCGAGACCATCCTGGCTAACACGGTGAAACCCCATCTCTACTAAAAATACAAAAAAATTAGCCGGGCATGGTGGCGGGCGCCTATATTCTCAGCTACTAGGGAGGCTGAGACAGGAGAATGGCGTGAACCCGGGAGGCAGAACTTGCAGTGAGCCGAGATTGCACCACTGCACTCCAGCTCTGTCTCAAAAAAGGAAAAAAAAAAATAGGCCAGGCGCGGTGGCTCATGCCTGTAATCCCAGCACTTTGGGAGGCCAAGGCAGGCGGAACACAGGGTCAGGAGATCAAGACCATCCTGGATAACATGGTGAAACCCTGTTTCTACTAAAAATACAAAAAATTAGCTGGGCCTGGTGGCATGCACCTGTAATCCCAGCTACTTGGGAGGCTGAGGCAGGAGAATCGCTTGAACCTGGGAGGTGGAGGTTGTAGTGAGCTGAGATCACGCCACTGCACTCCAGCCTGGGTGACAGAGCGAGACTCTGTCTCAAAAATAAATAAATAAATAAATAAAAATAAATAATTAAAAAAATAAGTGTTAGCATAACACTTTCATCTACTATCTATATTCCAGTTTGGTCACTTTTTTTTTAATTTTTTTTTTTTTTTTTGAGACGGAGTTTCACTCTTGTCGCCCAGGCTGGAGTGCAATGGCGCAATGGTGCGATCTTGGCTCGCTGCAGCCTCTGCCTCCTGGGTTCAAGCAATTCTTCTGCCTCAGCCTCCCAAGTAGCTGGGATTACAGGCACATGCCACCACACCCAGCTAATTTTTGTATTTTTAGTAGAGACAGGGTTTCGCCATGTTGGTCAGGCTGGTCTCGAACTCCTGACCTCAGGTGATCTACCTGGCTTGGCCTCCCAAAGTGCTGGGATTATAGGCATGAGGCACCGCACCCAGCCGGTCACTTGATTTTATCATGTACTTTATAGCATTGTTTTCCCTCCAGTACAGGATCCAATCTAGAGTCACATTTTGCATGTAGTTATGTTTACCTCCTTTAATCTGGAACAATTTCTTTATCTTTCTTTGTCTTTTTTGACATATTTTTGAGGACTAGAAGTCCCCTTTTTTAACAGATCATTCATCATTTGGGTCTGTCTGATGATTCATCATCTTTAGATTCAGGTTACGCAGTCCTTGCTGGATATTATGTAAACGACATGTCCTTCTTGGAAAATCATATCTGGAGGCACTGCCTGCCCCTCATTGGGAATGTTAAATGTGATCATTTGGTCAAGGTGTTGTCCAGTTTTTCTGCTATATAATTACTATCTTTTTCTTTTTAACGAGTAGTCTATGTGGACACATTTTAAGACCATCCAAACATCCTGATCCTTATTAAAATTCTCCACCCCTAGATTTAGCATCCACTGATGGTTCTTGCTTCAACCATTCTTCACTGTGATGGTTGCACAGTGATTTTCCAAGGCCAGCTCTCCACCATGTTTACCTGCTAGCCCCTGGCATTTCCTGTAGGCAGAGTCCTCCCTTCACTCCCATCTACCTCTCTCTTCCATCTGTATGGACTCATGGACTCTCTCTTTCTTTTCAGTGGTTTATGATTCATCCTTTTCTTAACTCATGCTTAAATTGCTCCAGATTTTCCCAGGGGAAGTCCCCTACAGCTGGCTCGGGAAGTTCTTTTGGATACTTTCCCTCCCGCTTACCTCCCTCCCCCAACATTGGGTGTTCCAAGCCCCTCACAAAGACCTTGAATCTCCCCCAGCACAGACAGTCCCCATTGGCAAGCCTGCTCCTGTCCCAGGGCAGAATATAACCTCTGTGGATGTGTGGTCTTGCTTCAGAGGACATGGTTTTCATGCCTGATGAGGACGAGCGCAAAGAGTACATCCTCAATGACACGGGCTGCCATTACGTGGGGGCTGCCAGAAGTATCAAATGCAAACCCTGGAACTTTGGTCAGGTAATGATTTGTCGTCTTGTGGCTGCACCAGGCCCCATCTGCTAGACCACCCTTTTAGCTGGGTAGTAGTCAGTAAAGGTTCTGGAGAAAGGGTTGTGAACCTCGGGTCAAACGCCAGCCTCATACATGTAAAACTTGGCCATAGAGGGGTGACCTGCCTAGGCTGCACAGATGGGGTGGAGTCCTGGGCAGAAGCCCTTCCACAAAGGTCACCCATGGCCTTTCCCATCCACCCCACGGCTCTCTCCCACCCCCCACAGCTCTCTCCTACCCCCCATGGCTCTCTCCCACCCCCCTCGGCTCTCTCCCACCCCCCACGGCTCTCTCCCACCCCCCTTGACTCTCTCCCCACCATGGCTCTCTTCCACCCCCCTTGGCCCTCTCCCACCTCCCATGGCTCTCTTCCACCCCCCACGGCTCTCTCCCAACCCCAACAGCTCTCTCCCCCACCCACCCCCACCACGGCTCTCTCCCATCCCCCATGGCTCTCTCCCACCCCCCATGGCTCTCTCCCACCCCCCATGGCTCTCTCCCACCCCCCATGGCTCTCTTCCACCCCCCATGGCTCTCTCCCAACCCCAACGGCTCTCTCCCCCACCCACCCCCGCCACAGCTCTCTCCCACCCCCCATGGCTATCTCCCATACCCCCCACCCCGCCACGGCTCTCTCCCACCCCCATGGCTCTCTCTCATGCCAAACAGCTCTCTCCCACCCCCTACCTCCCAGTGTATTTACCAAAGAACCAAGCACTGTTACAAGGAAGCACTGTTACAAGGAAGCACTGTTACAATTAGAATGTTGGCCTTGACAAAGAGCTCTAAAGAAGAGGGAGAGTTTTTTAGAGACTTGTGTGGAGGCCTCTGCTGAGTGGAGGGCCAATGCCTTCGTGCAGCCATGAGGCAGAGAAGCTGGGGTGTGAGGATGCCAGACACCAGATGCTTCCCACCTCCCCTCCCCCAAGATTTGACAACAAAAAACTCCTGGGAAATGCCAGGCATTTCACAGCTGCTTGAGTTTCTCCTCCTCCCCCTGGGTCTGGACGCCTAGGACAGGATGGAAGTAGGGACAAGGGAGGAAGGACTCCCAGCTGGCGAGGCTCCCACTGTGTGCTCTGTGCAAGGTGCGCCGAGTGCCCTCTCCACCCTCACTCATTCCTAGAAGGCCCTCAGCATCCTCTCCTCACACATGAGGACCAGAGGGAAATGAAATGGAAGGGAGTAGCTGGCAAGGAGACAGCCAAACGAACCGCAGGAGGGGTAGGGAAGAAGGAATCACCTGAATCCTAGGGAGTTTCCCCTCTTAGAAAATCAAGGGGTGGGCCGGGCACGGTGGCTCACACCTGTAATCCCAGCACTTTGGGAGGCCGAAGCAGGCAGATCATGAGGCCCGGAGATCGAGATCATCCTGGCTAACACAGTGAAACCCCGTCTCTACTAAAAATACAAAACATTAGCCAGGCGTGGTGGCACGTGCCTGTAATCCCAGCTACTTGGGAGGCTGAGGCAGGAGAATCACTTGAACCCGGGAGACGGAGGTTGCAGTGAGCCGAGATGGCGCCACTGTACTCCAGCCTGAGCGACAGAGTGAGACTCCATCTTGAAAAAGAAAAAAAGAAAATCAAGCGGTGATTTTAAGAAGCCCAAAGAGTGACTGGGTATGGAGGCTCACACCTGTAATCTCAGCACTTTGGGAGGCCAAGGTGGGAGGATGGCTTGAGGCCAGGAGTTCAAGGCCAGCCTGGGCAACATAGGGAGACCTGGTCTCTATAAAAAATAAACAAATTAGCTGGGCATGGTGATGCATGCCTATAGTCCCAGGCAGAGCTGTGGGGAGGGGGGACTGCAGTTGGAGAGGGAGGTGGGTGGATCACTTGAGTCCAGAAGGCTAAGGCTTCAGTGAGCAGTGATTGTGCCACTGTACTGTACCCTCTCTCAAAAAAATAAAAAATAAAATAAAAATAAAAAGAATCTCAAAGAATTGTAACCACAAAACTCCCCCAGACTCCTTCTGGAACATAAACATTGTGGTCTATTCCTTTTATTTTGGTAGTTTTTCCCTCAGGTTACAAAAGTAACACATGTACTTCAACTCTGTAAATATACAGATATTTATGGATAATTACAGATTGAATCATCCAGTTTAGATGGTAAATTTTATGAGATATAAATGATATCTTGATAAAGTGGCTTACAGTAAATAGAATTTCAAAAGTAACGTGCTTATCACAAAAGACTTAGGAAACACAGAAATGTGGAAAGAAAATAAAATTATTCATAACCTCCTCCCTCAGTGATAATGACTTAACATTTTAGTGTATTTTATTCTATTATCTATTACTAAGGCTTACATAGTTGTAATGCTATTTGTTCACAATTTTGTAGCCTGTTTCATTTATTCATTTATTTATTTATTTTTATTATTATTATTTTTTTGAGACAGAGTTTTGCTCTTGTTGCCCAGGCTGGAGTGCAATGGCACGATCTTGGCTCACTGCAACCTCCGCCTCCTGAGTTCAAGCGATTCTCCTGACTCAGCTTCCCGAGTAGCTGGGATTACAGGCATGCACCACCACGCCCGGCTAATTTTGTATTTTTAGTAGAGACAGGGTTTCTCCATGTTGGTCAGGCTGGTCTTGAGCATCCGACCTCAGGTGATCCACCTGCCTCGGCCTCCCAAAGTGTTGGGATTACAGGCGTGAGCCACCGCACCCGGCCTGTTTCATTTATTTGACTTGATTACAAAGGAATTTTCCCCATGGTATTAAAAACTTCTTATACTTCCTTTTAGTGGCTGCATGCTAGAGCTCTATAAACTTACTTAACTACTGTCCTGTGGCAGGACATTTAAATGGTTTCTAATTTTCAGTGCTGTGGTGGACTTTTTTATGAGACTGTAGGCAGGGGAGATGGGTTACGCTACAGGGTGGCTGTGACATGCAAATTAGATGGTATGTGTTAAGTTTCTGACACAGGGCAAAGTCTTAACTGCCTCTTTCTTCATTTCCCAAAATAGTTTGAGAAAAATGTCCTGGACTGCTGCATTTCCCTGCTGACTGAGAGCTCCCTCAAGCCCACAGATAGGAGGGACCCCGTGCTGGTGTGCAGGGCCATGTGTGCTATGGTAGGTATGGAAAGCCTGGGCTGATGCTGTCTTGTACTTGCCAATTGCTCAGCCTTTTTCTGTTTTTCCTCATCTAAACTGTAAGCTCTTTGAAGTACACCACTGTGCTATGGCCAATCAATTGTTCAAAACTATTAAGAAATAGACATTGCTGAAATCTGTTCTGAGCGCAGGTTTTCTTTTCTTTTTTTTTTTTTTTTTTTTTGAGACAGAGTCTCATTCTGTCACCCTGGCTGGAGTGCAGTGGCACGATCTTGGCTCACTGCAACCTCCACCCATCCAGGTTTTAAGCAATTCTCTGCCTCAGCCTCCGGAGTAGCTGGGATTACAGGCACATGCCACCACGCCCGGCTAATTTTTTGTATTTTTAGTAGAGACGGGGTTTCACCATCTTGGCCAGGCTGGTCTTGAACTCCTGACCTCGTGATCCACCCGCCTCGGACTCCCAAAGTGCTGGGATTACAGGCGTGGGCCACCGCGCCCGGCTTTCAAGTCAGACCTGAGTCTGAACTCCAGCCCTGCCACTTATGGGCTGACGTTAGGTGTAAATGGCTTCAACTGTCTGAGCCTCAGTTTCCCCCATCTGCAAAATGATATTAATACAGAAGGTCCTCTTTCTACCTGCAAGCTGGGCTCCAGTTGGGTGAGCAAACTGTTGCAGTTCACTTGGGACTTTTCTGGTTTTAGCACTAAGAATACTGTGTTCCAGGAAACCCCTCAGTCTTGGGCAAACAGGATGGTTGGTCACTCTATTCTGCCTGGCCACTTGGAAGTCAGTTTGTTCAGAGTGGCAGTTCTCAAATATTTTGGTTTCAAGACCTCTTTGCACTTTTAAAAATTATTAAGGACCCCAAATAAGTTGTATTTATATGGTTTATATTTACCAATATTTACTGTATTAGAAATTAAAACTGAAAAGGTTAAAACTATTTATTCTAAAAGAATAATTCCATTACATGTTAACATAAATAACGTATTTTTATTTTTAAAAACCTATGTTTTTCGAAGCATAAAATATGTAGTGAGAAGAGTGGCATTGTTTTCCATTTTTGCAAATCTCTTTAATGTCTGGCTTGCTAGAAGTCAGCTGGAATTTCATATCTGCTTCTGCATTCATTGTTTTAGTTGGAATATATGAACATCTGGCCTCACACGGATACGTAGATTTAAAAAGGCAGAGGACGGCCGGGCGTGGTGGCTCAGGCCTGTAATCCCAGCACTTTGGGAGGCCGAGGCAGGCAGATCACGAGGTCAGGAGATCGAGACCATCCTGGCTAACATGGTGAAACCCCATCTCTACTAAAAATACAAAAAATTAGCTGGGTGTGGTGGCACACACCTGTAGTCCCAGCTACTGGGGAGGCTGAGGCAGGAGAATCACTTGAACCCGAGAGGCAGAGGTTGCAGTGAGCCAAGATCGCACCACTGTACTCCAGCCTGGGTGACAGAGCGAGACTCTGTCTCAAAAAAAAAAAAAAAAAAGAAGCGGGGCGGGGGCAGGAATATTCCCATAGCCTTTTCAGATAATGGAAGATACTATACTGAAGCTCTGTAAGTGGCAGTTTCTTAAAGTTGGTTGCAATGTGGAATCTGAAACCACGATTTTTCATCCTTTGTACACTTATGAGAGAATGAGAGTGAAGAAGGCAAATATTACCTTGGGATTATTATGCAAGTAGTTTTGATCACAGAACTTGGAACTCCCAGGGATCTCCCAATGCCAGTGAGGACCACTCTCCAAAGGTCCACTGAGTTCAGCCAACTGGCTGCTCTTGCCATCTGTGGGTGGCAGGCAGACGTATGTTCATCTCCAGGTGAGTCTGTGAGCTGAACTGCTGCGACAGACGGATCTTAAGTAGGGGCTCTTGAAATGCCCTCCTTGCAGAGTGGCTGTGAGCCTGTGTCTGTTGCACGTGGTATGCCTCATAAATGCTGGGGCTCCTGTTCCCCTGCACCTTAGGGGCTGATGGGATTACCGGGGGCCCTCACGCTGACTCTCTGGGGCCCAGGAGTCCACCATGCCTGCTCTTTCCCCTTCACCCCCATGCTGGTATGTTCATTCTCTAGCCCAGGGGCCAGCAGGTGGCCAGGCTGGATGCTGAGAAAGAACAAGTAAAGGAGACCAAGTCATTAGCAGGCAGAACTTGCCATGAGGGGCTCTAGTTCTCAGTGGTGCAGGTGGACTGGCACGTACCTGGCTGCTTCTCCTTTCAAGCTCCATGACTCTGGACAAGATTCTAAACCTCTTTGGGCCTCTGTTATCTCATCTTTTGGGTGATTATGAGGTCTCAATAACACACAACAAGTGCCCAGCCCAGGGTCTGACACGCTTTGGGCCCACGAGTAGCCTATTCCCAGGTCATTCTTATGCGTGGTGGGGTTTGGGAAGCAATGGGCTAAGCCGCTGCTTGTTTCAGTGATGAGGAAACCAGCCGGGGGAGAAGGGGCAGTTCGCCAAAGGCTGCACAGTGAAGTGGTGGTTGAGCCAGCTGTGCTGACTCCTGGTGCAGTGCTCCTTCCTAGTGCCCTGCCAGCCACCTCCTCAGGCTGTGAGGCAAGCATGGGCAATTCAGAACTCCAAGGTGTTCCAGGAGTCACTTCCAAAATTAGGTTACTGCAGATTAGCTTCCACGCTCGGGAGTCTGAGAACCCCAGCCCACTTCAGAGGCCCTCCCCTTTTCCAGGTTCCCTATAAAGGTTGCCCCTTCACCCTTAGAAATTCGTGGCTATCCATGGGCCTCCTGGATCTGTGAATTTCTGACTAGCAGGCAGAGCTTCTGGCAGGGTCGCCTAAAGACGACTCCCACACCAGGCAGGGAACCTCGGCGCAGCAGTGAGTGCGTTCATTATCCATTGCTAAGTAATAAGTTACCCCAAGACACTGTGGCTGAAACAACAAACATCCATTATCTCCCATGTCTGTGGGTCAGGAATCCAGGTGTGGTTTAGCTGAATGTTCTGGCTGAAGATCTCTGGGGGAGGACCTACTTCCAGGCTCACTCACCTAGCTGCGAGCAGCCTCAGGTCAGGGCAGCTCATAGCATGGCAGCCAGCTTCCATCAGAGTGAGCAAATAAGAGAGGGGGTGCCCAGGCTGGAAGCCACAGCCTTTGTCACCTCATTTCAGAAGTGACAGCCATCACTTTTGCTGCATTCTGTTGGTTAGAAGTGAGTCACTGGGTCTAGGAGAGGGGATTACTGGGGACCATCTCGGTGACTGCCTACCATGCCTGGGCACAGAAATGTGCTTTGTTCCGCAGGGGGATAGAGCCTCGTGCATCAGGAGTTTTGAAAGTCCTGATGTCCTTTGGGCTCAGCGTCACTCCCCTTCTTTCCCTATCTCCGCCCTCCCCTACATTGCTCTATAGACGGCTTGTGTCTAGCAGGCGCTGACAGGCTGGGGCCGCTTAATTTCGCAGGAGGACGCAGCAGCCGGACCAGGGCAGTGGCTGGGTGACAGTTAAGATGGGAGGTATTTCCTGCTTTGCCTAGGACCCTTTGCCTGTCTCTCTTTCATCTGTTTTCATTCCGTCTGACCACTCTTGAGTCTGGCGGTGGCCTCTGCTCTCTCTCTGATTTTGATGAATGAAGAGGCTTGTCCAGCCACAGGACCTGAGAGGTCACGGGAGGCCCAGGCCACACCATTGTTTGAGACTTCTTGTAAATTAAAACTGAACAAACTCCCAAACAGGATTCAGAAATTGTAGCATACTATAAGGGTTTTAGTTAAACAAACGGACATCTTTAACATCCTGGGAAACATGAGGCACTGTAACTGTGCTTTTCACAAGGCATGATGAGGTTTGCAAAGGACGTTAGTGTGCAGGCCAGGAGGGGATGGGTGGATGTGGTCAAAGCCAGGCCACCACCAGATCAAAGATTTGTGACTGTGTCACCTTTCATGTTTTCGGAGGGTTCCTCTGCACCTGCCTGTACAACCTTCTTTAGAGATTCCATTAAGTGCTTTCAAAGGTGAACTCACAAGGCTTTGTCCTCTCTCTGGTTTTAATAAGGTGGAAAGGATCGTCTGGCCAGGGCTCCTCAGGGGTTAAGAGAGGTGCAGGCCACTGACAATTTAAAAACGGAAGATGCCAAAACAGGCATAGGCTTAACCCAGGTCATCCTCAAAACAACCTAAAGGGACCGGGCATAGTGATTCACACCTGTAATCCCAGCACTTTGGGAGGTTGAGACAGTTGGATTACTTGAGCTCAGGAGTTTGAAACCAACCTGGCCAACATGGTGAAACCCTGCCTCTACAAAAAACTACAAAAATTAACCAAGTGTGGTGGCGTGCGCCTGTAGTCCCAATTACCTGGGTGGCTGAGGTGGGAGGATCACCTGAGCCCAGGAAGTTGAGGCTGCAGTGAGCCGAGCTCACACCACTGTACTCCAGCCTGGGCTACAGAGCAAGATCCTCTCTCAAAAAACAAACAAAACCAACCTAAAGGTAGGTGTTGTAATGATCATCATTTTACAAGGGAGGAAACTGAGGCATACAGCAGTGAGCATCCTCCCCGGTCACTCAAACAGCTGGCATGCTCCTTGGCCCTTCTGGGCACCCCACCTGTTCTGGAAAGCCCACGTCCTCCAAGTACTCTGAGACATTATGAGGTGTCCACTTTGGGGGCTGGGTGGCCAAGCTGGGCTGGCAGCACCTTGTTCTTCTGAGGGGCGGACACTGACCCCACCCCTACGTGTGTGGCAGATGAGCTTTGAGAAAGGCCAGGGCGTGCTCATTGGGAATTGGACTGGGGACTACGAAGGTGGCACAGCCCCATACAAGTGGACAGGCAGTGCCCCGATCCTGCAGCAGTACTACAACACGAAGCAGGCTGTGTGCTTTGGCCAGTGCTGGGTGTTTGCTGGGATCCTGACTACAGGTAAGTGGCAGATCCAGGGGCTGAGGGGAGAGGTCCCAAGGGAGGGACTCCCAGCCCCCACAGTTGCCAACCACCCCACCCTGGATCATTTCAGTGCTGAGAGCGTTGGGCATCCCAGCACGCAGTGTGACAGGCTTCGATTCAGCTCACGACACAGAAAGGAACCTCACGGTGGACACCTATGTGAATGAGAATGGCGAGAAAATCACCAGTATGACCCACGACTCTGTCTGGTAGGGTTCCTCCTTCTCAACCTGCCCTGTCTCCTTCTCCCAGGAATTTTCTTTTTTCTTTTTAGAAACAGGGTCTCTCGCTAGTTTGCCCAGGCTGGTCTTGAACTGGTGTCAAGCAGTCCTCCTGCCTTAGCCTCCCAGGTAGCTGTGATTCCAGGTGCAAGCCACCATGCGTGGCATCCCAGGAGTTTTTTAGCCCAAGCCCAGTCTCCAGGCCCTCCCAACCCAGAGATTCTGCTGAGCTGTGGGGCCCCTTCAGCCTCCCTCAGAGACTGATTCAAGTTGTAGGCCAGTGCTCACTGTTCCTGAAATTCAATATTTTTCAACATTTGGCCTTGGACAATCTGTGCTGGAATCACCTGGGGGTGATTGTTAAAAAATGCAGATTCTTGGCCAGGCATGGTGGCACATGCCTGTAATCCCAGCACTTTGGGAGGCTGAGGTGGGTGGATCACGAGGTCAGGAGATTGTGACCATCCTGGCCATGGTGAAACCCCATCTCTACTAAAAATACAAAAATTAGCTGGGCATAGTGGCACGTGCCTGTAATCCCAGCTACTTGGTAGGCTGAGGCAGGAGAATCACTTGAACCCGGGAGGCAGAGGTTGCAGTGAGCCGAGATCGCACCACTGCACTCCAGCCTGGTGACAGAGCTAGACTCCCTCTCAAAAAACAAAAACAAAAACAAAAAACAAACAAAAAAAATGCAGATTCCTGTACTGGAGCTTTTGCCTCTACAGGGGAAGGGCCAGGAGTCTGAAGTTCATGTTAGCACTTGGCCCAGGAGATCTGATATATACCACTGTTTGAGAACTTTTGATGTAACTAGTACCCACTGGCCAGCATGAAGCTTATTTCCTTTGTTCTCTGATCCAGAGCACATGGGCCCCTTGCAAGCTAAAATTGACCACAAGATAGAAAAGGGAGAATGAGAAGTTGCAGAGGGAGTAGACGAGGTGGGAAGGTCAGGGCATGATTACAAATTCCCGAGGCATTTCAGTTGAAGTTGGAGCCTTACAGCTTTTATTTAAATACTGCTGAGACGTTCTAGTTCACGTACCAAGATGAGAAAAAACAGAAAGACTTGAAACTTTTGGAAAGGAGGCACTAACCAGTATTATTTGTAGATGATATACAGTTGACCCTTGAACAGCATCGGTTTGAACTGTGCAGGTCCACTCATAGGCAGATTTTTTCAACTGAGTACAGGTGTATTTGTGGGAGGTGAAACCTGCCTATACTGAGATCTGGCTTTTCCTATATACACATTCCACAGGGCCAACTGTAGGACTTGAGTGTGTATGGATTTGGGTATACTCAGGGGTCCTGGAACCAATACCCTGTGGATACCGAGGAATGACTGTTAATTGTCTACCTAGAAAACCAAGAGCACCAACTTAAAAATAGCAAGATTTAATATGAGAATTCAGAGACTGGCCAGTTACAAAGTTGCTGATCAACCAAATCAGAATCCCAGTGAATTGAATACATTCATTGAATGAATGAAATAACAGTTGTAATCTTTTACTAGGCTGTGACTGCACAGCCTAGTGCATTTCACCCATTCATCCAGGAAAAATTTATTAGGTGTCTGTTATGCTTCAAACACTGCAGATGTCAAGACAGATAAGATTTAGTTCTGCTTCGAGTTCACCATCTCTAGTGGTGAAGACTCCCAGGCTCTTTGAAATCCATAGGCAGGGTGACGGTCTCATGAGGTTCCCCCAGCCCTGCCCCCTGCACACAACTCTGTGCCCTGGGAGGCTTTCTGAGAGGCAGGTGGGACTCACCGGTGGCCCCTTCCTTGCCAGTGTTGACAAAGGTTCCCAAACCCCTGAGAACAACCTCAGTGGGTCCCCGGTGATGAAGATGTCTCTGGCAATTTTGGCGTATTTATCTCTAACTAGGTTTGGGGGTGGTCCGGGGTGGGGCCCGTTCCCAATTTGCGGCAGGAATTTCCATGTGTGGACGGATGCCTGGATGAAGCGACCGGATCTGCCCAAGGGCTACGACGGCTGGCAGGCTGTGGACGCAACGCCGCAGGAGCGAAGCCAGGGTGAGTGGGTGGCAGGAAGGCGCTGGGCATCCATGCTGCTCTCCTTACATGGCCCAGGGTTCTGTGGGTCTTGGGTATGCAGCCAAGCAGGTGGGGAAAGTTTTCATAAAAATTTCCCAAAACAAAAAGCATGCTCAGTCCTTCCTGCTATTCCCACTGAGCAGGGGCTTCAGTTTGCTGGCTATTTTTATGAAGATAATGCCAATGACAGTACTGTTAAGAGCAATGAGATGGTGGCACTTAAGGGTTCCCTACTGCATACCATGCGCAGTACCTACATGATCCATTTTACTCACAACTAACCTTTCAAAGTAGGTTGTCATTATCGTCATTTTACAAATGAGGAAACTGAGGCTCAGGGAGGTGAAGTGAGTTGCCTGAGGTCACACAGATCCACAAGGCTGGACCAGGATTCAGCCCAAGTCAGACATAATGGGGATGCTTATCTCAGCTGGTTATGGGTTACCAACTTCTGGGTAAGACAGTGGCCCCTTGTAGCTGGAAGGACCTTGCCGGGGGACAAGGGTGTCTTTGTACAGCTGGGGAAGCAGAGGCATGGGGTTGGTCTGAGGTTACTTGGAAAATCTGTGGAATCAAGTTATCTTTATTTTAAATAGTGAGTCCTAGTACTAAAGACAAAGTCAGCCCAGTAAAGGGAAAATAGATTAGCTCAATAATTCTCAAATTTTAAAAAATTATTTGTTTATTTATTTTGAGACAGAATCTCACTGTTGCCCAGGCTGGAGTGCAGTGGTGTAATCTCGGTTCACTGCAACCTCTGCCTCCCAGGTTCAAGCAATTTTCCTGTCTCAGTCTCCTGAGTAGCTGGGACTACAGGTGCACACCACCATGCCTGGCTAATTTTTACATTTTTAGTAGAGACAGGACTTTGCCATATTGGTCAGGCTGGTCTCAAACTCCTGACCTCACGTGCTCCACCTCCCTTGGCCTCCCAAAGTGTTGGGATTACAGGCATGAGCCACTGTGCCTGGCCTTTATTTATTTATTTATTTAGAGATGGAGTTTCACTCTTGTTACCCAGGCTGGAGTGCAATGGTGCAATCTTGGCTCACTGCAACCTCTGCCTCCCAGGTTAAAGTGATTCTCCTGCCTCAGCCTCCCGAGTAGCTGGGATTACAGGCGCCTGCCACCATGCCTGACTAATTTTTTGTATTTTTAGTAGAGACAGGGTTTCACCCTGCTGGCCAGGCTTGTCTCAACCACCTGACCTCAGGTGATCTGCTTGTCTCGGCCTCCCAAAGTGCCGGGATTACAGGTGTGAACCACCGCACCCAGCCTCAAACTTTTTTTTTTTTGAAAAAAGCAGTCCAACTGCTCAGAAGGAAACTTCGTGTGCCACCTCATAATGTAAAGCAGAACTACTCCAGCTGAAGTGTGCCCAGGGACCAGCCGGCCCCTCCCTGACATCTCTGCCTCACTCCTGCAGCCCCTGAAGTAGATGTCTCTCAAGGTTCTTCTAGGAATAAGTCTTAGTTTGGCTGTGAGCCTCATCCCAAGGATAGCAAATTCATCTGCCCACAGGGCCAGAGAGTGAACAGGGCTGTCTACTTGGGAAGATGGGGACCTAGAGACATGAGCATGCAGATCCCCAAAGGCATTCAGGTTACAATTTAAACATACTTTGCGGGCTCCACCCATCAGTGTGAGACTCCTGATTCCTCCAGCTGCAATGTGAGCCCACATGGCCCTGAAGGCAAAAAAATGCTGTTAAAAGTGAAAACAGCCTCCACATTTCTCCAAAGATAAGGCATTGCCCTTATAATAGGGGGTGAGGGTGGTGGGAGGTGGCCCCCAGAGGTGGGAGGAGCAGGTGATATGCCCACACCCCCGCATACTCTGCAGGAAGATTCTCAGCAGGGCAGTATTGAGGGCTCTTTCCATCCAGGGAGTCTAAGTAGCATTTGCTGAGGTGGGACAGTAGCCATAGCAACCAGGCAGTGAGTAGCGCAGTGCCACTATCTGCCTGAGAGGCAGAGGAAGCCCTGTTCCCTGGCCAGAAAAGGGGCCTTAAAAGCCCACCTAACCTGCTCACCTTATAGATAAGGCCAGAGAGGGAGGGTGGGGATGCCCAGGTTCAGTCAACAAGTTAGGAGAAGAACCAGTATTAGATTAGGAGACCAGTTCTCCTGAGTCCTAGTCCTCCAATACACTGAATTCACAGGTTTGGCTGCCTTAAAGAGGCAAGGGAGAGGAGCCTGTGTGTTGAGGATTAAATAAAAATAGTGGAAGCAGAAAGCCCAATGCCCAGAATACAAGGGTATGTAAAAACCAAAGCTACTACTGAGGAACTATCAGTCAAGAGACTAATTCTCATTAAGTTGTCAATGACTAATAAGGGAACTCTCTATCCCCATGCTAGAAATAAAAAGACAGCTCTTAACAAAAATGAAAAATAAATAAATAAATAAATAGACAGCTCTTAGAATGGAAATGTTCTTATTAGCCCAGATCCATAGCAACAGCTTGCATTTGTTTTAGGCACAGGGCTAAGTACTTTGCCTGGATTATTTAATTTAATCTTCGCAATAGCCTTAGAAGGTAAGTGCTGTTTTTATTCCCAGTTTTCTAGGAAATGGAGCCACAGAGAGCTGAAATGCCTTGCACAAGGTCACATAGCTCCAAGGTGTGATGCCAGGAATCAGACCCAGATTGTGTGTCTCTGTGCTCTACTGGGGACTGATGTGCTGGGATGAGTTTAATAGGCAGCATGACTTCCTATTACTGGGACAGAGGATTCCTGACACTCTTCAAGTCAAAGCTGAGATGTGCCCCTCTTTTCAGAATAGTTAAGGATGGCCTAGGAAATGAGTACCCAGATGCTTCTTGGGCAAAATTTGCTTGCCAGTCCTGTTTGAGTTTGGGAATCATTGCTGCCACTGGGTCCAGGCTGGGTGGGCTGGGGAACCCCACTGAGAGTGACCACCCCTGGCTTCCCCTCAGGTGTCTTCTGCTGTGGGCCATCACCACTGACCGCCATCCGCAAAGGTGACATCTTTATTGTCTATGACACCAGATTCGTCTTCTCAGAAGTGAATGGTGACAGGCTCATCTGGTTGGTGAAGATGGTGAATGGGCAGGAGGAGTTACACGTAATTTCAATGGAGACCACAAGCATCGGGAAAAACATCAGCACCAAGGCAGTGGGCCAAGACAGGCGGAGAGATATCACCTATGAGTACAAGTATCCAGAAGGTGCTAGCATCACAGGGCTCCTTCTGACTCAGCCCCTGAGTCACCCAGAACATGAAAATAGTCAAGATTGGGGGTGGGCCTGGGCAACATGGTGAAACCCCATCCCTACCAAAAAAAAAAAAAAAAAAAAAAATTAGCTGGGTGTGGTGGCATGTGCCTGTGGTCCCAGCTACTCAGGAGGCTAAGGTGGGAGGACTGCTTGAGCCAGGGAGGTTGAGGTTGCTGTGAGCTATGACCATGCCACTGCACTCCAGCCTGGGTGACAGAGCAAGACCCTGTCTCATACAAACAAAAAGACAAATCCTAATTGAGGCCTTTGCATTGTTTGACCAGCTCATTCACCTTGCTAAGACTGTCCGTTCTCCCCAGTGCCCAGTAAATTAGACATCTTCTCAGCCTGGCTTTCTGGCCCCTGCAGAGCTGGCCTCTGGCTCCCTTCCTGAGCTTAAGTTCATCCCCTAGCCATGCTGCCTGCTGTTACCTGAAAATGCTGGCTACTTTCACCCCTGGCCAAACCTCTGCTTATGCTTTCCCTAACTGAACTGTCTCCTTTGCAATCTCTACTATCCACAGGCTCATACGCTGCCTCTGTTCTTGATGTTCCTCAATCTGACAGATTTGTATTTCCCCTGTGGCCCATTGGCTGTGGTTCCTGTACCACGTGGTAAGGAAAGGAAGACAACTCCATATAGCATCCTCAAAGGGTGCAAGAGTCCAGACAGGGGCAAACTGAAGATGGGATGTGATTAAGAGGAAGGCAGGAAATCGTAAGGACTCATAGACGAGGGAGCAATTTGCTATGCTATGGGATGGCAGATGGTACCCATGCAGCTGGGGCTTTTCCCACCCTCCATTGCAGTATAGTTACAAGCAGGTCAGTTTGGACCCCTGGGTTGATTGTGAGCTTGTGTAAAACCTTGTACAAGGTAGGCCTGCAGTAAATATTTCTTCCATATAAATGAGGCAAGTGATTGATGGCTACCAAGGCAGCTCAGGACAAACTGGAGCTCTCCACTTTGAAGTCTCTTTGTGTTCAGAATGGACGTGGATGGAGAGCTTTGTAACCAAGCTCAGAAATTCCTGTCTTACAGCTGCTATCTCTGAAATAGAATCTTATCCTCAGGGTTGTGTTGAAAATGAGCAAACTTGATTAAAAGCAATTAGGTCAGGAGTGTTTTTTTTTGTTTTTGTTTTTTTTGTTTTTTGTTTTTTGTTTTTTTTGCAGGGTGACAGAAGTATCAGGGAGGGAGGGAAAGGATAGAGAGGGAGACCAGTGGTGTCTGTCAACTGCTACACTTGATGGTGTCCCTCAGGTCTCTGAGGCTCTGTTCACTCTTCCTCATTGTTTTTCCTTTCTGTCTCTCAGACTAGATAATCTTATGACCTGTCTTCAAGTTTGCTGATTTTCCTGCAAGCTCTAATCTGCTATTATTGTACTTTTCAACTCCAGAATTTATATTTGGTTCTTTTTTAAAAATAATTTTAATCTCTCTCGATATTCTCTATTTGGCAAGCCATTTGTTCTCACACTTTTTTTTTAGTTTTTTGAATATATTCAAAATAGCTAATTTAAAGTCTTTGTCTAGTAGGTTCAATGTCAGGGCTTCCTTAGGGACAGTTTTTATTGACTGTTTCCATGTTCCTACCCTGCCACCCCCACACCACCATGTATGGCCTATAGTTTGTTTGCATGTCTTGTAATTTTTTGTTAAAAATTGGACATTTTAAAGAACATAATATGGCAACTCTGGAAATCAGATCCTGTCCCCCATCCCAGGGTTGCTTTTGTGGTTGCTATTTGTTTAACAACTTCTCTGATATAATTCCAGAAATTCTATAATCTTTCTTGTCCATGACCACTGAATTCTCTGCTCAGTTTGCTGAATGGTCAGCTAATGATTAGATGGATATTGCTTTAAATTCCTTGAATCATTAAGACTCCTAGCCTTTGGCAAGGGGCTCTGTGTACAAGTTAGGGTACATTTCAATGCTCTGGCAGGCAATTTACAATTCTGCCTTCACTTCTTGCTTGAGCCTCAAGGTCAGTTAGAGGTGAGAGCCTTATCAGATCTTTCTCAGACCTTCTAGATTTCCAGGAATCTGTCTGAGCTTTTCAAAGCCCCCGTGGACATTTTGTCCCTCAGCTTTTCCTTTTAAGCTTTTTGGTCGGCTTCTTTTCCCCTCAACTCCCTTCTTTTCCTTATTGCCTTAGGAAACTGCAGTTGTAAACAATTGCTGCAGGTTGTTTGTCTTAACAAATGCTCCAGGGAAAAGGCTGTTGGTAATGAGGGAGCTCTGAGTCAGGTCAATGAAGACAAACTCTGTGAATGAGGGTTTCCAGGGAATCGCCCTTAGGTCAATTAACAACAATTCTCTGGTAGTGGAGCTTTTAGCGGAACTCCAAAACCATTCTGTCCCCTCCAGAGGTGGCTAGGCTGCTGGTTTTCACTGTGATTTGGTGCTGTGGTTTTTGAGTCTACTCTGGAGCTGGAAAGAAGGGGAGATGGGAATCAGAATGCCACAAAACTATTCTTACTGAGATTGTGCTGTTTTTCTTGAATAAATGCTCCTTAGATTATTATAAGCCTTTAGTTAATTTCAAGAATTCTGAAAAAGTTGATTTGATAATTTTTGCCAATGTTCTCATTGCTTTTATGGAGAAGCAGATTTTTGGAGGTCTTTATTCTGCCATTCCCACTGATGTCAGAATGTGCTATTGCTTAGGAATGGGGATTTGAATGATCCTCTGTGTGAATCTATAGCTCATGGGCTCCAGGGATGTCTCTGGAGTCCTGGCCAGGCAGATGGTCTCCTTCTGCCACACGGGTGGTTGGGACATTTGGTCCTTGAAGGAGCACCTGAAGGAAGCTGCCTTTGTGTCTCTTTCAGGCTCCTCTGAGGAGAGGCAGGTCATGGATCATGCCTTCCTCCTTCTCAGTTCTGAGAGGGAGCACAGACGACCTGTAAAAGAGAACTTTCTTCACATGTCGGTACAATCAGATGATGTGCTGCTGGGAAACTCTGTTAATTTCACCGTGATTCTTAAAAGGAAGACCGCTGCCCTACAGAATGTCAACATCTTGGGCTCCTTTGAACTACAGTTGTACACTGGCAAGAAGATGGCAAAACTGTGTGACCTCAATAAGACCTCGCAGATCCAAGGTCAAGGTACCAGAACCAGAGGGAGGAGAGGCCTCAAGTGGGCTCAGGGTCCCACAATCTGAAATCCCTCTTCTCCTCTGTGGACAACTTCCATACATTGATAAATTTTTGTGTGTGAGTTAACACAAACATTTATTGAGCACCTACCCCTTGGTAGTCACAAGAAAGCCAGCCACAGAAGAAAAGTGAGCCAAAGAGACCACTGGACTAGGAGCCTGGGTCTATCGTAGAGTTATAAATTAGGGGTGCTGAAAGTGTCATGAGAAGTCTTCTATGGTGGCAGAAATTTTAATCTCAGATGCCCAGTCAGATCAATGATTATGAGTACCCAAGGCACAGTGTTGGGAACAAGTGGGATGTCCTGATGACAACGGGTAATGTCTGTCATGGACTCAGGATGTAAGCTTGGAGAACTTGGCCAATTATTATTCCATCTTGAGCCCAACGTCTTGTTTTCTAAAGAGAGTATGGGACATGTCCAAAGTTATCCAGTTCAATTCACACAAAGTTAATCTAATTCTGTGCTTGATGAGGAGAACTCATACTGGGGGGGTATGATGAATGACCTCTCCCCTCCACCCTGACTCTTTGGCAGTATCAGAAGTGACTCTGACCTTGGACTCCAAGACCTACATCAACAGCCTGGCTATATTAGATGATGAGCCAGTTATCAGAGGTTTCATCATTGCGGAAATTGTGGAGTCTAAGGAAATCATGGCCTCTGAAGTATTCACGTCTTTCCAGTACCCTGAGTTCTCTATAGAGGTGAGCTTCCTGCAGGCCATAAAGGGCTCCTTCTGCCTGGAAGTTGGCCATGGAGTGTGACGGGGCCCCTAAGAACCCTGAGGGTCCTTGGTTGGCTCATGCATATCTTCTCTCCCCATCTCTCCTCCCCACCCTACTACAGTTGCCTAACACAGGCAGAATTGGCCAGCTACTTGTCTGCAATTGTATCTTCAAGAATACCCTGGCCATCCCTTTGACTGACGTCAAGTTCTCTTTGGAAAGCCTGGGCATCTCCTCACTACAGACCTCTGACCATGGGTGAGTCTGCCTGAGGTATTCTTAGAAATATGCTTCTGGACATATATCTTGCACATGTGTGCATATTCCTGAGAAGTGAATTCCCAGTATGGGGTCACAGGGTCAAAATGTAGATACATTTTGCTAGTGCCAAATTACTTTGAGAAAAGATTGCATCAATTTATGCTCTACCGACAGATCTTTTTGATTCTTGCCAATCTAGTGGTTAAGTAATCTCATTGCTTTACTTTGCATCTGATTATTTGTGAGGTTGAATATTTCTTACATTAATTGACTCTCTCCTGTGAATTGCCTGTTCCTAACTTTTGTCCATTTTTCTACTGAGTCATTTATTTTTTCATATTGGTATGGTGTCTTTACACAGTAGAGTGTTATGTGCTGTGAATTTTTTTATAGCAGTTTTGTATTCAATTTTTTAAATTTGATTCTTATTTATTTTGAGGTGGAGTCTCACTTTGTTGCCCAGGCTGGAGTGCAGTGACACGATCTTGGCTCACTGCAATCTCCATCCGTCCCCAGGTTCAAGTGATTCTCCTGCCTTGGCCTCCTGAGTAGCTGGGATTACAGGCATATGCCACCACACCCGGCTAATTTTTGTATTTTTAGTAGAAACGGGGTTTCCCCATATTGGCCAGCCTGGTCTTGAACTCCTGACCTCAGGTGATCTGCCCGCCTTGGCCTCCCAAAGTGCTGGGATTACAGGCATGGGCCATCATGCCCGGCCGAACAGTTTGTATTTTTTTAAACACTAAGATGTCTTTCACCAGTAGAACTTTTAAATTTTAATGTAGTCAAATTTTTCAATCTTTTCCTTTACGGATACTGAATTTCATGTCATCCTAGGTGCATAGAAATATTCTCTTATGCTTTTTCTAGAATTTCCAGCTTTATTTACACAATTAGGTATTTATCTGGAATTTTTTTTGGGTGTGGAGTGATGTGGAGCTCCAACTTTGTCTGTGGTTTTCCTAGTACTTTGTAGCACTGCCTTTATTATGCTGTCAATTCCCATATATATCTGGGTCTCTGGACTCTTTAATTTGCTATTTCATTTGTCTTCTTCTAATATAACATCATACCACTTAAATTATTGTAGTCCTATAATAATTTTATATGATTATCATATCTACATATTGATATGTATTAGGCAAATCCCCACCCCACCCCCATTTTTGTCTATAGCACTTTTAGAATCATCTTGTCATATAATTTTAAAACAGCTGGGATTTAGATTGATACTGCATTGAATTTACCTATTTATTTGGGGGAGAATTATGCCAAATGACAATATTGTGTCTTGCCATCTAGGAATATGAGATTTTCCCATTTTTTTCCAGTCTTTTTTATCACCTTTAGAAAAGCTATATTGTTTTCTTTATATACCACTTGCACGTTATTAGTTGGGTTAATTCCAAGATGCATCAATATTATAGCTTTTATGAATGGAATATTTTTCATTGTATTTTCTAATTGTTTGCTGGACTATATGGAAATTGATTTTTGGCATGCTGATATATCCAGCAAAAAACTTTACTGAACTCTAATGTTTTGTTTCTGAGAGGTTTCTGATGGTCTGTTTCTTACAGGATGTCTGAATCTTCCAAGTAAAAATGAGTAGACTCCTATTTTCCTTAGACCACGATTTATCACATTTTAATGTGCACACAAATTACCTGGGGAGTATTGTTACAGTGTAGATTCTGATTCAGCAGGTTTAGGGTGGAGCCTCAGATTCTGTGTTTCCTACAAGCTCAGCTAGTATTGCGAAGCCCCAGAACACACTTTGAGTAGTGAGGGGCTAGCCAATTCCTTGCATGTGGATTCAACATAAAATACATGTTCCTCTTAGATTTTATGTAATAGATGACTGTTGCTAATACTCATGAAACAAGAACATCTGTAGTAAAGTCAGGCAAGACTCCAGGGAAGATTTGTGAAATGTCAGAGTTGGAAGAGCTTCTGGAAACCAGCTGGTTCACCCGTCTTGCTTTACATCTGAGAAAACTGATAGCAGCACCCAGGGTGCAGGTACACTGTGCCATGCCCTGGAATGGCCAGGACTTTTCAAAGAGGCTGAGCTAAGGCTCAGTTTCCTGGCTTCTCACCCAACTCATCTTCTCCCTCTTCCCATAACATCCTTGGCTGATTGTATGTCCGTATGTCTTTGAATTTTCCAGGACGGTGCAGCCTGGTGAGACCATCCAATCCCAAATAAAATGCACCCCAATAAAAACTGGACCCAAGAAATTTATCGTCAAGTTAAGTTCCAAACAAGTGAAAGAGATTAATGCTCAGAAGATTGTTCTCATCACCAAGTAGCCTTGTCTGATGCTGTGGAGCCTTAGTTGAGATTTCAGCATTTCCTACCTTGTGCTTAGCTTTCAGATTATGGATGATTAAATTTGATGACTTATATGAGGGCAGATTCAAGAGCCAGCAGGTCAAAAAGGCCAACACAACCATAAGCAGCCAGACCCACAAGGCCAGGTCCTGTGCTATCACAGGGTCACCTCTTTTACAGTTAGAAACACCAGCCGAGGCCACAGAATCCCATCCCTTTCCTGAGTCATGGCCTCAAAAATCAGGGCCACCATTGTCTCAATTCAAATCCATAGATTTCGAAGCCACAGAGTCTCTCCCTGGAGCAGCAGACTATGGGCAGCCCAGTGCTGCCACCTGCTGACGACCCTTGAGAAGCTGCCATATCTTCAGGCCATGGGTTCACCAGCCCTGAAGGCACCTGTCAACTGGAGTGCTCTCTCAGCACTGGGATGGGCCTGATAGAAGTGCATTCTCCTCCTATTGCCTCCATTCTCCTCTCTCTATCCCTGAAATCCAGGAAGTCCCTCTCCTGGTGCTCCAAGCAGTTTGAAGCCCAATCTGCAAGGACATTTCTCAAGGGCCATGTGGTTTTGCAGACAACCCTGTCCTCAGGCCTGAACTCACCATAGAGACCCATGTCAGCAAACGGTGACCAGCAAATCCTCTTCCCTTATTCTAAAGCTGCCCCTTGGGAGACTCCAGGGAGAAGGCATTGCTTCCTCCCTGGTGTGAACTCTTTCTTTGGTATTCCATCCACTATCCTGGCAACTCAAGGCTGCTTCTGTTAACTGAAGCCTGCTCCTTCTTGTTCTGCCCTCCAGAGATTTGCTCAAATGATCAATAAGCTTTAAATTAAACTCTACTTCAAGAAAACTCTGTGGTCCCTGAGTCCTTTTTTCTTTATGCCAATAAGCTTCTTAAATGTGCTGGCGGTTTATGCAGTCACTTGGGGAGCCATGGAATCCTTTGATCTCCCCAGGCAAGGTGCTCTGAGGAGTTGGCTTCTTTATTGTCTGTTCAGTACATCCAACCCCTCTCTCAAAGGCTGTCACCCCAACTGGATACACACCCTGGCAAAGGCACGTAGCTTGAATGAGGGTTATTTTGTGTCTAATTCACAGGAGAGTCATGGGTGGGATACCTGTCATCCTCTGCCTTTCCAGCTGTCCAAGTGAAAAAAACCTCAATCCTGGTCACCCTTGCCCAAGTTGCCCACATCCCTGGCATACAGTAGGTGTTCAATAAATGTTTATTGAAGGAAAGGTGACTGTTCCTTCTGCTGGAAATACCACAAGGGTGGTGACACAAACAAGAGTTTGGTCAGTCACTCCACAGCACAGTGTCCGATCCCAAGAGGTGATATAGCCCGGCACGGCCACTGTGTGGTGCCGTATGACACTCACTTGTCTCCCACACTGGGAATGGAAGAAAAGTAGCTTTCCTAGAGGTGCCTTTAGGGTGGCCCATAAGGAAGGACACTGCCCAAGGGTTTGAGCTGGGATCTCTTAATTAAAACAGGAGACTCCAGTCACTGAGGGTGAGCAAAGAGCTTTTTATTCAAAGAAAGAGGCAAATTGCACCCAATCTCTCTCCCTGTAAGATCTCATCTGGTTTTGACATCAGTTGCAATGCTTTCAGTCTGAGGCTAAGCAGAATGTTATGCTGTGAATGGTCACCACAGAGAGACCACTGTGTTGCTGGTGTGGGGAGGCGAGGCTCAGGGTTGGACAGGTTAATTACCTACATAACCCTGGCTGTGGCCCAGCCCAGCACCTCCCAGAACAGGGACTGACATGGCTGAGGTCTACCTTGGAGATGGGGTCAGTGAAGAGGGGAGGCAGGGTCAGCCTCTGTGCAAGTAAAATGCCCCCTCACCCCAGCCTTCCTTTCCAGAGCAACCAATCTGAAAACAGAATTGCCTTTGGGGCTGGTGTTGTACCTCTGCTTTCAGGCCAAGATGGATTCCCTAGAAGAGGAGTTTGAAGCCCAATGTGCAAGGACATTTCTCAAGGGCCATGTGGTTTTGCAGACACTGCTGTCCTCAGGCCTGAACTCACCATGGAAACCCATGTCAGCAAACAGTGACCAGCAAATCCTCTTCCCTTATTCTAACTGCTGCCCCCTAGGAGACTCCAGGGGGCAGGCATTGCTTCCTCCCTAGTGTGAACTCTCTGGTATTCCATCCACCATCCTGGCAGCCCAGAGCTGCTTCTGGGTTAGGACAACAAATAGGGGGCCCTACAGTCAGAGCAGCTCTTACCCAAAGTGGTGAGCGTCAACTTCCTGTCCAGATTGCAAGTTAATGGCCTTTACAGCTGACTCGGGCTCCTATGTCGTCATTAATAAATATTAAAGCTGATAAGGACCAAGAAAGTGGGCCTGCAGCCTGAGTGTGGGAGGCCCAATGTCTTTCTGGTTGCTCTGTTGATGTTAGAATCCCACCATCACCCCTCTCGTGGGTCATAGTTGGAGAGCTCTGGCAAGGGTTAGGGCAGAGGTGGCTTTGTGAACACTGGGCCCTTTGAGCAATTAACCCCAGGCCCTAGTGGGTCATCAGTTGTAGAGAGACGGTCTCTGGCAGGATCGTTGCCCTTCACAGAGTGTCCAAAGATGCTGTCCAAGAACCAGGATGCTGCTTGGCTCTTTTCTTTCTCACGGTCGCCAGTTTCCTTTCTCAGCATCCTGAGGCTGCACCTCCAAACACTGACCTTCTTCTCCTCTGAACTGCAGCCACAGGCCCCTTGGGGCCAGGACTCATGCCCTTTTGCCTGGAGCTGGAAGGGGGGCCCTAACACTGAGGTCTTGCAGGGGCATGCTCTGCTGAGTGCCTGTGCTCCTGCCAATCCTGACGCCAGTAGACGCTGGGGAAATGGGCCAAAGAGAGGAACAAAGGCACGTGGAGGGAGTGGGTGGTGAATCCACTTCTTATACCAAACGGGGATAAGAACCCTTCTGTTGGGCTTTGTGCAGAAGATGCTGCTTCAGCAACCACTGGAATGGGGTTTAGGAGCACCAGAACGCTGCTCAGACCTTCAGCAGTGGTCACAGACACCACAGGCTTCAAATGGGGTGAATAGAGGGCAGACTCATCCTGGTGGGGTGTGTGTGTGTGTGTGTGTGTTTGTCTATCTTCCTGATTCATCTGATTCATCAATCAGCAGACCCTGGCCATCACCCATCTTTTCAGAGACAAGATGGGCACCAATTTGGGAGAACTGGCCTTTTCAAACACACAGGCAGGGTTTATGGTCAGTTCTACCTACATGTGTTATTAGACTCCCTCCAAGAGGTAACATTCAATTAAGTTCTCATGCGAGTGGTTAGGGAGTCCCCAGTAGCTCCAAAGAGGTCCTTCCCATATCCACATCTGTGAATGGCTAGATATGTAGCCACAGGCAGGACAGCTCCCAGCTGTCTCGCTCAGTGAAGACTCCAGTGTCTGTGGAATGGGGGCTCATTTTCGGTGCTACTGTCTTAACTCTGGCTCTGTCCATGCTGGACATGTCCTGCACATGTGTGTGTAGAGCTTAATGCAGGGTCCTCTTTGAACCATGCCTGGCCCTTGCAGGTAGATGTGGCAGCCACCTCTACCTCCTAATTTCGGCAGGCAGCATGGGGAAGCCCTTTCCAGGGAGTAGCTGGCAGCTCTGCAGTCTTTCCAGGCTAGTCTCCCCTGATGTCAGTGTCCCAACCCAGGTCCCCAAGGCAAGCCCTGCCCGGTCCTTCTGTCACAACCTTACTTCTCAAAGCCAGGAGCCAGGGGCCCAGCCTTCCCAAGAGAAGACAGAAATCCTGGGGAAAGCCAAAGGCAAGCTCTTTTCTGCCCCTGGGATGCCCTGTTCAAAAGCTCCCTTTGCTGGGCGGAGAATGTGAAAGCCACCCAGTCTTGGAGAACGGTTCTTGATGAGCCGTCTCAGTGCAGACTCTTCTTAGATGAACTCTGAGAAAGCCCCCATCCTCCTCTGATGTCCCCAGCCTACTCCCGACCCCCAGACCTGGCCCAACATGGAGAGAAGAAGGAGGGGAAATGGCAAGGCCAAGCGAGTGGCTAAGGGAAGCACTGGGGGTGCTGGGAGCGCACCATGCCCATAAGCCCCTTTAGCCAAAACCCCAGGATGAAGGTTGACAGCACTTTTTAGTGTTTGCTTCTCTCCCCACAGCAGCATCTATTCATCTGTCACCTCCACAGAGTCCTCGTCCTTTGTCTCCTCTGATGGATCCTCCATTGTTTCGGTGTCTGACAGCGATGTCACCTGCCGCACCATGTCTTTGTCACTGGGGATCTCTGGCTGACACGGTCTGGAGAAGGGGTTGAACCAGTTCAGGGAGAAGTCCCCACCAAAGGTCTCCTTTACTGACTGCCAGCTCCCCATGTGCTCCCTGGGCTGGTTCTTTCGTTTGAGGCGCTCGATGCCCTGCAGGGAGAAGGGGATGAAGAACATCGTCAGCGTGGTGCTGGGCTGTACAGCTCACATAGACACCCCCAGCTATAGCATAGCAGTGGCGGGGGGGGGGGCGGGGTGTCCACGGCATGGGTAAGATGGGGTCTGAGTGGGCAGTCTGTTGTGGCCCAGGTCACCCCCGGGAGGTCCCTCAGAGGACTGCTGGGGTGTGGGTGGACAGCAGCGTGGAGGAACACAGCAAGCAGGGCCCGCCTGGTGGACTGACGTGTTCTCCACCCACCACCCAGCCCTCCCCTTCTTTCCTTCCACAAGTGCAATGCCAGATGATGGGCAGGGGCTAGGCTGATGAGTGGCTGAGGCATAAGGGGGACCACACATCCTCTGAGGCCACTACAAACTGGTGATCCCCTCCTAAATATTTTTGGCCACTCCCACCAGGGTAGATAGGGGCTGCAAACACAGCAGAAGGACGATGGGGTTAAGGAAGGAGTGCAGGACACAAACAGCATGCGAGGTGAAGAAGCGGGTGCTCGTACAGCAAGTGCCAACATGCATTAGGCAGCCGGAGGGCACACAGGACCACTGTGGGGAGGTAAGGCTGGGCTCAGGCCTGCTCATGCAGCAGATCCACCCTGCAGCCTCTTCCAAGCTGTCAACTCACCTGCCTCTGGGTGTCGGCTGCAACTCAGCCACCAGGCCACAGAAAGGGTGTTGGGGTGGGGAGATGCCCAGAGGAGGTAAAGACATGGCCAGGCCAGCTCTCCAGGCCCACAACACCCTGCACAGAGGCCTTTGACCCTCCACTGGGGGCACTGCTTTCTCCATCTCTTCTGGAAGCCAAGGGAATTTGCTGTGGGTTTGCTGGGCTTGGGCACTGCTCCTTCACATGACTCAAGAAAGATCTCTGTGTATCTAGCACTTTTTCTTCCCACGCCATTTCAGAGATTTAAGATTCTTGACTTTTGAATAAATTCTAAGTTAAAAAAATTGGATCTCAAAAGTATATCCTCATAAGATACTTATCAATTACAAAGGGAAAAACAGTACCTTAATAGCAGGGAAGAAACATTGCACGTACCACCTTCACCCAATGATCAAAGTTAACATCACAATAATGAAACGTATCAACACCATATGCCTCCTGATACGGTGCAACGAGGACACATTGCTTCAGCAGTGCTCCTGCCCCAAATGCCTAACCTCAATCTAATCATGAGAAAAACATCAAAAACACAATCTGAAGGACAGCCTACAGAATACCTGCCCTACAATCTTCAAAAGGGTCAAAGATTGATGAAAAGATTTTGGAACCAGACAGACCTGGTGGTTACAAAACATTGTGAATGCATTAAATGTACACTTTAAAATGGCTAATTTTGTGTTACAGGAATTTCACCTCGATTTTTAAAAAGGGTCAAGGTCATGAAAGACAAAGGAAGACTGAGGAACTGTCACAAACTGGAGGAGACTAAGGAGACATCGCAAATGATGCAGTGTGGGATCCTGGAACAGAAAAGGGTGTTAATGGGACAACTGGAGAAATGTGAATAAGGTACATACATTAGTTAAGGGTATGGTGTTGCCAATGTCCAGGGTTTTATATTTGTATTATGGTTGTATAAAATGTTTACCTTTGGTGAGACTGACTGAAAGGTACATGGGAACTCTTTGTACTGTTTTTGTCACATTTTTGTAAGTCTGATTTCACAAAAAGTTTAAAAATAATCAATAATCTGAGACAAAGATTTATGCAATACAAACTTGAACACTGAATTATAATAATGCAAAGCTGGAAATGAGAAATGCCCAATAATGATGGTTAAGCAAATGATTCTATAACACTATGCAGCTAGAAAAGATGGTTTAATATGGTTTTACATGACATTAGAACATTTGTCTGAGTGGTTACTTTTGGGGATGGAATTCTAGAGGATTTGTATTTATTTCTGTAGACTTCTCACACAATCCAAGTTTTACCAATGAGCCAATGTTACTTTTATAATCAGAACAAAAATAGTTGTTTCAGAAAATGGATCTTGTTGACACAAGTCTAAAGGGACCTTCATGTGGGTCATGAGCATGTGATGCCATGCTGCTTCCTGACTGGCCCCTCGCCAGGCCTCCCTTCTTGGCACAGAAGCAGTGACCAGCTGAGATGGTTTGCTTTGGGCATTCTGCATTCTCTTCCTGGGTGATCATCTGCAGCCTGTTGAGAAAGAGGCTTTAACTTCATAGCACGAGAGCTGGGACATCACCATATGGCAGACCCGGCTACAGAGGAAACACCCAAAAATGACAGACTGGCTGCATCCACACTGACTTGGACTCAAAGCCATGACCATAGGTTTTTATGGCCTCCTTGTGAGGAGGTGGGTATGAGTATTGATGATTGGCAGATGGGGAAGAAACAGAAGTTCCAAGAGGCCATGACGGTGGCCAAGGCTCATCTAGCTTGTTATGTATCAGAACTGGAACCAGAACTAGTGTCTTTTTTTCTGCCCAACAGGTTTCCAGTTCTACTGCAAATCACCACTGTGCCCAGGCTGAGCTCAGTCAGAGAGAAGGGGAATGAAGCCAAGAGCCCACAGGATGATTATTTGCCATTCATGTGGCATGCTCCCAGATAGGCACTCTTGGATTATACTCAACCTCCTCACCAACCTCATAAAGTATTCCAGACAGAGCCTGGCCTGTCTACCAGAGGTCTTCAGCAGTAAAGTCGACAAACTTTCAGGGAGTGTTGACTTTTGAGTCTAGAAAGAAAATATTGCAAACAAATCCGATGTATAAAAATGGGCTGAGGGCTGCTTTTTCCTGGTAGGACTCAATTTTGAGTTTTGTGTGGATTTAAAGGGATCCTGCAGGCAAAGTTCTTAAGCTTGAGGTTTGCAGAGGAGCAGTAATAGTAGCTTCAGGCTCAAGAGAACGAACAAAAATGGTTGATGCCTGGTAAGGGGGTCATAGTCGACACCAGAAGCTCTTGCAGGGTGTGTGATGGGCCTTTTGGCCCAGGTCAGTCTGGGTGACACATGAGCTGTGATCTGTGAACAAACTCACCAACACTCCAAAATGAATGTATTAGGACTAAGGCTCCCGAGGAAGGAAGAGTCTGTGCAGAACAGACTCAGCTGAGCCCCACAGAACGAGAACAGGCTGTTCCCTGCTCCCTGTATCATCAGATGTAGAAAGCCAGAGCCTCAGGGAGCAGCCTATGCAAATGTGTCTCTTCATAGCGGGCCAGATAACACTGTCTCTCCTCATCAGAGATTTCATACCTCTATATTGTAACCCACAAGAGGAAACATTTTTCTGTTGCATTCCAGAACACATATACACACAACTCCCTAAGCTTCATAAAACAATACTTATCCTGCAATATGTAATGCATTAAACATTTTTCTTGAAAAACATGCTGGTTGCAAACCATGAATGGCTGTGACCAATGGTTTGAAAAGCACAGCTCCAACACAGCTAACATTTATAAAGCCATACCAGGGCCAGACGCTATACATTCCTATTCATCACCCTCATTTAATCCTTCCATTAACTTTGTGATTTAGATTATCATTCCCGTTTTCAGATGAAAAAACTGAGGCTTAAAGAAGTTACTGCTCAAGGTCATATTTTGGTAGTAGGTGCGGTAATAAGTAGCCAAGCAGACATTTCAACCAAAGACTGAAGCCAGGACCCAAATACTTGGTCACCAGACTATATGGCCTCAGCTGCAGAAATTCAGGGCATCCTTATGTCCGTGTTAGAGCATGTGCGGCCCCTAGAAGGCTTTTAGCGAACGTCCCTCTGCAGCGCTTGTCCTCACTCCTTGGATCAGCTTCATCGGCTCCTCCTGTGGGCCCAACAGAGCGGGATCCCTGGGGGCCACTCTGCTTTGCTACGGCAATCACACTGCTCAAGTCAGCAAGATGTTTACTTGAGGGAGAGGGTGAGAAAAAGAAGGTTCAGGTTGGGAGTACGCTGGTCAGTGGCTTGTTTCTGCTTCACTGTGAATTCTTTCTCTTCTATGAGGTGATCCTAAGCCAGATACATATTTAAAGAATACAAGAAAAAGCCACATGGGTGTTGAAACCCACACGTAGAAAGCAAAGGTCAAGACGTGTTCAGGTCATGTATCCAGGCTGCTACAATGCCCCTGGCTCTAGACTACTCACCGGCCGCCGCTCCCATCTGGAGGTCCCTTGGTTCTACTCTTTTCTCTTTCCCTTCCGGGCTGCTTCTTCACCCAAAGGGCCCTTGGTCTAGAGATGGGTTCCACTGATGAGATGCACAAGGAGTGGTGGGCAGGCTAATAATTTGGATCTGCTTCATACAGACTTTCTTTGATGTCTTGGCAGTTGTTTGTTGGGGAGGCCGCAGCTTATGAGGGAAGGCAGTCTCAGTGGCTTCTCCGCGGAGGGAACACGTGCCTGTCTCACAATCAGCACACCCCAACTGCACTATGCTGAGCCCAGCAGCACACAAGACCCATATCACCAGCAGGCATCAGGGACCACCTGAGGGGGGACTCCTGCTAGCCCCAACTGGATTCTCAAACTTGATAGTCAGAATCACCTGGAGGGCTGTTAAGACACGGGCTGCTGGGCCCCGCTCGGTTTCTGGTTCGGTAGCCTGGGGTGGGGACCGAGAATGTGCATTTCTAACAAGTTCTCAGGTGATGCTGATGTTGACGTTGCTGGTCTGGCAACCTCAAGAACACCTTTGAGGAGGATTCTAGCAAAATCTTTCTCTTTTCACATTTCTTTGATATCTAAGGGCACCTTCTAGGTGGGGCGCCTTCCCCTCTACTGGCTGGCTCACCCTTTAAGCTGATGCACTGCAAGTCTTGAAAAGAGAGAAATTTAAAACCCATTAGCCTGGCTGAGAAAGCCCATCCCAGCCCACCCGGAGAGGAGTTTCTGTGTAATGCCAACCTCACATACATGTTTAAAATGTTTGTTTTTTTTTTTTGAGACGGAGTCTCACTCTGTCGCCCAGGCTGGAGTGCAGTGGTGCGATCTTGGCTCACTGCAAGCTCCACTTCCCGGGTTCACGCCATTCTCCTGCCTCAGCCTCCCAAGTAGCTGGGACTACAGACGCCTGCCACCACGCCCAGCTAATTTTTTTATATTTTTAGTAGAGACAGGGTTTCACCGTGTTAGCCAGGATGATCTCGATCTCTTGACCTCGTGATCTGCCCGCCTCGGCCTCCCAAAGTGCTGGGATTACAGGCGTGAGGGATGTCCACAGTGAGAAGTGTCCGCGCCCGGCTTAAAATGTTTGTTAATTTACCTCACCTAAACGGTTTCTGCATTAGGGGACGGTGGATTCTAACTATTTAAGTGGCCTAGCCAGATGAGCAAAAGCTAATACTTGGGGCTTTTTCAAGAAGTACAGGGCTGGGCCCAGTGGCTCACGCCTGTAATCCCAGGACTTTGGGAGGCTAAGGCAGGAAAATTGCTGGAGGCCGGGCATTTGAGACTAGCTAGGGCAACACAGTGAGACCCTGACTCTATTAAAAAACAAAAAAATTAGCCAGGCATGGTAGTACGTGCCTGTAGCCCTGGATATTCAGGAGGCCAAGGCACAAGAATCACTTGAGCCCAGGAGTTCAAGGCTGCAGTGAGCTCTAATTGTGCCACTGCATTCCAGCCTGGGTGACAGAGCAAGACCTTGTCTCAAACAAAAAAGAGGAAGTACAGTATGAAGAAGACAAAATGGTGGGACTAAAAGGAGATTTAGCACATGCACTTCTACCCAAATGTGTTTTGTGTACATGATATTACCAAGCCCATGCAAATATGCATAGATTATAGATTTGCTTGGATCTAAGCCTTTTGCATATTCAGTCTAGTTGCTATGAACACAAACCTGACAGAGTTGACAGAAGGAAAGCAAGCTGGGGATCACAATCCAACAAGCCACATCTTTATTTTTCACTTCCACTCCCCAGAGCCCAGGCTCTGAAAGACTGTGGCTACGACTGGTTCAATTTCCCATGAGTGCACCAAACAGTACTATCAGAACTCCTGTGACCAAGCCAAAAGTTGGGGCTGACTTTGTGTAGAAAGATGTCCTCTTTCATTACATCCGGAAATACTGAGGAGAGCTCAGGGATGCTTTCCCTTCCTGTCCTGTGTGGAAGCCAGGCTGGGAACCAATCACTACCCTGCAAATGATGGCTACATTCCTCAGTCATTGTGCTCTTGGCAAAATATCAGTCTGAACAAAAATGAAATAGGAAAAATGCCAGGAACCTTGGGGTATTCCTATCTTCTGAGAGCAACTGGTTTGAGAGCTCAGAAACATTGACTCTTTCTAGCCAAGGCCTATACAAAACCAGAGGCAGAATCCTATAGGATATCTGAAGGAACCCCACTCTATTGGAAAGATAAGCATAGTATGCACAGCTTTAAAGGAGGAGTTTCTATTTTTAGGACTAAAAAAAAGTCAGTGCATCTTCAGCACTATCTACTGCATTCCTGAGAAATGCCAGGGGAAAAGAGCTAACCTGGCTCACTTTAAAAAATGCCCTGGAAGATGGAGTATTACCAATCTCTTCCCCCTAGGGGAGGGCCAGAGCTGTAGCCCTGCTCTAGTTATTTAATACAATAACACTTCTTTCATACACCTAACTGAGCTGTATGTTATGAAAAAATTTTAAAAAAGCATATGGAAAACAAATGCTATCAACTTGATCTAAAACAGCATTCTTTTCTTTTTAATCTTAGCATCTCAGCCTCGCCCGTATCGCATGAATAGCACCGTAGACACGAGGTAAAGTTAACTGACTCAGGAAAGCTCTTAGGAGAGCCCATCAGCACAAAGGAATTGATTCAGGCTGCAGAAAGCAAAGGAAAGAGGCCTGGTGGGGCAAGCTGGTTCAAGAGAGGGACCATAAATGCATTTTAAAACAAAAAAAATAAAGTATCCTCATTCAAGAGACAGAGCAATGAAACAAACACCCAACCAGAGAAAACTCAAGTAGATTGTGGATAGTCGGCCTCCCACTAAGGGTAACACCTCAAGAGAGAGCTAAATCAGAACAGGTTTTGGAAAAATTTTATTGCATTTTGTTTCCATGTGGAAGCACTGACAGAATTGAAAAGTGGCAGCATGTTCCACTTACTTTTCTGAAAAATCACATGGCTAGATTAACTTTCGCCCTACCCAGGACAGGATTGAATAAACCTTAACTCCTACCCCCACCCCAAGCAAAAGCTAAAAAAGGGGGTTTCTGGCAATTGCTTAAAAAACAAATCAATGTGTGAGAATTCCCCGATGGTCAATAATCATATTTGTTATTTTTGCACTTGGAGGGCACTCCCTACCTCCTTCACCTCTATCCACCATCACCACCTCCTTCAAACAAGACTGACACAGGAAGTGCCTCTCAAATGGAAAATCTATTCTGTCCCAGTGCCACAGGCTTAGGTGTGTCTGTGGATTCTGGCCAATGGGATGGCCATATGTCAACTTTGAAAGGGTGGGGACTGTGAGGTAACCCCAGCATCATGGTCATCTCCATGCCAGGACAACAGTCTCCCAGGTTAAAATATAGATAAGACACAGGTACGTGCACATTTATGGGGGTTAACTATCAGAAAGTGAATCCACTTTGAGGTTTATAAAATGAGAAGGGGATGATGGTGGGGCTGTATGTGTTGGGCACTGGTGCCTATTGCAGTCAGAATTCACACTGCTTAATTGACATCTTGCTGGGGAAGAGAGGGAGATGGGGTGGTGAGAGAGGAAGCAGATGAAACAAAGGAAAACGTAGCTTGCCTGAAATTGTGTAATTTTTTTTCCTCTTGATTGTATAAGGCATTTTGAACTGGAAAAACGTCTTTCCTACACACTCTTCCAAATAATCACAGGGAATATAATTGCTGATTCAGAATACAAATAAGACCTCTTTCATCTTTCTCCCCACTCCCCCGCAAAATCATTCTACACACCCCAAGCCCATAAAGTACAAGGCAGGCAATTGCTTTGCGAGTTAGCAGGCAAACCGTGTCCACTTGGGGGATGAGGTCGCTGTGCCAAGGTCCCTTCTGATCCTGCCCTTCTCAGGCCTCAAGGGGTAAGCATCCATCTTCGGTGAGGTTTTATGTCCCATCGGGGAGCCCGCCACTGCCTCCTGGGCAGTGGGAGGTCAGGGCCCTCCTGGCTTTCCCATGCATCCCCCACCAGGTGTCCAGACTATTCCATCCACGCACAGCGTCATGTCTCACTCAGTTAGTAGAATGGGCACAGCGCGAGACAGCGCCCTCTACATTAGTCATGCCAGACAGACAGCAGAGAGAAACCAGAGGCCAGAGAAGTGATTTTAAAAGGAAAAGAGAGCAGCTTCGGTCACCAAAAGAAATCGAAAGGATGGTTTTTAAAAAATAAAATGTGGGGACTTTTTTTTTTCTCTGCAATGCTCAGCCATTTTACTTGAGACATAAAAAAAGTTTTAAGAGTAGTTGTTTTGCTTTTTCGATTTAAACATTCATGAGAACGGATGGGACGGTAGTGCTGTGGTGTGGACTTGTGTCTGAGTGGCCATGCCGGTCGGGGTCCTTCAGACCACATACTGGTACGGGTCTGCCTTCCCTTGGTCTGGCGTGGCAAAGGGGCTGGCCCAGCCTAGAGAGAAGGGGTGGCCAAAAACGGCTTTCATGTTCATCCATTTTGTTTTTTTAGCCCATCTTCTCTCTTCCTTTTTCAATTGTTCTATTCCCTGAAAACAAGAACAATCATACTTTCAGTCAAGCACTGCATTGCTGTGGTTTCTGGGGAGGGATGTCCGCAGCGACAGGTGAATGGAGTAAATGTTTCCTTTTTAAAGCAACAAAGCTATCTACCTAATATATCTTTCTCATAAAAAGTGTTACTAAAAAAATTTCTCCTTTTTTTGGTGGGCACTCATTCACAAGTCCCTCCAAGAAGGGAGGGAAAAAGAAGCACTATCAGCAGCGCAGAAACTGCTGCTTGTAAGTATGCCAGGCCGGGGTGTGTCGCTAAGATAAGGAGCGCGTCTCTCCAGCCCTGGCCCCTTGTTGAGCTCTGCAGAGGCACTCTTCAGAAACTCTGTGCTGGGCTGTGGATGGAGTACTATGAAGGCTTTGGCGTGAGAGGCCTCAGAGCTGTTGGGGAGCTCGCAATCATCATAACCAATGATGGCCATTAATTTGGGATAGGTTCCTAGGAAGTTTGAAGCTACCATGACCACCTTGCAGACAAAAAAAAAGTAACAAATCAAATGACTGCTCTGGCGTTGTGTGTCTCACCAGCCTGGGGGATCAAGCAGCACCCCGCTTAGTGGGCCTGGTGAGACACAAACTGAGAAGGTTGAATAGGAGTGACAGACCACGAATGAGGGGAGAAGTCACCAGAGGAGGAAGGAGGAGGGATTAGTACAGGTTAGAGGGTGGCATGGCCAGGCCAGCCAGCATGGCATGGCAAAGGTCCTCCTAGTGGCTCCTTTGGGGAGAAGCATGGCGCAGACCTATGCAGCAGCTGTCACGGAGCCAGCGCTGCTTCCCCTGCTAAGTCTCAGGAAAAAACTGGGGCTGGGGAAAGAGCTGCTTCCTCCCTCTCTCTCTTCTTCAGATGGAGCTGGTCAAAGGGCAGGGCTTGAGAACGGGGCCCCTGCCCAGAGGGAAAGGACAGGAGCAGCCTGGCAGAAGCCTGGCCAGGGGTCTGTCTGCTGTGGTCTCTAGTAAAGGGGTGCTGGGAGGACAGCTGAGTCTGGGTCTTTCTTCACAGCCTAGGGACCTGGGAAGGGCACAGGCCAAAGGGAAGACACCCCTTCCCAGGTGGGGCAGGGCCCTCCAGCTTTCTCCTTTCCTTCCAACACAATTCTCTTTAGGAATGGTCTTCTCAGGGAAGAACGGCTAGGACTGGGGCCGTGAGAGCTTGCCTTCTGGCTCCCCCAGACCGTGGCCCGGCAGTATCCCAATGGCAGACTGGTCCTGAAAGAATCCCCATCGGGTTCCCCGTATATCTTACGTAGAGAAGTTGGTCACGGTTACTGCTTGGATACAGGGCTGGATCTATACCATTGGCTACTAGTTTTACAGAAACTCTTTTGCAATGACATCATTTCTTATAAAAGAAAAAAAGTTGCCAAAAGCCCCGCAACCTTCTAAAAGTTGCCGGAAGACCCGAATAATGGTGCTCTGGCAGTGGGCAGCACTGTCCCTTCTTTTCTTTGCACGTCCTCCTCTAAGCCCACAGGGGAAGGCGCCCAGCAGCAGTGGGAGGATGTTGTCATCCTATGAGCCCGCTTCTAATGCTGACTACCCTGAGGCCCAAACCTTCACCCAGAGCCCTAGACCACTGGTGAAAGCTGACCCTGAGGTGGCCTCAGGACACCAGGAATCGTACCGGGATGGCTCTCAACCTCATGGCTCTGCTTGTTCCTCACACCCAGAGCTAAGTGCCACCCCTTCTTCCTATGTAAATCCCCAGAGAAATGCCCATATTGCAGCCAGGGATTGACCACCTTGAGGTTTTCAGACACCTTAGGAAGGTCAGGAGACAGCAGTAGGGGCACCAAGGGAGTAGGCCCCAGTCTGGCACAGCCAGCAGCCTCAAAGCTTCCAGCGAAGATGCTGTGGGTAGATGGGAGGTGATGGTAGGGGTGAGGAGAAGGCAGCGGATGAGGACCAGGGCTGGGCCAGACAGAGATGACCCAGAGGCCAGGTAAAAGCCTGCTGCCCTGGGGGCTCAAGGCAGACCTGTCTCCTGACTCTGCCCTCAGGACCCAGGCATGGCTGGCAAGCTGACCTGCCTGTCCCAGCTGGGTTAGGGCACCCTGTCAACCACTCTATTTCAAGCCTGTGGCCCCCAGATGGGAAGGGTGCCCTCAGTGCCTAGTGGAGTGTCTAATGCAGTACAGTATAAAGGAAGACCTGCCATGGGGGGGATGGAAGGAAATGTGGTAAAGGCAGCCTTTCAGCCACGGCTGCTGGGCCGCACTCCTGGTGTGATCTGCTATGGCTGCCCCAAGGCTGGAGGACTTGTGTGTGGATGAAGATGACCCAAGTGTAACTGCAAACAAAGAACTGTGCCCTGCACACCAGGGGCCTGACCACTGGGCTCCAGTCTGACTGTGAGCAGCTCTCCCAGCAACACTGACCCTGGGTCCTCCCCATCCCCAGGTGTGGAAATGGTGGGCAGAGCCACCTGCTTACCGTCTCATCTGTGCAGATGGAGTGCACCTGGGTCCCAAACATCACTGATGTGAAAATGAGGAAGAGCAGGCCCTCAAAGCACAGCAGGATAAGGAGAATCACTGTGGTGGGTGGAGAGAAGGAGCTGCACTCTGAAAGAGAAGCAGCACACAGGGATTGGTACTGTCACCCACTGCCTGCTGCCCAGGCTCACTGCCCCACTAGGCGCCCACTCTGCCTCCTGCTTGCAGGCCTTCATTCCTCCTGGGTGCCATAGGTCTCTGGCCTCCAGGCTACGGTGAGAATCATCCTGGCCCACACTGGCTATCTCTCAATCCCTCAGGGAGGCCTCCTCAACAGGCCAGGCCCCAGCCAGGGCTTCCCTTCCCTAACACAAATCATTCCTTGTTCACTGCCCCCAGTGCCAAGCACAGTGCCTGACACATGGAAGGGCCCAGGAAGGCCTCTGAAGTGAGGCATGAACGCCTGACGACACCACAGGGGACCCTGCTCTCCTCAGAGAGCACAATGCAGGTACACAGGTGGAGAGGCCTGTCCAGTCCTGCTATGGCCATAGGTTTTCTGGGCATTCCTGTATGACGTGCTGCCCCTCTGTGCCCCATCAGCTCACAGGCAGCTGTGGAGGATCACTTGGTGGCTTTGGGATTTTAAGCTTGGCAGGGGCAGCTGAACTACTGGGTCTCAGCCTTGACCACAGTGTGAGGTAATGCACTGCCCCCGCTCCCAGGGACATTTGCAGCACCGAGGCCAACAGTGCCAAAGGCCAGGGAGTCGACCAAAGAGGCATGGGCCCAGAGTAGGCACTTTCACTGTCCTGGCCTCCAGCCCCGGGGACCTGAGGCCAGTCCTGCCATCTTCAGGCCTCCACCCACTGCACTGTGAAGCAGTGAGATTTGACTAGAGGTATGGTTTGCTTTTAAGCAGAATCTTTTGTCTGAACAAAGTCTAAGTCAGAAACCCAGCGCATGGAAGAGAAAGGCAAAGGTGCTGTGGAGATGGTGGGGGTGAGCAGGGAGGGGAAGGCCCTGAAGCAAGGTGGCCTGGGAAATGCCAGGCCTGGAAGATGGTGCTGACAGACAGGCTAGGCCCCTTGGTTGGCACTCTTCACCTAAGGACTTCTGTGCCTCAGTGCAGCGGCCCATGCTGGCTGAGCCTGGGCTGTGGTTTATTTCTCGTTGCTTCCATACTTGTGCCTGTTTCCCTGGCTGGAAAGATCAGATCCTGGAGGGCAGAGTCGGGCTTCATTAATTCTGGGAATTAAGGGAGTAAGCACTCCATCCAAGCTGTCCTGCTGGCTCCCCCACGGGAATGTCAGGAGGGGCAAGGGAGGTCAAATGTGGGAATGAGCTTGGAAAGATACCAAGCACCATGTGGGTGACAGGTAAGAAACATCTCATCCACAATGCATATCTCCTCAGGTTTCCCTGGGAACTTATCGATGCCTCAGAATGATTTCTCTTCTTGGCTCCTTGTGGGGCAGGGCTTGGTTGGGGTGGCCACCAGCCTGATGGCCTGGCCGTGGGTGGCTACAAGTATGGGTGGCCTTGGGCTGGGCAGGGTATTGGGGAGAATGAGAGGCTCTGACATCTGGCAGACACCACGAGGTACAAATCCTGGCACCAATTCCTGATCATGAGCTCTAACTACAAGGCCCATACTAATATTCTGTTCCAGCCCCTGTGTCTTTCCTGTCCTTTGCATTGTGGAATTACCTGTTTCTTTCTGTACTGGTTTGATAGGTGCCTCTCCCACTACACTTCAAACTCCAGGAGCGGGGAGACTTTGTTTTGCTTACTGCTGTACAACCAGCCTTGGGACAGTGCCTGACAACAAAAGGATCTGGGCAAGAGGTTTGGGCTTTCTGAGATTTTGTTTTCCTTTCTGTACAGGGGAATACTTAAGAATTCATGAAAGAACATCTGCACAGTTCGGCCTTGGCCTGGCAGGAGCACATGGGGGTGCCTGCTGGACAAAGCACCTCCTTCTTACCTACCTCTGCTGCCCTGGAGCTGGTGGAAGAGCCCAGGGCCATGGCCTATTCTCCCTCCTTGCAAAGCAGCAAGCATCATTCCTCTGTAGGCTGGGCCCCAGGAATTACCAATGGAGTTTGGGGAGGTAGGAATCAGATCAGGGAGTGTGGAACCACCTCCCTACCCTTCTTTAAATATCAACTCAAAGTGCCCTAATCCTGGGGGACAGCCCTCTGCCCCCACTCACACCAGCTCCTATGGCCCAACAGCTCCACCAGGGCTGAGCAGTGAGGGCAGTAATGGTCATATACAGTCAACTCTCAGGCCTCAACTTTGGGTACTGACCTGTGCCTTCCCAGCCTAGCTGCCATAGAAGCTGGGTGCCTGAAGCTCACTCCATCAGGAATTTTGACCACAGTTAATCAAGAGCATGGCTGGGAGGACCCTGACCACTGGAGTCAACCAGACAGGGCTAAAAATCTTGCTCCAGACCTAGGCTTGAACTACAGACCCTCTTGTTAGCTGAGTGATCCTGGAAACTTGTTCATCCTCTGTGAGCCACAGCTTTTGTCATCTGCAAAGTGGGAAGCATCTCTCCTACCTTGCAGGCTTGTTATAAGGGCGAAACAATGCACTGCTCAAAAAGCCCTTTGGGCCATTCCTGGCTCCCAGTAGGCATTAATGCAATGGTGCCTTCCAGCACCATTACAACAACAGGGACATTTTGCCTCACTGACAGTCTGTGCTACCCCTATCACCTGCCCAAGTCTGTTAACTTGACGAGAGGTGGGAGGTGTTTGGGATGATAAAATATCCTAATTGGACTCCCTTGTCAAGTAACCAAGGCCACATCTGGAGTAGATCTGGTTCCCCAGGCCTAGCAGAAGGCATGTACTTCAGAATGCTCACCAAGTGATCAGGAACTTGCTGGCGACTCACCTAGATATGCAGAATGGCAAGTTCTGCACATACCCACTCACCCCTACCCTCCTCTCCTATCTCTATTGTCTGCTGGCTTGACCTCTGCCATTTGACTTATGCCAGAATTGTGGGAAGAAGTCAGCATGTATAGGAAGAGCAAAAGTTCTAAAGACAGTGAAATAAAAAAAAGGAGGCCCATGGAGGGAAAAGCTTAGGAAATACAATGTTCCTTGCTCAAGACGTTTGTCTCACAGATTGTGAGTATGAAAGAGCCAGCCCAGCAGGTGGCCTCTTATTTCTTTTCCTCCAGCATCTATTGTTTTCCTTCAGGATCTGTGCAATCTTCTGGCTGGAGTTTCTCCCTCAGTATTTGCACATTTCAGTGGGAAGCCTCTAAAGCAGGAAGAATTATCTACAATCTTAATGTAAATTCACGATTATCAGTGTAAGCAGTTAAAAAACACCATCACAAAAACCAAAGAAATTAATAAAGAAACTCCATGTCCTAGCCAGAAAGTAAAAAATGAATCTCTGCAAGACTGGAATAAAATGATCTTTGATTTAAGTGCCTCATGGAAAGACAGAAAACAAAACTTCTCTCCCAGCATGGCTCCCACGCATTGGAACCGGCCTCTGTGCTTGCTTGGGGCCTGCATTCTCCCTGGGCACGCTCAGTCCAGAGGGTCTGTCTGTCCAACTCATGACTTTACCTGTCGAACTGAAGTTAAGGGGCTGCATTTTTTCATGAAGAGAGATTCCAGTCTCTGCCATTTCTTCCCTGTTCAGTCCATAGGCTTTCAGGAGATTTAATAAAATGAGGTTGGCCCCTGGCACCATGAAGGAAACAAAGAGCCTCCCCGCCCCCCACTCAGGTCACACACCCACCCTGGAGCAGGGAGGAAAGCCTCAGCACATACTCACTTGTCCAATCTTCTTCAAAGCAATGCAGGAAGTGGAATCCCACCATGATGAGGGCGTGCAAGGAAATGAGAGCTATGTACATCTGAAACAGGAAACCAGTGCAGACACCATTGTTGTGAGAATCCTCTGACCTCACGGGCTCCCGGGACAGGGGCACTCAGAATTTGCCACTCAGGAACACTTAGTCAGGACAAGGCCTGACCAGGAGGGACCAGAGGGCCAGCTAGCGATTCCCTACAGATCCGTCTACCCACCAGCCCTGGGTCAAGTGAGCAGCCACCTCCGGGAGTACGTGGAACCAGAACAGAAGCAAGCCCGTCACCAGGCATGACCTGGGCTCCAGGCAGTATGAGCTGCCTGGGCGGGGGGTTCAAGCCTGCTGTACCTCCTCCCTTGAAAAGCCAGGGTGCTGACTGCTGAGGGCCCTTCTAGTCCTTGCACTAAGTAGACTCCACCTACCTGCACCTCAGGATTTGAGGTCATCACCCAAACTGCCTTCTTGAGCTACTTAGGTCCAACACTTGGAATGGGAGCCCAGAATACAGCCCTTGCTCATAGCTAATCAACTGAAATCAATTTTCTAAACGCTCAAGTGAAGGGCTTAGGTACAGGCACTTGTTGAGCCAGAGAGATCTTTGGCAGGAAGGCAGAGATCTACAGGGCCAGGCAGTATTCTGAGCAAAGAACATCGTGAATGCTGAGAATTTTCAAAGGAACAAAGTGCTCCATTGCTTCATGGGGGGCAGGGCAGAATTTGCAAGCTGACTTACTGTAAACAGGACGAAGTACTTCTGGTTGTTCTCGCCTACACAGTTGTTGACCCAGGGACAGTGGTGGTCCATCTTCCGAATGCACCGCTTACAAACACTGAAACAGCCCACAGGTCAGACCTTTAGGGCATCCCCATGGTGTTGGGAGGGCCCCGGGGGAACGCAGAACCCATGGCTCCTGCTCCACTCCTCTGAAATGGCTTCCTTGGGCACTGCCAGGGGTTTTGCTGGGTGTGTGTCACGTGGGGCTTGGGAGGCAGGGTCAGGACCCCAGGGGTGGCAGTCATTCCAAACGGGTACAGAGTCATTCTCCAAAGCCCCTTAGCTTAACACATACATAGGACGGAACTGACATGGTTACATGGCTAAGATAGAACCTGCTCTCCTGAAGTAATGGGGCTTACGATTTGGTTTCCCGAGAGAAAAAGAATGAAGCAGTTTCAAAAACTTGACCAAGTGGGCTAAGATTTGGAGAATGGCTGCTACCTATTTCCCCAAAAGACCAAACCACCAAGGGATGGGTGGAAGTTCTAGAAGCACTATGAGGTGCTACCAGGGAGGGCCAGGTACCTCCACCATGGAAGGACAAAGGACAGAAGAGAGGGCTATTTCAGAGCAAGGTCAAGGACAGCAGGAGGCCCAGCTCCAAGAACTTTTTGGCTCTAAGATGACATCCATTTAGCCAAAAAAAAAAAAAAAAAAAGCAAGCAAGCAGAAAAGTCATTTGAGTCCAGGCGCAGTGGCCTGTAATCCCGGCACTTTGCGAAGCTGAGATGGGCAGATCATCTGAGGTCAGGAGTTTAAGACCAGCCTGACGAACATGGCGAAACCCCATCTCTACTAAAAATACAAGAATTAGCTGGGTGTGGTGGTGCATGCCTGTAATCCCAGCTACTCGGGAGGCTGAGGCAGGAGAATCACTTGAACCCAGAAGGCAGAGGTTGCAGTAAGCTAAGATCGTGCCACTGCACCCTAGCCTGGACAACAAGAGCAAAACTCTGTCTCCAAAAAAAAAAAAAAAAAAAAAAAGTCATTTGAGCTTAACTGTCGACCAGATCAGTTCATTAATTTGCACATTTCTAACATTATTGGGATAATTTTTGGGCTGAGCCTGTTTCAAGCTTATTTGATAGCAAGCACAAACCCGCTCCCCCTTTGGACAATTCAAAGTAATAATATGAAACAAGCGTCCCGGACTACTAGGGGCTTGAAAGCAACTGCTTCCCAAAGCTCAAGTTTAGAAAGACTCATTTGCCATGAGAAAGAAAAAAAACTTTTTAATCTGAGGAATGTGAGCCCATTTAATTATTAGGCCTAGAGAGGCACTGAAATAAGACAGCCTGTGACAGCAGTCATGTCTCACACCCCCCTTCGAGATAAATAATTACCTTTCTTTGTGTGTGTGTTAGATAGGATCTTCCTCTGTCACCCAGGCTAGAGTGCAGTGGTGCGATCACGACTCACTGCAACTTCCCGGGTTCCAGCAATCCTTCCACCTCAGCCTCCCGAACAGCTGGGACCACAGGTGCACGCCACCACACCCAGCTAATTTTTTTGTATTTTTGATGGAGATGGGGTTGCCCAGGTGGGTCTCAAACTCCTGAGCTCGAGCAATCCACCTGCTTTGGCCTCCCAAAGTGCTGGGATGACAGGCAGGAGCCATTGTGCCCAGCAAATAATTACCTCTTGAAGCCACTAGCTATGTGGGCTCTAGACTGATGCCAAGTAGCCATGGAATGACACACACCCTATAGTTCAACAATGTACAGCCAATCACTAATCAATGTTATTTCTGTAAGCCAATGAGAGTTCCTGTCAAACAGCTTTGTATCAGCCCGCTCCTTTTTCCCTTTAAAAACCTGCTTGTAAATGGGGAAAAGACTCCCTATTCAATAAATGGTACTGGAGATAACTGGCCAGCCATATGCAGAAGGTTGATGCTGGACCCCTTCCTTACACCATATACAAAAATCAACCCAAAATGGATTAAAGACCTAAATGTAAAACCCAAAACTATAAAAACCCTGGAAGACAATGTAGGCAATACCATCCTGGACATAGGGCAAAGATTTCATGACAAAGATACCAAAAGCAATCGCAACAAAAGCAAAAATTGACAAATGGGATCTACTTAAACTAAGAAGCTTCTGCATAGCAACAGAAACTATCAACAGAGTAAACAGACAACCTACAGAATGGGAGGAAATATTTGCCAACTATGCATCTGACAAAGGTCTAATTATCTGGCAACTATAAGGAAATTAAACAAATTTACAAGAGAAAAACAATCCCACTAAAAAGTAGGCAAAGGACATGAACAGACACTTCAAAAGAAGACATACATGTGGCCAAGAAGCATATGAAAAAAAAGCCCAATATCACTATCATCAGAGAAGTGCAAATCAAAACCACAATGAGATACTATCTCACACCAGTCAGAATGGCTACCATTAAAAAGTCAAAAAACAACAGATGCTGGCGAAAGTGCAGATACAAGGGAACACTTACACACTGTCGTGGGAGTGTAAATTGGTTCAACCATTGTGGAAAGCAGTGTGGCAATTCCTCAAAGAGCTAAAAGCAGAACGACCATTCAACCCAGCAATCCCATTACTGGATACATACCTAAGGGAATAGAAATCCTTCTACCATAAAGACACATGCATGCAAATGTTCATTGCAGCACTATTCACAACAGCAAAGACACAGAATCAACCTAAATGCCCATCAACCTAAATGATGACAGATTGACTAGAGATGTGGTACATATACACCATGGAATACTATGTGGCCACAAAGATGGGAACACAGACACTGGGGTCTACCTGAAGGTGGAGGGTAGGAGGGAGAGGGCCAGAAAGATAACTATTGGGTACTGGGCTTAATACCTGGGTGATGAAATAATATGTACAACAAACCCCCAACACACGAGTTTATCTATGTAACAAACCTTCACATGTACCCCCGAACATAAAATAAAAGTTAAAACCCCCCCCCAAAACCTGCTTGAACGAAGGCAACTTGGAAGTGTGTTTCAGGCTGCAGTCCTCAATGTTGGCCCAAATAAACTCTCTCAATTTTGCCTGCTTCTTTATTTAGGTCACCAGCCAATAGATGTGCTCATTGACAATTTTTTTTCAATTCATTATTTTAATGAATTCTAGTCTCCTTTTTATTATTTTGGGGGCATTATTTGTTCAAAACAGGTTGAAATGCTATAAACAAAGCTTTGAAATAATACAATTATATTTCCTTTTAAAAGTTCCTTAGTTCAAGGCCAGGTTTGGTGGCTCACACCTGTAATCCCAGCACTCTGGGAGGCCGAGGCAGGCAGATTACTTGAGCTCAGGAGTTCAAGACAGCCTGGGCAGCATGGCGAGACCCTGTCTCCAACAAAAATAAAAAAATTAGCCGGGTGTGGTAGTGTGCACCTGTGGTCCCAGCTACTCGGGAGGCTGAGGCGGGAGAATCGCTTGAGCCTGGGGTGGGGAGAGGAGACGGCAGTGAGCTGTGATTGTGCCAAAGTTCCTTAGTTCTGCTGGGCATGGTGGCTCATGCCTATAAGCCCAGCACTTAGGGAGGCCAAGGTGGGAGGATTGCTTGAGCCCAGGAGTTTGAGACCAGCATGGGCAACATAGTGAGATCCTGTCTCTAAAAATAAGTTTTTTTTTTTTTTTTTTTTTTTTAAAAAAAAAAGCTCTTGGCTTTCAGCTCGGAGGCAGCTAAGGTGCAACCTTCTTCGGTTGTCCCAAATCTGGGTTCATCCAACACCAGCTGCCTCTACCATGCTGCTGAAGTTCGACCTCAATGAGATCAAAGTTGTATAGCTGAGGAACACCAGGAGTGAAGTCAGTGCCATCCTGTGTGGGCCCCCAAGATTGCACCCGCCGCATGGGTCTGTCCCCAAAAAAGGTTGGTGATGACATTGCCAAAGCAATTGGTGACTGGAAGGGTCTGAGGCTTACAGTGAAAGTGACTATTCAGAAAAGATAGGCCCAGATTGACATGGTACCTTCTGCCTCTGCCCTGATCATCAAAGCCCTCAAGGAACTGCCGTGAGACAGAAAGAAACAGAAAAATGTTAAACACAGCGGAAATACCACTTTTTTTTTTGGAGACAGAGTCTCGCTCTGTTGCCCAGGCTGGAGTGCAATGGTGTGATCTCGGCTCACTGCAGTCTCCAACTCCTGGGTTCAAGCAATTCTCCTGCCTCAGCCTCCCAAGTAGATGGGACTACAGGCATGTGTCACCAAGCCAGGCTAATTTTTGTATTTTTAGTGGAGACGGGGTTTCACCATGTTGGCCAGACTAGTCTTTAACTCCTCACCTCAAGTGATCCCCCCGCCTCGGCCTCCCAAAGTGCTGGGTGGGCTCACAGGCGTGAGCCACTGTGCCCAGCCGGAAATACCACCTTTGATGAGATTGTCAACATTGCTCTACAGATACAGCACCGACCTTTAACCAGACAACTCTCTGGAACCATTAAAGGGATTCTGGGGACTGCCCAGTCTGTGGGCTGCCAAGTTGGTGGCCGCCACCCTCATGACATCACAGATGACATCAACAGTGGTGCGGTGGAGTGCCCAGCTACTTAGAAGCACAAAGGACGATATTTCAATAAAGAATCATTTGACAACTAAAAATAAAAATAAATAAAAATAAAAAAAGTTCCTTAGTTCACACCAGCTTTCCTCTCCACTAGCTTCTATAACTAATTTTACCTTGGGTTCTTGAAAAAGTGCAGAGTGGGCAATGGCAGGTGGATGCTGGAGGAAGGGCTGGGCGTTGGGGCCTTGCTGGATCACACTCACACCACAGTGCTGGCTAAGCTCTTGCTGACCAGCTGGAAGGACAGGGAAAGCATAGGAGCAGCTCTGCTGGGCTGGAGGTGTGCTGTCCCCTGGATTCCAGAACCTGGAAGCAAAGACTACCCGGAAACAGTCCTCCACCACGGTGCTCACTTGTAGCCCAAGGAGAAGATGTGTGCTTTTCAAAGCCTCGCATGAACTTTGGTGGCAATGCAGACCTGAGTCCGCTGAGCTACCTTGGTCAAACTGGCTAACTCGGAGCCTCTAGTTTCCCTTCTGTACAAAATAAGTTTATTATAAAGAATACATGAGACAGATATTGTGCCTGGCTCAGACGATGTGTGGATTCATACTGGTCTGCACCCTTGCTCTTTTCCACAACTTCAAAGGGCCTTACTAACACAGGCATGTTGGGAATGGGTATATCTCAGACATGCTGGCCTGGTTCCAGAATTTCCCTGGGGACCAGGAGGGCAAGGTAAGAAAAGGAGACACAAAAGGGACATGGAGGTAACAAAGAGCAAGAGAAGTACCAGCAAGTCCATTAGCCACTCTGCTTCTCTCTCTCTGTTACCACTTTTAAAAATACACATGAATATACATATAAGTATACATGCAGAATATATATTTTTAAATTGGTAATGCCTGTTCCCAATACACAATTTTAAAAGTGCAGATAAGCAGACAGTGCAGAGTGAGTACTCCCTGCATCCTAGGCCTCAGGCACCAGGTGCCATGCTCCCACCATAGAGCCTGTTTCTGGCATGTTCTTCCAGAGACCAGCACCTCTGGGTTTCTTAATCCCCTTCCCATCTGGGGAACAAACTCCTGAGGGTAACCACCTCCCTGCTCCTGGCTCCTGAGCAGTTTCTCTTTCATCTGCACTTATTTTTAAAAGGGTTTTCAAGTGGGTGCTCTTGAGACAGTGTTGGCTCAGCGGCAGAGAGGTGCCAAGTGGCTGGACATCCTCTGAAAGCTGCCCAAGAGTTTAAACAAGCTCTTACAGCAAAGCTATTCTTCCCTCTCCTCCCAGCCTCTCTGGAGACAAGGCGTGAATGCCAGGAAGCTGGGTTTCCCAATGGGCTGAGTCTCGCTGGGCTTCCAAATTAGAAAAATAAACACCGCAGGGAGAGTGAGTACAGCCTGCTGAGGGCCACAAGTGTTGGTCTAAAATGCTGGTCCCCGAGTTTCCTGTTTTCAAAGATATGAAATGCCAAACCCACACTACCCTTCTCCTTGGGCCAGGTGGTATGCAGAGTGGGTGGGGTGAGGCCCATCCCACGTGGCTGGAGGCACTGCTCAGAGGCTGAGCTGCTCACAGAGGCCAGAAGGGTGCTGGGGCTGGAGCCTGGAGCAACCAAGGACAGGGACCAGAGGCAGATGTTGAAGGGCAGTGAAGGACATACCACACCCTGCCCTGCTGTTTCACCTCTGGCACCATCTGCCATGAGGAAGAAAAAATGTGGACCTCCCCCCACAACTCCTGACTCCCAAAGGGAATCAATCACCTCAGAGCCAGCCCTTTTCCCAGCCCCCACTGCATGCACATGGGCAGGGGGCTCAGCAGTGTTCCCTCCCTAGGCATAGCAGGGCAGCCCAAACACAAGGCCAAGGAAGGCTCACAGATCACAGACTAAGAGCCTCTTCCACACACTTGCTCAGCCATCTTCCCCGTTTTGGCTGTGGATGGCCTCAACACCTGAGGCCCTTTCTTCATTCTTTCCACTTGGCAAAATCCACCCTATCCTCTAAGGGTCCTTCTTGTCCACAGTCCTCTCCTGGCATTCCTTTCTGGCACTAATTCCAGAGTCTCGTGGATGAGACGCTGTAAGCTGGTGAGCTCCATGGCACAGGGACCAAGTGTGCAAAAACAATCACAGAAAAGACCAAATGCCCTAAATGGAGGTATCTGCATCCTGGCCTTCCAGGTTTCCCAGGCCCCTTCTATGTTTCTTTGTCGTCACTGTAGAAGAAGGCAGATGCTTCCCTTCTCCCCTTCCTCCAGATTTCCTACCATTTTTTCAGGCCTCAAACCTTGGTAGAATCCACCAAGCTCACTGGCTCATATGTATTCAGTTTCTCTGGGGCTTATGTGTTTCCTCTCCAAGGAGGTATGAGGGCCCTTACTTGGTACTCATCCCCAAAGGAGCTGGCCGAGGCTCTCTTGCTCACCCTGGGTGATGGCTCAACATGGAAACATAGCCACATTCCATGGGGTTCTGTCTCTCCCTATACCAGCACTTACCAAACTATATCATGGTGGAGAAGTGTGCCTGCCCTGCTTGGGTGGCAGGCTCCTAGAGCCAGGGCCAGGTCTAATCCACCTCTATAAGCTCAGAGTCGAGCTCAGAGCCAAGCCCAGGGCCCCCTTTAGCAAGGGTCAGCTGAATGAAGTCTCTGACACCACAGACAGGAAAGAGCAGGCCTGGAAAATGAGTTCAACTACATCAGACTGGGATGCTCATGTAGGAAAATAGTAAGAAAACAGCAAGAAGGTACTAAGTGAGCCATGGCGTCACACACAGGTTTTCATTTTACCCCTCACTGGCTATGACTAAAATTATAAGCAAAAAAGACATCTATACCACATCCTGGCTCCAGCTCAGAAACGATTTTGGGAAGGACAGTGCAGTGGAGTGGAAAGAACAGGGGATCTGAGAGCAGGTCCTCATTTTGGGCTCTGGTCAGAGAAACTTAGGTTCTCCAATCAGCCTCAGCAGAACTACTCTGATCTCTTAGGGTCATTGTGAGCACCAAAAATGTATGCAAAATGCTTTAAAAACAATACTAGTGCTACATAGATTTTCTCAGTAATCATAACCATGAGAAAGACAAAACAAGAATCTCTCAGGGGCTCTAAGCAGCCCAGGACTGTCTTAGCCTCAGTGTGGGTGTCTGGGGTGTGGAGGCGGGGGGCTGCCAAAGTCAGAGGTCTCTCCCTCCTCATGCAGAAGAACCTAGCAGGAGTGTCTAATCTTTTGTCTTCTCTGGGCCACACTGGTAGAAGAAGAACTGTCTTGGGCCACACAAAATACACTAACACTAACAACAGCTGATGAGCTAAAAAAAAAAAAAAAAAGTCTATGCATACATGTCCTAATGTTTAAGAAAGTTTACAAATTTGTGTTGGGCCACATTCAAAGCCATCTTGGGCTGCAAGTGGCACACAGGCCATGGGTTGGACAAGCTTGAAAGCATAAGCCAAATGCCATGGCCATCCACATTAGCATAAATGGCTCCTCCCACAGAGTTTCCACATGCTTCCATGGTTCCTATGAACAGGAGATTTGACACCAGGATGAAAGAGCGTGGGGTTTCAGAGTGCTTCTCCCAGGAAGGAAAGACCCAACCACACACCATAGGGCTGGAAGGAACACCTACAGGCCCAAGGTCTAGGTGTATCTGTGGTATCCACCAGAGACAAGGGAATGGAGACAGTCTCAAATTCTAAAATGCTGGGCGCAAACGTATGTGCACACATGCACCTTTGCCTGAGCGGGCAAGGTCGACATCAACTTTAACCAGGCAGGCAGCCTCTGGGCTCAACGACTATAAACAAACCCAGTCTGTCTGGTATGCTGGAGATTCTGCTTATCCAAAATTGTGGGTCCCCAGATGGCCTGGGCCACCACGCACCATCACAAAGGAGCAGTTGTCAGCATGCATTTCTGAGGCAGGAACAGGCAACTCTACAGGCATCCTCACTTTAGTTCATCTGAATCAGCAGCTCTTGCTTTGCCCAAGCTGATCTGTTTACTAGCACACAAGAATACCTCCCTTGGATCATCCTGGGGAGAGAGGCAAGGAGGAGGCAGTGAGGAAAATGCCAGGCGGTGGAGGCAGCTGAGGGCTCAGGGAGAGAAGAGAAAAGAATCACCAAAAGTTCTTTTCTATAATACAAAGTTAACACCTCCCTGTTCTGGTCCAGCCTTTATAAACCCAGCATATCCCTAACTCCATACACATTCTTCTATTAGCAATAGCTTACGCTTGTTGAGCTAGGTGACTCACAGTTACTCATACTTAATCCTCACAACAAACTACAAAGAAACAACCCTTTTTACAGAGGAGAAAGCTGAGGCTCAGAAAGATGCAGCACCTGGCCGAAGGTCCACCGTGTAGCAAGCGACACAGCTGAACTTCCAACACCAACCACTCCAACTTCAAGGCCAGAGTCTGCTCCACCATACCGGGCTATCCTGAGAAACCACATAAGCAAGCTGAGCTTTTTAAAAAAAATCTGAGTGATGGTTAGAAAACAGCTGGCTCCTAAGCCCGAGAGTGGCAAGAAAAGACCAGACTGAAGCCTCCATCTCAGGCACAGGAGGCAAGCCTTGAATTAGATCTCAGAAGCAAGCTCACCCACAGACAGAAACCCCGGAGGAGCTAGCAATCACCATTGGCCCCTACCCAGGCTCCTCAGCCCTCACCCTCAAGCTTTGAGGAGGTCTGCAGATCTCTCTCTTTCAGACAGAAAAACATACATACAACTACATAAAGTTACATGTGTCATCCCCAAACTGGAGTTCCTGTGGAAAGAGCCCTGTCTGGACCTGGAGCCAGAACTGCCGGGACCCAAACCTGTCTCTAGTACTCACTGCTGTGTGACCGTGGAGCACTCAACCCCTTTGAACCTTAATTTCTTTATCTAGGGAGGCCATCCCTGCAGCAATCCCGATTTCCAGGGGTGAGTAGGAAGATGAAAATAGATGACTGACGCTGAGGCAGGGCAGGCTGAGGTGCCGTGGGCACAGCACACAGGTACTGGGGAGCTGACTCCGGAATCTGAGTGCTGGAGACTGGCCACTCTCCTCTGAAAGACAGGCAGCAAGGCCAGGCAGAAATCGCCGTTCAGATCTCTCACACACCCAAATGTCTCCGCAGGCTAAGCCTGACAAGGAAGATGTCCAACACCTGGAGCAGATTCAGTCCTCTATAACCCCTCCCCACCCAAACACATACCCTCTGAAAAGGGGACCAAGTGATATTTTTGTATTTCTGTAATTCAGCATGTAAAGTTTCCTTGTATGTCAGTCGAGGTGGCTCACACCTGTAATCCCAACACTTTGGGAGGCTGAGGTGGGAGGATCACTTGAGCCCAGGAGTTCGAGACCAGCCTGGGCAACAAAGTGAGACTGTGTCTCCCTTTGTGTGTGGTGGTGCATGCCTGTAGTCCCAGCTGCTCTGGAGGCTGAGGCAGGAGGATTGCTTGAGCCTGGGAGTCTGAAGCCGCAGTGAGCTATGAGCTTGCATGACAGAGTGAGACCCAGTCTCAAAATAAATAAATAAAATTTTTTTAGAGACAGGGTCTCACTTTGTTGCACAGGCTGGAGTGCAGTGGTGCAACCTTGGCTCACTGCAGCCTCGGACTCCTGGGATCAAGCGATGCTCTGCCCTCAGCCTCCTGAGCAGCTGGGGCTGCAGATGTGTGCCACCACACCCAGCTAATTAAAAAAAAATTTTTTTTTTTTGAGATGGAGTTTCACTCTTGTTGCCCAGGCTGGACTGCAATGGCACAATCTCGGCTCACCGCAACCTCTGCCTCCCGGGTTCAAGCGATTCTGCTTCGGCCTCCCGAATAGCTGGGATTACAGGCATGTGCCACCACGCCCGGCTAATTTTGTATCTTTAGTAAAGACAGAGTTTCTCCATGTTGGTCAGGCTGGTCTCGAACTCCTGACCTCAGGTGATCCGCCCGCCTCAGCCTCCTAAAGTGCTGGGATTACAGGCGTGAGCCACTGCGCCCGGCCTAATTTTTAAATTTTTTTGTAGAGATAGAGTCTCGCTTTGTTGCCCAGGCTGGTCTTGAACTCCTAGGCTCCAGTGATCCTCCTGCCTTGGCTTCCCAAAGTGCTGGGATTACAGGTGTAAGTCACTGTGCCCAGCCAATAAAGTACAACTTTTAGCTAGATGTCTTCTCATCAGAAAAACTTAATAAAGAAACCTGAAAACAAAACAGAAAACTGACCACAGATAAGATGGGGAAATGGCTTTCTTTTTTGGTTTAATTCTGCAACTATCATAACCTTTAGAAGTTTTAAAAGAAAGTCTTCATTCAAGGACAACCGCTTCATTTCAAGTCCCAGACATTCACAGAATGATTTTCTAAAGCTTTTTCTCATGGTACCCTTGTAATAAAGCTGTGAGGTAGGAAAAGCAGGAATCCCCTCCATTTTACATATATAAAAACAAAGGCCCTGCCCAGGTCCTATGTCAGGTGTGGCAGAGCCAAGTCCCGGGACAGGTGTCCTGAGGCCAAACCAAATGCTCTTTGCAATCTAGAGGGCTCACAGGGACCAGGAAGGAGACTCACAGTGATCACTCTCTGCCCAGAGCAGGGGACATTTGGAATCCCGATGCTGACTTGGCCCCTGTTGGGGAAGTGTGTGCTACTCCAGGAGGCAGGTGTTGGCGGGGATGGAGGGAGGCAGGACAGTGGGAGAAGAGAGGAGGCGAGCCCCAGTGAGTGTACCTGCAGTGGTGGGCTCGGTCGGGCTTGATGCTGCAGCATTTGGGGCACTTGTACACCACCTGCCCAGGCTTCAACTGTAAACTCTCGATGAATTCTTTAGTGGCATTTCCTTTGGGCACTGCCCCCTGTAGGAAAGATGAAAGGTATCAGGGTTGGGCTGGGGGTTCTATCAGCTCTAACATTCTACAGTGGGGATAGTTATTTGAAAGCAGCAACCACACACACACATGGACAGGACACTTTGATACCAACAACATGTGGACTCTGTGTTCAGAATTATGCCAACATTAAGGAATATTTATTGACCAAAAATTTTTCTGAGGAGATGCCATTAGGCCACATTAATTCTTTGATTTCTTTTCTTTTCTTTGTTTTTTTGTTTTGTTTTGTTTTTTGTTTTTTTTAGACAGAGTCTTGCTCTGTCGCCCAGGCTGGAGTGCAGTGGTGTGGTGTAATCTCGGCTTGCTGCAACCTCTGCCTCCTGGGTTCAAGCGATTTTCCTGCTTCAGCCTCCCGAGTAGCTTGGATTATAGGTGCTCGCCACCACGCCCAGCTAATTTTTTGTATTTTTAGTAGAGATGGGGTTTCACCATGTTGGCCAGGATGGTCTCAATCTCCTGACCTTGTGATCCGCCCGCCTCAGCCTCCCAAGGTGCTGGGATTACAGGTGCAAGCCACCACACCCGGCCAATTCTTTGATTAATTTTCTACACTAAACAGTGACATTGTTCCTGATTACTTTGTATTTTCATTTTACTGGAATTATTTTAATTGAATCCATTCTCTCCTATATAACAGCAAGGATTTGGCTCACTGACTATTTTTTGGTCTATATTAAATTTCCTGATAACAGCTTCTCCCTTTCTAAGTTTCACTGGTGAGCAACATGTCTAACAGTTTCCCCAGATCAAAATTTGCAGCTCCACATTTTAATGGGTTGTTTGCTGGGATTAAGTTTTACTTTTACCAGTGGTATTGTTATGAATAATTGTAATCTATATTTGGTTCTTAGTGAATCCATAAGCAACTGGGAGCTGCTGCCCTCAGGTATTTGACTTGCTGTCTGGCCAGAGCTGCCCTCTGATTTGCTCTTCCACCTGTGGAGTATGCTTGTGAATACTTAGCGTTCTTTAGAGCCAATGGCAGAGCCAAAATGCCATAAGATTCTGCTCTGGCTGTGCACCCATCCAAACAGAAGGAAAACAGGCAGTGCACAGGCCTAAGTAGGGTCTTAATAACCAACCTTCACCAAGAGCCTGCTTGGTGCTGAGCCCTGTGCTCTCATGCTCACTGCTATGGACTCAGGAATCACAGGAGGTCCCTGCTTCCAAGACTTATAGTGTTTTGGAGGCTGACAAACGATTCTAGTAAAAGAGGTTACATGCTGTGGAAGGTATTTGTGTTGAGGGAGCACAGAGGAGCCAGCAGCCAATTAATCAGGGGAATCAGAGGAGTTTTAAGTAGTGATGTTCAAGGGTTGTCTCGAGGAATGTATAGAGGCTGGCTAGGTAGACCTGTGGGAGAAAAGGGATTCCAGCAGAGGAGGGCATGAGTAATGACAAAGAGGTGAGGGTGAGCATGGCATATCTGGGAGACAGGGAGAATATCAGTGTGCTGAACTGTGCGTATGCAGTGTCAGCGGGGAGGCCGGACCGATGGGCCGGGGCCAGCCCATGTGGTGCGCTGAATACCAGGTTGGGATGGGATTTTTCTTTATAGGTAGCCTAGAGCCATTAGGTAACACTGGTGCTTCAGGAAGAGAGCTCAGTTGCCTGTGTTATGTGGATCATATAAGAAGAGGGAGAGATGAAAATTCCAGACACCACGTAGGAGGTTATTGTTGATGGTCCAGTAAGGAAAAACTGAATTACGAGGATGGAGCGGGAGAAGTGGAGAGGAAATTCTGAGATCTGAATCTACAAATGATGGTAGGGAACCAACTTGTTATTGGGTGGTGGAGAGGGTAACAAAAAGGGAGGAGATGAGCCCCAGTAGGGTTTCCATTTTTAGCAGCTGGTAAGTGGTGGCACGTCAAAACCATTAAGAGAGCAGAAGGAAGTTCTGAGAAGAGCTGATCAGTTCAGTTAGGGTATGCTGAGTCTGAAGTGCCTGAGGGACACCCAGGAAGGTAGCTGGGAATATAGGTCCAAGAAGTAAGAGAGAAGATCAGTCAGTGGCATAGCACAAAGGGTTAGAGCTGGCTTGGAAGTCCCCTGGCCTTGCTTTAAATCTGAGCTCTACATTTGCGAGTGGTGTGCCCACTGACAGGTGGGCCTATCTATGCCTTAGTTTCCTAATCAGTGAGGCAGGACTCATCTTATCTAATTCCCAGCATTACTGAGAAGGTTAAACTAGACATAGACAACTTGCAGAAAGGGCTCAGATGGTACTGCCACAGATAAAGTGCTCAGTAATATGGTGGTCTGTTTTCTGGGTCTGGTGTTGGCACCAATGCTGCAGCTTCAAAAAACTACAGATGCCTAGACTCTTATGCAGCACTACTATAAAAAAACTACCAGGGAGTATGGCCCTGACTTCTGCATTTTTTACACTCCCTAGCAGAGTCTTCTACTCTATAGCCAGGGCTGAGAGCTACTGTGCCAGACCAGAAACTCCATGATTGGGTCTACCTTGATCAGCACCAGATGCCCTGGCCTGGTACACAGTATGACACAAAGTGAAAGGTAAAAGATCCAGCAGCTTCCAGCAAAGGGGTGAAAGAAGTAGTGACAACAGGGAGCCAAGGATGTGCCATCCTGGGAACTCTGCCTGCTTGGCCCAGCTCCCAAACAAGAACCACACCTGACACGAGGTCAAGCCACAGCTATGGCATTGGACTGGGGCACTCTTCCCTCCATGACCCCTGTGTCAGGTCTACTTCACAGCAAGCTCCACTCCTCAGTAGGCACCCATGAGATACCACAATCAGGGAAGTCAGTGTAACATCAGAAGGACAGAAACTAAGACTGTCCCCACATTCTGCATGTGCCCAGAGTGAAAGTACAGTTTATTAGGGTGGGCAAATTGGGAGTTTCAGATAGAGCACCCTGGTCTCCCCAGAGTTGGACCGATGGATTATAACAGGCCAAGTGAGGGGTTCCCAGGGCAGAAGGGATGAAGACTGGGTGTCAGAACCTTTCCTATAAAAGAATTCTGGGAAGGGAAGAGCCACTGAAGAAACAGAAAAATCTTTAAGTGCTGGAAATGCAAGGGAGCTGTGGTTCTGTCTTGCACTGTGAAAATGACTCACAGTGGATTAAGATTCCAGCTAAGAAAACTGCAGAGACAAGTCAACCAACAACTCTCTCCTGAAGGTCTACACCATGCCGAACACTGTGGGAAGTACAAAGAAGCGATGGGAGCCCAGGCCTCATACAGCTGGTGGGTGGACAGGTGCAGATGCAGTGAGGCTGCTGAGGCAGAGCACCTAGAGAAAGGCATGGCCACCAGTGCGTCAGGAGCTAAAGGGAGGCAAGAGGACTGAAAGTGGGGATCCTAGGAAGGCCAGGAGGATCCTGGTGGATACTAAGCAGGAGAGGAGCACCTGGGAGGAAAATCAGTTCAAGCACGGTCCTAGAGGTGGGCCTACAGATCTCCTGTCGTCTGCTCTTCACATGACTCTTTGCTGGGCCCCAGCCCTTCCCCTGCTAAGCCTCTGCTTCTCCTGCCTCAGTGAGGACCTATTCACTCCTGAGATGGGCAGCACTTGGCTGACCTGTCATTCAGAGCAATGACGTGCTTCCCCACTGAGGATGAGGAGCCAAAGGCTCACAAGGAGCAGGAGACAAGGAGGCAATGAGAAAGTCTGAAGGAACACTTGTCCACATGCAAGCGCACCTCAGTGCTGCAGGCTCAGACTGAGAGTGGGGTGGAAATGAGGTCCTTTATACTCTTTCAACTCTCTAAAGCATTTCATTACTTTTTTTTTTTAAGTTAAAACAGTAGAAAAAAAATCTGGTCTGCAAAATGTAGTCAGATGTCAGAAAAGCCTATGACAGAAAGTTCAAAAGCAAACACATTTTGGTGGGCAAGGACCACATGGTATCTACAATACCAGTTAGAATACCGTTTTGGACATTAAATATGCTATAAAAATACACAATTATTGACACAGGAAACATCTATAACAGATTTTATATACATATACACATACATATAAATAAGAAAAAAGAAAAAAAATGTGTGGTGGTACATGTCTGTAATCTTAGCTACTTGGGAGGCCAAGGTGGGAGGATAGCTTGAGGCCAAGAGTTTGAGAGCAGCCTGGGCAACATAGTGAGACCCTATGTAGGAGGATCACAGGTACTTTTAATTTTCTTGACTATATTTATGAAATATTCTATTAGAAACAAGTGGCTTTTGCAAAGAGGAAATGATCCATTAAAAACAAGCAAAACAAAAACAAAAACAAAAACTTGAGGAGCCACCCAAAGTAGGAATATGATCAACTTTCCTGAGGCTTGTAACCAAAATGTCATTATTGTCTCACCTTGAGACATCCAACGGGCCACCAGTGAGGCACTGTGAAGGGCCAGGGTCTGGAAGGTTTCATGAAGGTGAGGCAGGGCCCAGACCACATGGCATAAGTGGATTTCCAAGGGGGCCTGGGAAGGGCACTGGTCCAGGCAGAGGACAGGGTCTCAAGCCCAAAGGGCCTTATTTTTCATTATTTTTTCTTTTTTTTTTGAAACAGGGTCTTGCTCTGTTGCCCAGGCTGGAGTGCAGTAGCACGATCTCAGCTCACTGCAGCTTTGACCTTCCAGGCTTAGGTGATCCTCCCACCTCAGCCGCCCAAGTAGCTGGAACTACCGGCACAAGCCACCATGTCCAGCTAATTACAAAAATTTTTTAGAGACAGGGTCTCACTATGTTGCCCAGGCTGGTCTTGAACTCCTGGACTCAAGCGATCCTCCTGCCTTGGCCTTCTGAAGTGCTGGGATTACAGGGGTGTGAGCCATTGTCCCCAGCTGTGTTCTCTTTCATGTAAAAAGTAATTGAGTTTGGGCAACTGTGTGGATCCTAAAACCAGAAAACCACAACTAGAAGTTACTATTGTCATGTGTATAAGAGAAAAAGTGCAAAGGGACATCCTTTCCCCCAAGGACATGAAGCAACGAGGCTTGAGTTTTCCTAAATTATGGCCCAGGTGGTTTTTTTGTTTAGTCCCAGTTTTTAAGAAGGTCCCAGCCACCAGAATGTACTGTAAGCCCCAGGGGACCCTGTATAAAAGACTGCAAGAGGAAACCTCTAACCCATAAAAGGGAATCAGAGCTCTTGTTTGGTATTCTCATTACGGCCTATTTATTCCAGACCTTGAGTAGAGACATCATTCAGCAGCTCAGCCTTTCTAAACATGTGCCCCCACAATGAGACTCCATTTGCATAAATCTCCCAAAAGGCCCATCTCCATTCAGGCAGGGCCCCACCCATCCAACCACCTGAGCCCACCTCTCAGAGCCAGAGAGCAGCTGGGCCAGCCCCCAAGACTGAGGAGTCTGATGCATACACTTTCCAGTCTCTGCCTCAGGCAACTTTTTGTTTCATTCTTTTTTAAAATGCATATTATGCTCTTTTGGGCTCATCTCCACAGATTTCAGAGCTCTTTGTTATTAGTTCATGGTAAGGAACTTTGTTCTTTACAATCCTGGACAGACAGCAGGAGATTGAAGGCCTGAGACATTTTTGTCACTGCTGTCATGCTTGCATTACTGAGAAATGCCTATCCCCCTACCCCACGTTCTTACACACTCCACAGGGATGTCTTGAAGCTTCCACACTGCTGCAAGCCTAGCAGGTCAAAATGCACTGACTTTATCTCTCTCATTTCCAAAGTAATACTTGTTCATGGTTTTAAGAAAGAAAATACAGATGAAAAAGTGGAAAAGGAAAAATTCACTCTGATTTGATCACCCAAGACAAGTACTACCAACATTCTGAAACATATTCTTAAAGTCTTTTCTCTTTGTACTAAAGTAAAAACACTTTAAAAAATCTATAGGCTCATAAAAAGCAGATCACAAAGCTTCCAAAATATACATTTGGCCCCACAGTGGAACCAATTTAAATCTGTTTTAAAATAAGTGTGTAGAAGCTGTTAAAGCTTTTCTGCTCTAGTCATGGCAGAACTCCTTCCACATTCTCTGCACAGAGCTCTGAGTTTTCAGTGCAGAAGGAACATAATGGTACTTGTATGTGCACCTGTGTGTATTTAGGGGTGGGGTAGGGTGTGATGTGCCTCCATCAGCCATTCCCCTTAGTAGGTAGCCCAAACTTCTAGTACCTTCCTTGACCCCTGCCCACTTCCTTTTCTATTTTGGAGCAAATTAAGGCTGCTAGGGTTAAATCCTTCTCATATTCCTCATCTCACTGCCTCACTGTCCCTGGACTCACGGGTACCCACTGTCTTGGAAGATGAGGCTCAAGTCAATCCTGGCCCTCAGGGCCCCCATACCATTACCTCCAAGCTTTCTCCTTGTGTTCTTAGCAGGCTCTGAGCTCTCCCTGCCCTTTCATAGCTAAGCTGCTTGAAGCCTTGTGCACCTGATGTCTCTGCTGACCTCTCCCTTACTGTTCATGCACCTGTCCCCTCCATACCAGGGAACTGTTCGCACCAGGTCACTGAGCAACTCACTGTGGCCAAATCCAAAAGTCAATTCTTAGCCCTTGTCTTCCTTGGGGTCTCCTCACTGTCCTTCTCCCTGTCTGTGGGGCTGTGCCTCTCCCCTCCTCTTGGAATCCCGCCCATCCAGGCTACTGGTGTTCCTCAGGGTTCAGGGTTTCACCCCAAGACTCCTTCCTTCCCTGCTCATTCTGCACTCTCTCCTGAACAATCTTCAACTCTACTTCCACCATCACTCGGTGATAATGCTCCAATCACAAGCTCCAACTCAGACCTCTTGAATCTGCAGATCTCTCTATTTGGCTGTCCCAAAGGCACTGTGCACAGCTAAAACGGAACCTGCTGCTTTCTCCCCAAACTGTTCCCTCAAGTCTCCCTTTCCTGGCCCATGGCATATCCATGTACCCTGTCACCTGGGGTAGAAATCCAGTAACCACCACCAATTCCTCTAATCCTCTTCCCCACATCCCATTCACTCCACCAGGTTAATTCTGCCTCAGACTGTGCCTTGAATCCCATGCTCTCCCCTCCATGCCATCATCATGCCTTAGTTCAGCCCATCATCATCTGCCCCAGACTATTAGAGCATCTCCCAGGTCTTCCTGCCTCTAGTCTCTCCCTCAAATCCTGCAACCCACTTCTATCCTTTCTCCCAACTAATTTCCAGAGTAAACTTTCTTAAATGGAAATCTGATCACATTATTCCCCTGGCCTAAAACCTTCACTGGCTCCCTAGGGACCATGGACCAGAGTCCAAGCTCCTGGGCAGGGCTCTTGAGGCCACCATATCTCAGCTCTGGACTACCAATCCAGTGCCACCTCCCTCCGTAAACAGTCCCTCCCTGTGGTCTATTTGGAGTTTCCCAAAGGCAACATTCTAAGTTTTCCTTTCTACCCTCAGGGGCTCCATTTAAGCACCAACCAAACCCTCACCCGCTCCAACTTGCCAGGCACCTCCTTGCTTCTAGCACCCAAATTAAAATGCACCCAGGGATCACCTTCTCTGCTACTTCCTCATGGCCCCAGGCCACATCCAAGGCAGAACCCATTACTTAGCCTTTGTGCTACCACAGCTTGTATGTATAGTATGGAACACGTCATTTAATTACACACCATCTCTCCTACATCACAAGACATTCCTGGAGGACAAGACAACATCTGTCAACTTGTAGCTCAGCAAACTGCTTAGGGCCTGGCACGAAGAATGTATTCAATAACTCAAGCTGAATAATGATACATTTATTGAGCACTTACAGGCCAGGCATAGTTCCAAATGCTTTGTGACAAAACTGTATGTGTTAGTTACTTCTGACAACAAACCTATGAGGTAGAGATTGTGGTATTCCCCATTTTAAACATGAGGTAACAAAGGCAGGGAAGTCAAGCATCTTCCCAAGGTAACACAGCTAATAAGTGGCAGAAGTAGGGTTCTGACCCAGACAATCCAAGTCTAGAACCTATGTCACTATCAGAAGACAAACATATCATTACCAGGTATTTCTGTTAAGTGACTTGGAAAAAACTTTATTTTAATTGCCTGATGTCACAACATCATTCTACCACCACCAACTACCTCAGCACACTAGTATTAAGATTGAAACAGGCCTAGGATACTAAGGCTGTTTCAATAAGTATCTAGGATAATATGATAATATAAAAAGAAACAATGGAAAGTAGTGGAGACAGGTTCTAAAGAAATGCCAATAATTTCAAGGACTCAACATTCCATCCATTTCAAGCAACAAGAATGAAAACCTGCTTAAATTGTTTCAGGGCCATGGGATCAAAGCCCGTGCACACCCACCAGTCTGGGTAGAAACTCCAACAGCTCTCCCAGGAGCATGGTAACCAACCCCAGGCCTGCATCACTGGCCATGTGTCTCCTCCACAGAAAAGTAAAAGGTAGCTAGTTGGTCCCCAAATGGGCTGCTTTCCTCCCTCTGAAGCCAGAAAGCTTTTCCTGTTGGGATTTATAAGTTGCTCGGGGGCAGGGGTGAGAAGTTGCCTGGCATGAGGGAGAATGCAGCACGATACTCCAATGGACCCTCAGGCAAGTCCCCTAACCTGATGCAGTGAATGTGCCAATACTTCTGGGCAAGATGCACAAGGCGCTTCTCTGGCTGCATCCAGCACCTGGCCTGCTGTTCCTCTTCTATGTTCCCACAGGTCCAACATCATGCTGCCATGCTACCCTTCCAGGAAATACTTGCCACCTGGGCTCTGAACACAGCACATGCTCTGTAAGGCTGTTGAAAGAGACTCCAGAAGGGAATACCAATTGCATGTTTGAAGTGAGCCCCAATATTTCCACTCAATGACTTTTGGCAGCTGAAATGAAAATCAGTGGCCGGTAGTGGTCTGAGATAGTCATGGAGGTCTGTTTACAGCAAGGTGTTCACAGAGTGGGATTCAAGAGGGGTCGGGGTGGGGGAGCAGGTAGACAGACGAATTTTCTTTTCCTTAACAATGTGGTTAAATTGACTATAAATCCAGTCATGCACATCATGATGTTTCAGTCAATGACAAGTCCCTCAAGATTATAATACTATGTTTTTACTGTACCATTTCTATGTTTAGATATACAAATATTATCGTGTTACAGTTGCCCACAGTCAGTATTCAGTACAGTAACACGTTGCATGGGTTTGTAGCCTAGGAACAAGAGGCTATTCAATACGGCGTAGGTGTGCAGTAGGCTGTACCATCTAGGTTTGTGTAAGTACAGTCTATGATGTTTGCACAATGGTCAAATTGCCTAACAACACATTTCTCAGAACTTATCCCCATCAAGTGACACATGACTGTATATTCCTCCTTTTCTCAAGTCTCAGATTTGAAATAATTTATGAAGTTAATAAACGATAAGATCCAAAAAAGGAGGGGCAAAAATATACTGATCATAAGGGTTTATACAATTACTGTCATTGTGTAACACTTGGCTTTGAGCTTCCTGGCAGCCAGGACAAAAAGAAACAATCTACATCTGTCACGTTTAAGCATCTTCTGGGAGACAGACATTGTCTCAGAAATAAAGAAGCCCCTCAGGATTCCTGAGGGAGCTCAGAGAATGAGGAATTTGGAAAAGAAAAGGTGGTGAAACCAAGAAATGAGGAAAAGAGAGAGAAGGGTAGTAAGATAAGGGTTTCTGAGTCCAGTTTGTCTTCAAGAGGCTGCCTCCTCAGGACACATGGAGCCATTCTAGACTTATAAACGTCTAAAGTGTTTCCAGAACACAGAAAGCCCCTATAATGACATTACACAACCTCAGAGTGGGCAAGGAGAAGGCGTCAGGAGACCAAACATGAGCCTGACTTGTGCTCCTGCCCACACCCATGCTGCCTCCAGGCCAGCCTGCCTGTCAAGTGAGGCACCTGCCCTGCTCCTCTGTCCATTTGTCCTCCTCCCTCTGTTTAGAGACCTGTCCCTTTTGCCCTATTTCTCAAACGGCTGTCTCACTTCCAAGGGGGCTGTTTACAAATCTGTGAGTCATTTCCCACTTCCCTTTTCTTTTCAAGCTCTATGTGGACCTATCTACTGCTACATTGGAGTAAATCACTGAAAAATGGTCCAGAAGGCTATAGTGGTTGCAATTGTTCAGATATTACACTTGGAATAATTATTCCAAAGCTGAAAGTGGTAAAGTAACTGCTTGAGGGAGACCACAAGGTTTTTATATATATATATATATATGTATATATATATATTTTAAACTAGTAATGATAACAAACCAAAGTGATACACAATGCATACATTGCTTATAACCTTTGGATATAAACTGTTCTGAAAAAGTATGTGCAACATGAATTCTTGAGATATAAAACATAATCCCATTAGGGAACTCCTTAGAACCCTGCAGTGACCACTTTCTAAAAAAAGACGACTGCAATATTAATAAGGAACCCCTAACTTACCTGCTTATCACCTGGGCTTCCAACTCTGCTCCTTGGAATCCCAGGGTGCCCCAGCAGTGCCTTAGGAGCTCCCGCTTCTGCAGCCCCACCTCTCTGTTTTGCATACTGGGTTTTGCATGAGATATCATGTGCTGGGGATGGGCAGAGGCAGGTGGTAGCATGAAGACCCTAAAATAGGGCACATCTATAGAACATGCTCTCAGTTGCTTCCCTTACTAATGGTAGATATTTGACAAATTCTTCATTTTTGGGGCCAGTTATCTTTGGGGCTACCAGCAAAATACACCTCTGGGAAGCTAACTGTTGTTTAGGATACAGTCTGTGCCTCTCACTGCTTTGGGATTGGAAGCTGGCAACACACCACAGTGAGAATCATGCTGTTCTGCATCCACTGCAAGGGCCAGCTGGCCAAGGTCCCTGGAGAGGCTGTACGCTTCAATGCAGTGGGTAAAGAACCCATGTATGTGAGGGCAGTGGGAATGCCAGGGCAGAAGGCTCCCCTCTCACTGCCCAACATCCAGTTCCCTGTTTTCACATGCCTTACAGAAACCAATGACCTCCACACACACTCTCTCCAACCCTGATCCTCCATCAGCTCCAGACTGACTATCTACTGCCCACCTAGCATCTCTCCTTGCACATAATATAGTGGCAGTCTGACTAGAACATAAGCCTTGATTTCTCCTCCAAAATCAATAATGGGCACCAGTGCTCCCCAGGCTGCTCTAGCTAAGACTCTGGAAGGTATACTCTCCAATCTCTCTCCATTCTGTCAGTTCTGAACTGCATTCTCAGGCCTGGCCTGAGAGGTAAATGTGAGGGAAACGTGGGAGCTCTAAAGCATTCGAATACCCAGGGCCCTGCCCCCAGACCAATTATAGTAGTCTCTGGGGGTGAGGCCCAGCCATCAGTACTTTTAAACAGCTCTCCAAGAGATGGTACAGGCAGGATTGAAAACTAATAGCTTAAAACAGACTCCAAATCCAACAGCTTCTCTCTGGTTTCACTGCTCTCACTTTGGTCCGAGCCACACCATGTCTTGCCCGGACCACTGCAATACCTCTAGTCCCCCTGCTTCTACTTGTAACACCTTGAACCTCCATTGCAAGCACAATGCAAATCAGATCACACCCTGTCTCTCTGAAGGCTGCCGGCTGCACTTAGAATAAAATCCAAAGTTCTCATGAGGCCTACCAGGCCCTGCACAATCTGGCCTCTGAGGCCCTCTTCACCTCTTCCAACCACTCTTACCCCCACCTACCATGTTTTGATCACCCTGGTCCTAGTCCTGTTTCTCAGATGTGCTGAGCATGTTTCTGTCTCTGGGCCTTTGAATCTACTCTTTTCTCTACCCTTGGATCTTCGTCTGCCTGGCTTGTAGCTTCATGCCATTCAGGTCAGCTCAAAAGGCACCACCTCAGAGATGACTTCTTAGACCACCTTGATCTAAAGTAGTCCCCCTTTGCCCCAGAAAGTCAACAGCACATCATCCTGGTCACTTTGTCTTATTGTCTTTAAAGCACTTACCACTTTCCAAAATACCCTGTTCAATCATGTCCTTCCTACCTGACCCCGTCACTACAAAGTGAGCTTCACAAGGGCAGGAATTTGCATCTGTCTTGCTCATAGCTGTAGCCATTGCTCAGAAAGCAATCTCTCACAGAATGGGCACTCAGGAAACATGGCTATTCATTTTATTCCCACACCAGTGCCACTCCTCCTCACTACTGCCAGAAAGAGACTTGTAAAATGACAGTTTTGTTTAAGATGTGTTGAAAATCCTTAGGGGCCCTAAACTGCCCCTCATCATCAAACTCCCATCCTCCTCCTTAGGCACCTCGCCCACATCACCAACCTAAATCCATTCTCTTCCTAAGTTCCCACCACTCCTGGTGCCTAGAGGAGCCATGCTCCTGCATTCCTACGTCTCTGTGCAAGCTGCTCCCTCTGCCTCCTTCCTGTCCTCAATGTCCACTGCTCGGAGAAGAGCTGGCTTGGGCATCGCTTCCTCTAAGCAGTCACCTCTATATGTTGATTAATCTCTCCACCCTTGTTCTCCCACAGCAATCCACATTTCTTTCTGCCAAACCTTCATCACACAGGGTTATCATCACCTGTCTTTTCTAGACAGAGGGCATCTTGAGGGTAAGAACAGTATCTGGGGCTTAGTAGACAGTAAACTATGAACTGAGCAAAGCAATGTTTTTTACTTCTATATCCCCAATAGCAATGGTATCATAAACATTTCTGAATAAATCCTTAACTTATTTTCAGCATGACCATATAGATGCTGCTGGGAAAACTCTTTCATATCCTTGTGTTTGGGGACACTTAGGATTATACCCATATACATGGCTTCCCTCAGGCGATGGCTGTCCCGCATGCAGTGCTAAATACTAGGCAAACAGGCCCCTGCCTGCTGGTGTGTTTGGTCTCCCTGAGGCATGCGCAGGAACAGAGATGCTGTCTGGACCAGTGGCTGATATGTAATTGAGTTGGGAAAGCTGCTTTCCTTTGGGATGGATTAATAATAATCTACCACCTGAACCGGCAGGAAATGGAGCCCTTTGAGACAAGAACTAGCTCAGGCCCATTATCATCATCACTACTGCACTTTCCCTGGGGCTCACAGAAACAAAATCTGTATGGCCAGTGTCACTGCTAGTAGCAGTGCTTTCCCTCTCTTAAACACACACGTCCCACGTACTGAAACAAGCCACAGGAGGTCTTTATCAAATAATGTATTCTCTTGCTTTTCCCATACAAGAAAAGGAACAGAACAGAGGGTTTAATACCAGGGTGCACAAACATTCAATAGCCACGTGCGCAGCTTGGCATATTTAGCTAAGTCATTGAGCAGAACACTACTGCTTTACCCACAGATATTCACCAAGAGGCACTTGCTGCGGCCTGAAACAGGCTTGTCCAGCTTTTCAGGAAAAGATGCACCTCGCCCAAGCAAAGTGAAGGCCATTTCCGTGCAGGTTCCTGGAATTGGATGTGGCTTTAATTTCAAGTCCACCTAGCTCCAGCACTGTCTTCACTGGGAAGCCCAATCCTGACCCAACCCTCCAGCATGCTTTCTGCTCTGATCATCTGGCCCCAGTCTTCAAGGTTATCTGTGTCTTTTTAACCAGAGGCCAGGTTTCCCCCAGACCAAACCCCTCCCAGAGCAGGCCCAATGAATGTATATATCCATGTACTTATAGTATCATTTAACCAAGACAGATAGGCTGTGGTACAGGTGTTGACCCCTCTTCCCTGGCCAGAATTCCACAGAACTCTGAACAAGGCAGAGATCTACTTCCTCACCCTCCCCTGGCCCTCCTATCCTCCAAGTTCCCAAGGTCCAGGGGGAACATGCAGGCTGTGGCCATGCCAGAGCCAGAGGAGGAGAGTGTGGGCTGGTCAAAACAAGCCCAGACATACTCACGGGGTCCGTCAGCATGGCCCGGCAGTGGGAGGCCAGGGCCAAGAAGGCCAGCAGGTTGAACACAATTCCGTTGATGATGCTATACACGTAGTCTCGAGATGGAATCAGCATGACAAAGAGGACCACGAACTCCGCATAGAGGACCAGAAACCAGGTAACGATGGCACAGGCGATGCCACAGCCGTCACGGATAAACCACATGGTTCCCACAGGACCAGGGTAGGGGGGTGGGACACACTTCTCTGGCTGGAGGTATTCTGGTTTCCGCTCAATGTTTCGGAAGTGGTGGGTGGGGATAAGCATCATAAGCTATTCTGTCCATACTGGCATCTGAAAGAGAGAGGAAAGAATCCAGAAACTTGGTGTTGTCTTGTCATCAAGGAGGTTTGACAAAATTGCTCCCATAGTGAGTTGTGATTACTTATCTGCAACCCCTGTGTGCAAAGCCACCTAATCACCTTGTTCATTTAAAACATGAGTTCTCTTCCCTGATTCTGAGAGTCAATTTAGCCTTCTTGAAACAGGGCCTTCACATGACAGATAATAAAAAGGGAGCCTCTAAAGGGTAAATGCCTTGCCCAAGGTCAGCCAGAGCAGAAGCAGGTGACACAGCCTGCCAATTTGTTTTTTTCTTTTTTTGAGACCAGGTGGGGTCTCACTCTGTCATTCAGGCTGGAGTGCAGTGGCACCGTCTTAGGTCAATGCAGCCTCGACCTCCCACCTCGGGCTCAAGGGATCCTCCCACCTCAACCTCCCAAGTACCTAGAACTACAGGCACGCACCACCACACCTGGCTAATTTTTATATTTTTTTGTAGAGATGGGGTTTTGCCATGTTGCCCAGGCTGATCTCAAACTCCTGAGCTCAAGTTATCTGCCCACCTCGGCCTCCCAAGGTGCTGGGATTATAGGCGTGAGCCACGGCACCCAGGCCAGCCTGGCAATTTAGAGGTGGCACTAGAACCTAGGTCTCCTTAGTTATTAGAGATCTACTGGGTAGACAGTACCTCAATAGATATGTTCAAATTTTGACTTAAAAGGCAAGGAGAGGCAGAGAGAAGGGGAGAGAGTTCAAAGATGTTTTCCTACCACCTGGCTGAGGGGTGCTTCATGTGCCATTGTTTCCTCACCTGTGAAAACACCTACATTCCAGCCCTGGCCACCTCCTCCCAGGATTGCTGGTATGAAGGTTGAGGGAACTGGTGGAGGAGCTTGTGACGAATGATACAGATCATAACACTCTGTACACCTCACAGGTTATGCACATGTATTTTCTCTAGGAAATACATCCATTCCTTCTGAAACAAGTGCTGAGCAAAGCACTCTTTCTCTCTAGAAGCTGCAATTCAAGTCTCTGGAGACAGCAATGAAACAACCAAGAATCAATGACTAATATCTATCCACAGCATGTGCTGCAAGACACAGAAAGCATAGATTTCCCTTCTCTTCTTTTTTCTTACCCTCTTTGGCCTGTTGCATCACCAACCAGGTTTCTCAGTTAGAAACTGTGATGGCTCAAGCTCCCCACCAGATGTAGGTGCCATGGAAAAGCCACTCATAGCACAGGCTACAACACAGGCAAGAAATATCTCTGTCTTTTGAGAACTCAACTACACAGCAGAAGAAATCACTCAAAAGCAGCACTGGCCATGTGTGCTTCCTGAAGACTATGGCTCTGAAGGGCAAAGGCAGGCTTTCGGTATTGTTATGAACAGTAAGGACATGTCCAAAAAGCTAGGAGGGCAGACCAGTAACTACTATTCAAAATGACAGACATTCTAGAGTCGAAAGTTGCACAGACTAATAATGAAGAATAAGGACAGGGCCACTCCTCCCAAGGTGGCAGAGAACTAATGGCTGAAAGGCAGCTAAATGTGCTATTACGTATTTGCCCAAAGGAATATCGACTCAGCAAATGCAGTCACTATCACTGTGTTAGGGAACAAGAAGTCATGACACATAGAGATAGAATAACCATCTCGGCCGGGCGCAGTGGCTCACGCCAGTAATCCCAGCACTTTGGGAGGCCAAGGCGGGTGGATCACGAGGTCAGGAGATTGAGACCATCCTGGCTAACACGGTGAAACCCCATCTCTACTGAAAATACAAAAAATTAGCCGGGTGTGGTGGCAGTCGCCTGTAGTCCCAGCTACTGGGGAGGCTGAGGCAGGAGAATGGCGTGAACCCAGGAGGCGGAGCTTGCAGTGAGCCGAGATCACGCCACTGCACTCCAGCCTGGGCGACAGTGTGAGACTCTGTCTTAAAATAAATAAATAAATAACCATTTCAAGTAGAGTAAAAGTCTTGGTTCCTGGTGGTCCATCAACCAAAATTTTCTAACAGAGCAATCCTGTGCTATCCAGAGGACAGTGGCAATGTAGTCCTGCCAGAGACAACCTAAATGCATTAAAAGATGCAGGCCCACCTTCTGAAGCACCAAACAGGACAGTAGAAGATCGGAGATCAGGAATGTCTGGGACCTGACCTGTGCCCAGCAAATTCTAAAATTACAAACTCTGTTCAAGGAAAACCAAAGAAAAGAAAAGCTGACATCACACAATGATTCAAAAGCTGATTGAAGCTCTACATTTTGACAACCTCCAGTTGCAAGCATTCTTTTGGTTTTTCCTACTGCCATGCAGATTTATATTTATATCACCTGTGTTCTCACAATTACTATTTAAGCTCAAAAACAATAATGTTTTGTTGGACCACAGCCATGTCATTTGATTATAAATTGTCTCTGGCTGCTTTTGTATTACAATGGCAAGAGTTGAATAGCTGTAACCCACAAGCCCTAGACATTTACTCCCTGGCTCTTTATAGAAAAGTTTGCTGATGCCTGGTTCTAAGCAGTTGTTGGCTATCAAATAAATAACAGATCCTGCTTCCCTGGCAGAACAGCTTGGTGTGATGGAGATCGTCAGTTACAACTCACTGTCTCATCCACATCTGTGACGGCAAAACCTCTTGTTATCTGCAGCCTGCGGACCACTTCCCCATAACCTGTACACTCTATCAAACTGTTTTTTTTATCATAAATGGTATGGTTTTCATAAATGGATAATCACTGAAAATAAATTTTAGAGCAATTCTCCTTAGAGACTTCCAGTGATTAAATTATATTCACAGAATATTCAGAGTGGTTGCATTCATACAATCAAGAATGACAATTCCTCATTCTTGATTGTATTTATGACAATGATTCGACTAAACAAGAGTTATGTTTCATGTGCATGGTTTTGTTGAGGAATAAGCCCTTCCACGTAAGTAACTTCCCAGATAAATGTGACTTGTTTCCAAGTAGAAACACACTTTAATCATTTGGATGGTTAAGATGGAAATCTTAAAACAGAAAGGGAGAGAGAAGGAAGGAAGGAAGGAAGGAAGGAAGGAAGGAAGGAAGGAAGGAAGGGGAGGGGAGGGGTATTATAGCTGTTTGTCCCTTAAGCACAATAATCAACCATTTCTTCTGGAATGATTTATTTAGAGTTATTACCAGGAACATCACCTACTGGAGTGTGTTAGGTAATGATGTCCTCAGGGCTACTGAAATTCACTGGGTCTCGGCTTCACATCAACTGGCTTGCTCAGACTGTTATAATTGCCGTTCTGGCATCTCTGTATATGATCCTTTGTCTTCCTCCTCCATTCCTGCCTACTCATTTCTGTGTCTACGGTCACCAGTCATACCCACATATCCTCTATTTACTACTGCTAATTGGCTGTGGGCTAGAAAAGCAAATAAACTAAGTCTTGTTAGATTTATTTGCAAAAGGGTAGTCATTTTGGGTAATAGGCCTTCAGGGAACAACTGCTAAGCTCTTCACCATATAGTCCTTGAGAGGAGGACTTATTAGCCCAGTGGCTGGCACAGAGTAGCCACTTAATACATGTGTTGATTAAATGAATGCATGAGATTTGTGATCCCAGGCCCACTTCTTAGAGGCACTGTCTGCTTAGTTTCAGGACTGTGACCATATTCTGCATGGTGGAGAGTGTGTCAAGTAGGACCATGAGGTAAGTGGACTGACTCTTACTCAAGTAACCGGAATGTTCTATCTTCAAACAACGTGGGACCAAAGAGTGTACAGAGGAGCTCTGTTTTCCCATGACCCTCACTGGTGAGCGAGAACCTGTGATCTAGGAAAGGACCAAGCCAAAGGTGTACCTGGCAGGGCCAGACACCAAGTCCTGACCTGAAGGGCACATTCCACACTTAGAGTTTCAAAATATCCCCATCAAAACCAAGAAAGGCATACTGCTATAAAAAGGTTGCTTAACCCCCAGACCTCCCAAAAGCAACAAAAGTAGCTTTCAAGAAAAGATTTGTTCCTTAAATTAGCCAACTGAAAATCTGAGAAATATGGCAAAAAAAAAAAACCCACCACGAAACAAACTGTATATGTTCCCTTTATCCTACCCCTAACAAAAACAAAAAAGGCAAATATGGACCCCCTTTTCCTTTTCTATTTTGAATTAGAGAAACTCCAATCCTTAGGGTTGAGCAGTAGACCTCTGCCAAGGACCCACCTCCCTACAAGTGTCCTTACTTCCAAGGAGCTGGGCAGAACTGGTTACTCAGGCTTCTGGGACAGGGCCCCGAAGATGGGCCCTAAGCCCCAAACCACATCTGCCAGCACATGCTCTCAGAAGGGCAGCCTCCTCTAGTTCCCCCTCCCTGTCTCCTTCACCCCGGCCCCTTGCCCTATTTGGTCTCTAAAAACTCCTCTCTTTATTCAGTTCAACTCAAAAAGACATTCATGGAGCAGCCACTAAATGCAAGGAGCTGTGCAGGGGGCTCACACACGAGGGATGATGTGGACAATAATGTGTGTGTGCTGCCCTGCTCAGGCCCTGCCAGTTCCCTCCCCCAGCTCCCAACCTAATAACACTAGTCTTATTTGCTTTTTTTCCACCAACCTGCAAGTCTCATTTTATTTAGCTCTGTAGCCTAGTGTTTGGTATATGTGCTCAAATCAATAATTCCTGAGTGACTGGTCACATATATCAAGCAGACACACCCACAATAATGCTAACACATAGGTGACTAATGAATAGCACAAAAAAGGGACAAATAGTACCAGAAAAACCCGAACACCAAAAGCAACAAAACCCCAACAACCATAAGTGAAATAAATAGACTTTTTCATGGCAAGGACTTCTGAAGGGGTGGGCTCTGAGCAGCACCTGGAGCCAAGTGAAGCATACTGCTTACAAAAAGGCAAGGGGGGCCGGGTGGGCCTGGCAGGAAAATTGGTGGTACTAGTGGGGAAGAGGAGGGGCAGGATGACCAGGGCTGTGTGCGTGTCTGTGGACAGATGCAGGCTTTGTAGGAAAGAGAGGAGGTGATTCGAGATGAGGCTTTATAGGTAGGAGAAAGTTGTGTTTTAGAAAGCCTCTAAACTTCATAATGAGATGGGATTTCATCCTGAAAGGTACTGGTGAGCCATAAAGTTTCTGAGGAAAGTTGTGCAGGAATAGTACTCATGCTGTGGCAAGACCACTCTAGAAGTGACAGGCAAGACAGATGAGAGGTCTGCGTCCAGAGGCCGACAAGTCCAGGGAGGCACAAGGGCAACAGGCCTGAGTCTCATTTTGGTGGTATTAGGTTTTCTGTTCCTCTAAGTGGCTAATAGTTTTCCAAGGAAGATCTAGAACAATGATCATTTTGTAACTTGAATTATAGTAATCTATATTGAAGTTTTTTGGCTAAGGGTTTTATAGCATTAAAAAGAGTTAGCGCCTCCATATATTAGTATTCCATGTTCAAAGTAATTATTATTTTCACCTGATAGAAGAGTTCACTGAAGCCCAGAAAGGCAAAGGAACTAAGCCTGGGGAGGGGCGGGGGTAAGGAAGTCACAGGGGAAACGGATCCACAGGCCCAGAGGTGTTCTGGAGCTCCCTAGTGCCAGCAATCCTGATAAGATGTGGTGTCAAAATGATGATCTGAGCTCTGTGAGGGGCAGTGTGTGGGAAGTCAAAGGAAATCAGCTAGTATTCCTTCATAGAGTTCTAGAAACCAAAACCAAGAAATGCCTGAAATTAGTGCTATTCTAAAAGCAACAACAAAAACTGCCTGTGGTCCAGAGAATTGCCTCCAGATCCATACATAACACACGTGCTTCATTATACCTTATCATAAGTGTGCTCTTCCACTAACCCACACTGACAGACACAAATATACTTAGTGAAGTGGAGTCTGGGGCTCCATGAGCCCCAGGGACTGGGTTGCTGAGTCAGCCTTGGGGTATACCACTTATGCCTCAGTCCCCATGCTGTCTCTCCATGGTAGGCAGCTCAAAGGGTTTGAACATCGTGGTGCTAATGCCAAGCTCTCAGGCCCCATCCCACTGTGGCACTTCATCGGGTTGGCCAGGATGAACTGGCCTGGCCAAGTGTTGACTGCTAGTGATGGGCAGAATCCAGCTACATCATTTGTTGAGTGAGGGGCAAATCCCTACTAATCTTTATCATGTGGCAAAAAAACCCAAAACAAAACCCTGACCCACAGTCCATGCTTTATGGACAGGGTCAAAGCATGATTGTCACATCAAACATAAAGTTCTCTACTGAATGTATTAGAGTCCCAAAATGCCACTGTTCTCAGTCCAGCAAGTGTACCAAGGACCCCCATCCTCTCAGATTGCCAACAAGTCCTATTCACCTGCTTTTATAAGACAAGATCCCACACTAAAGTCATGGAGTAGTTCAGCCAGATCTAAAACCAAATCTTTGGAAGCACCTCAAAGTACTTTGTGAGGATTACTTTTCTAAAACACCGCATCCACCCACATTCTCACATCCACATGAACATTCATGCACTCGTGAACAGCACACATCTTGAGACGGTACAAAGTAGCATCAACAAAGGGCAATTAATTCAACCATTGGAGCCTGTATGAAATAGCTGTATACAGACTGGTTTAACAAACTTGAAATCAGGTGCAATGATCTCCCCTTGGCTTAGAGATAAGGATAATCTATATACTTAAAACAAAAATTGAGGGATTAAACTTTCTGGCTCCCTACAAGTAGGAACTATAAAATCGAAACTCAATTTCATCAGCCTCTTAGCAGATGTCATGAACATCAGCAAAATAGTAGAAACTCTAAAATAGGATGCTTTTGGCTTAAGCCAAAATTTGTTTCGAGTGAATATGTGACATTTTAATAAATCTATTATTATGCTAGACTGCTGTTGAGGGCTGGTCTGGTATCCTCTTGAACTTGTCCTAAACACTGAATTCCCACCTAAACTAATTCTTACCACAGTTAAATAGTTCAGTCTACCCTTAAACAATCACTTAAAATGTCCACTGAAAGAGGGTAGCATCTTTTCTGATATGTCTATAACTCTCAGCTGAAATTCACTCTAATCAATATAACATTAACCTTCTATGGTTTAAATCGTACAGTCTTAAAAATGTGGTGTTTGTTTCTTTTAGAACTTCTCACATTTTAGAGTGATAGTCTTAAAGTATTCACAAGCCAGCCCTGCAACCTCAAAGATCAAATAGATGATCTTTGCCTTAGAAGCTTTAGAAACAAAATTGGTCAAGTAGAAAATTAATTCACCTGCACTACAATTACCTTTATTTGTGTAAGGATCCAAAAGGATTGTAAATTTTATGCCCACTTTTTAGATGAGTCTCAGAAAAACAAAGAGGGAATCATGAATCACTGTGTTTGAAATATTTCATTAAAAAATAGGATGAGTCACTAAACTTTTTCAAAAAGGTAAGGGTGTGGTATGAAGCCTAACAGAAGAAAGGTGCCTTATCTTCTGCGGCACACCCTGCTAGCCAAGGAAAGTGTCCAGACAGGCAGAGTGAGCTGGCCTGTTTTATAAGATCTTTGCTACCAACAAGTCTACACTGTTTCTCTCTCTATAGCAGGGGCTGTCTCCCTCTGACTGCCTTTTGTCTCTGTCATACTCAGCCTTCAACAAAAAACAAATGGAAAAAAAAAAAGTAAAATATTGTACCTCCAAGCCAAACCTTACACATATTACAGTTCATTGAGGAAACCAGGAAGTGGTCGGTAAACCGAAATTTCCTTCTTGCCTCATAACTGACCACCTTCTTACAAAACCCATTCATGCACACACTCAGACTCCTACCAATGTCCTTCATTTCAGAAAACAGTCTGGGATTTGGATAGCTCATGGAGGCTAACAGTTCCTCTACTTACTATAACTATTTTATTACAATTGGCTATTTTACCAGCTCCTGGCTTTACTAATCTACTAAAAAAAAATATGCACCCGAACCAGGTGTAGTGGTTCACATCTGCAATCCCAACCCTTTGGGAGGCTGAGGCAAGAGGATCACTGGAGCCCAGGAGTTAGAGACCAGCCTGGCCAACATAGTGAGACCTTGTTTCTATAAATTTTTTTTAATTGGGGGAAAAAAAAGACACACTCATGTACAGTGTGACATAATAAATGTTACAAACATTGGAAATCCGTAGAAGACACCACTCATTTGGGTAACACGGTCTACTTTCCCTTTTCATGGGTATCATTTATACATTGCAATGAACAGAAAAATTGAGACAAGTTTAAAACAAGCCACTTGTAAGAGTAACTGGTTAAAAAAAATCAGAATTTTAGAGCTGGGAGAAATATTAAAGACCATGTGGTAGATTTTAGTCAAATTTTCCTGTTTTACAAATGTGAAAATTTAAGTCCTTTTGACATTTTGTTGAAAACTTATGTTTTAGGCAAAACATGCAGTACTGGCTACAGCAATGGAGATGGGCATCAACATTAACTGAATGCCTATTATGCTTCAGGACTACGCAAAGCAGCTCGTTTTAATTCTTACAGCAACCCAGCATGGCAGCTTTTATTCGCCATTGCAGAGATGGAAAAAGTAAGGCTCAGAGGGGTTGGGGAATATTCCCAAGGTCGCATTGAGTGAGGTGGTGGTGGAGCCAGGATTCAAAACGGCTCTGCTTGCCGTCACAGACTGCACTTTTTAGCACAGCACATGGATTTTTTTTTTCCACCCAAAGTTGGAATGAGACAAATGCACAAGCAGGAAATAGGAGTTGTACTTCCTGCTCCCTTACACACATTTGAGGGACCTGAGGAGAAGTTACTTCAACTTAGCTTTAGCATCTTCCTCTCTAAAGTGAGGGGGATGGACTAGGATCTCTAATCTCTGACTCTTTAAAAAAAAACAAAACAAACAAACAAAAACACTCAAAAAAGGCACTCTAAGCAGACTTTCCTTTCACTGGCTTCTGGGCACCCATAATACCTATTCTTTAAAAACAAGTCTGGGCATGGTGGCTCCCGCCTGTAAGGACACTTTGGGAGACCCACGCAGACAGATGGCTTGAGCCCAGGAGTTCGAGACTAGCCTGGGCAATATAGCGAGACCTCATCTCTACAAAAATCTTAAACAATTAGCCGAGCATGGTAGTGTGTGCTTATAGTCCCAGCTACTTGGGAAGCTGAGATAGGAGGATCGCCTGAGCCCAGAAGGTTGAGGCTGCAGTGAGATAAGATTGCACCACTGCACTCCAGCTTGGGTGACAGAGTGTGACCCTGTCAAACAAACTAACTAATGAATAAATAAAAATTGAGCATTCCTTCTTCTATGAGCCCCTTCTGGCACCTGTCTCATTAATGGAGCATGACACTCATTGGGTTACCTCAATCAGACTTGGGCCCTCAAAAACATAGCTGCTTGTAAAGAGACTGTGAGAACTACCCGCCCTGCTTCCAAATTGTGGTCCACTCTGTTTTACAGATGAGTAAGGAAGTGAAGCTCAAGGAGTCAGTGGATCTTCACAGGGAGGTGGCTAACTTGTTTTCTAGGTCTAATGGATGGTAACTACTACAATCTGTTTAATTGCTACGCTGCCATCTCCCTGCATTAACTTCTCCTTGCAGGAAGTTTGTAAGCCAGCAGGAGCATCTTCATAAAGGCAACAATAAATGACTGCTCCAGCTACCCAATGAACACTTGCCGATGACGGTGATACTCTCATAGTTTGTGAACCCCTTGTAATCCAGTGCATGATCTCATTTGACAATGAACTGCCTTCTGGCCTCTGTGAGGGTAGGCTCCAGTTCTGCTTGATTGTTGCCAAAGTGTGGGATATGCTGAATGTAGGGTGGGGCCCTGATTCTTTCCTGACCCTCACTTAAGGTGTCACCACTGCCTCCATCAGGGCACTGGGCTGCTTGCTACACATGCCTCTTCCTGTTTGATTCTCACATCTACTCTATTTTGCACATATAAATGCCCACTTCCCCATCCTGCTTTTAGAAACGAGAAAACTGAAGCATGCCTACAACCATACTTCCAGGAAGTGGTGGAGACAGGATATACTCCCAAAGTCTGCTCTTGCCCCAGGGCTTGCTTTTCACTACTTACTACAATAATTAAATTTTGTCTAGTAACTAGAAAATAAAAGGGGGAGGAGTATTGATGTTTCCATCAGTGACCTTGGGTTACTTACGGTTTGGCTATCTTGTCCACACATGGTTATGCAGAGGTGGCATTATCGAGTGGGCTGCATGCAGTGGTGCTCACAGGCCACAGGCCTGAACATAAGCATTTTGGGCTCTAAGGTGGGGCCCTGGCTGAATACCAGCCAACATTTAGAATACCGATCCTGCCCTAACCTAGGAGGCAGGAAGGCCGTGAAGCCTCAGCCAGAAGAGTCACCTAGGATTGAATCCCTAAAATCTGCTTTGGCTGGGAAATACTTCCTGTGGTGCCAAGTAACAGAATGCTGCTTTTTGTGAGAAAAAACGCCTCCCCCCATGCTAGGCAGAGACCTATCAGCAAAGGTTCCCACCTGAGGATGTTGAGAATGACACCTGGGCCCACATTGTGTCATGTGCAGCCACACAGCCACTGTGACATCACTTAGGCTAGGCCAGAGCTTGGTTGTTTTTAGGGACTAAAAGCAAAAGTGCTTAGAGAAATCCGAAAGACTAGCTAGGGAAGGGAGAGAACCAGTTATTGCAACTGTACTAGGTACTAGGGCCTAAAAAGGGGAGCCATTTGACTTTCAGGAATCTGCTGGTATCACTTATTCCAGGCACTGTAAGTGGCAGTGCAAGAGCAGAGCCCTGGGAGGAACCTGGGACCACAGAAAGAAGGCTGTAATGGGCTGTGAGAAAGAGAACACAGCCCCTGCTTACCTGGTGAGGGGCTCTCCAGCCATTCACCAGAGGGCTTTGGAAATAGATGGGAGGCTAGTGCTAAAGGGAATGAAGACTGAGCTTGGAATCAAGAGGCCAGAGTTTACTCCCAATCCTGCCACTCGCTAACCTCATGATCTCAGGCAAGACAGTTACCATTCTGGGCCTCAGTTTCCTCATTTGATAAAACAAAGGGGAAGATCACGCTGATTGCTAGGGCCCCTTGCAGGGCTGAGATTCTATGAGTCCTCTGTTCTCAGGAGCAAATTCAACGTTTTCTTTGTTAATATCTTGGATTTTACATTTTTTTACCAAAAGCTTCACTTACCTCTTTTCCCGATTTGCTAATATTCAAAAAGAAGCCCACTAGTAACTATCTCTCTTAGCAATTTCCTGAGCATGTTTAGTTTTTTCAATCAAGTACAGCATAAAATTACGACTTCCTTTTGTTCATTTAATTTTTTTCAGAGTGGAAAAAGCACTAGCAAAATATATCAAGTATAATGAAGTGGTAAATGAAAGAAGTCTTAAAAACCCCAATTTAAACATGGTCATTTTTCAATATTCAAATATTTGCATATCCAGGATCCATTCTGAGTTTAAAAACCTGGCAAGATACTCACTTGAGGGCAAAATGAGACTTAGGTTAACTGACTTGTTCAAAGTCATAAAGCAAGTTAATAGCAAAGCCCAAATCTTTGGACTAAGATGCCCGGAAGTCTTTCTACCATAGATTGTTATCTTCCTAAACAACCTGTCTTTCTAGATTCTCTGCTACTATTTCTTGGTTTAGAAACATACACTTCACATACTGAAGACTTTACTGCAACAGGACTGTGGCCAGAACTGTACTTGTCTCATTAGGCTTACCTTGCTAAGGTAAGAAAGTGATCTCACTCAAAGGCATTGCATCTCCACTGACCTTGAATAGGAAATACATATTCATATCTTGCCAAGAGTTCAAGTGCCAAGTCAATACATACTACGAAGTCTATGGTTTGGAGGAGACTATGAAATGATGACATTTCCCATGCATTCCAAATGTATTAGGATGTATGACTGAATTAAGTGGGACATGCACCTGGAGCCTTCTCACCTTCACAGTTGACAGCCATGAATGAACTGGCCATTTGTCTCTGGAAATCTGCTTCCGAGGAGGAAAGCAAATGATTTTTTAAAATGCAAAACAGGAAGGAACTAAAGGCAGCATGGCATGAGCCTCATTTTTTCCCCAACAGGTCAACACTGAGACATCACCCCTCCACTTCTACTTGAGACTTTGTTACTTTCCATGGCTATCAGGGTGTGTGTGTTTAAATATTTCTACATTTGGTAAGCAGGATCTGTTACCCCCTTTTCTCAAATATGCCCTAATGAGACATAGGAAACATGCTGTCACTCTCCCAAAATGAAACACACATGAAGACTGTATAACTTTTCCTCTAATTAAGAGTAAGCTTTACCCATGTATTACTAGCAATTTTTCTATCACTGTAATCTCAAGTTACAATGTCTAGAAGACAGATGAAGACCTGCTGGCCAGACTATGACAGTATTCTTTACAGATATTCTTCATTTCTATCATTATTTTATTACTTATTTTATTATTTTTTAGCGATGGGGTCTATGTTGCCCAGGCTGGACTCAAACTCCGGGGCTTAAGGGATCCTCCCACCTCATTCTTTTAAGACAAGGTACAGGCGGGACAAATGCAAAGTGTTTAAAGGAAACAGATCTACAGGCAAAACGGTAACTGACTTTGTACATTTCAAGGGTGCTGGGCTAATGGTGAAAATGCAAAGGAAAAGGCCTAAAACATGGCCATGTCTGCTTAGGACTGGGAACAGAAGGTTTCCTGCTGGGCTTTTAAGAGCTCTCTATGGCTGGGCATGGTGGCTCATGCCCATAATCACAGCACTTTGGGAGGCCAAGGCAGGCAGATCTCTTGAGGCCAGGAGTTCGAGACCAGCCTGACCAACATGGCCAAACCCAGTCTCTACCAAAAATACAAAAATTAGCCGGGAGTGGTGGCACACACTTGTAATCCCAGCTACTCGGGAGGCTGAGGCACAAGAATTGCTTGAACCCAGGAGGCGGAGGTTGCGGTGAGCAGAGATTGTGCCACCGCACTCCAGCCTAGACAACAGAGCAAGACTCTGTCTCCAAAAAAGCTCTCTGCAACATCAGCACCACAGACTCAGCATTGCCCTGAAGCTCTTTTGTAACTGGCTTTTATTGGTTTAATTAACCAAGGATGGGTGGGACAGAGTTACTCCATCTCTGTCATGTTATTGTTGCCGGCTTGTGGCTAGCAGCAGCTCTTTACCTTTTGTATTTGATACCTGGCCTGCACAATTAGCACCTTATTATAGGCTGGCCTCTCTTCTAATTGCCACGTCTCAATTGAGCACTTTATTTTATTGTCTTGTTCATGCAGTAGTTCGAGGTCCTGGGCTCCCCCACTATAATAAATTCTAAACTACTTTTAGGCAGGTGTTGTGTTTTGAGTTTATCTCTTTATGCCCATAAGAACACCAGGGACTCACAGGCATGCAAACACACTGTCTGGAGTTTCTAGATATCTGAGTATGGCATACGGTTGGAATCTGGGTCTCCATGCATGCTACTCAACCCTAGTACCAGATCTATCAGCCATCTTTGCCATTGAGGGCTCTCTCCTTAGCTACTTGGAGTTAAGCTCTTATTCTGCTCATATATAACCTTTTACCTTGTTTAAAATATTGGGTTGCAACAGACACAGCAACATCCCATCAGCACCACATTCCATGTTCCTCTAGAAAAATGATTCAAGGGATATGAGTTTATGCTTGAACAGACTTCTTGCTTTTGGAATTAAGATTAACTATATAGTTCATAGGACAGTTACCAACGCCATAACAAAATTGGGATTTCCTTCACCAAATAATCTGGTGAATGTAATAAAACCTGGGGGGAGGCTGTGTAAGGTGATGGTTAGGAGTATGGGCAGGAGAGCTAGACTGCCTGGTCTCAAGTCCTGGTTCTGCCATTTACCAATGATGTAACCTGTGACCCTGGTTAAGGCATTTAACCTCTCTGTGCCTCATTTCCCAATCTGTAAAATAGGGATAAGAATACTTGCATCACAGGGCTGTTGCAAGGATTGAATCAGTTATTTTTTATTTTTATTTTTTTTTGAGATGGAGTTTCGCTCTTGTTGCCCAGGCTGGAGTGCAATGGCGTGATCTCAGCTCACTAAAACCTCCGCCTCCTGGGTTCAAGCGATTCTCCTGCCTCAGCCTCCCGAGTAGCTGGGATTGCAGGCATGCGCCACCATGCCCGGCTGATTTTGTATTTTTAGTAAAGATGGGGTTTCTCCATGTTGGTCAGGCTGGTCTCAAACTCCCAACCTCAGGTGATCCACCGGCCTCGGCCTCCCAAAGTGCTGGGATTACAGATGTCAGCCACCGCACCTAGCCTGGTTAATCTTTATAAAGTGCTTAGAACAATGCTTGGCATACAATAAGCACTATGTAAATTAGTGTTGAAAATTAGAGTATAAGGTTTTAGAATACACAAACCTACAGAATAGTATGCCCCAATTCATTTATTCATTCAATAAATGAATCTAATAGTGATGGAAAAACAAGACGGTTTAATACTGTGCCATCCTTGACTTCTTGATTTTTTTGGTTATCATATGTTCTTTGAATTACTTCAATACACTAAAAAAGAACTCAGAATTTATGGATTTTAAAGACGTCCAATGCACTATTACAGCAAAGGTGATAAAAATGTTCTGGCAGCATTTAAGCCGAATGATTAGTGAAGACTGTCATTGTTTTAGTAGACAATTTAAAAAGGAACATTCTACTGTTTACATCTCTCTTACCTACTTAGCCTAATATATAAGACATCGTTCATAACATTATTTAGCAAATACTGCAGACCCTTGTCCAGTATGGAATTCCCGTCAATTGTGAGGGGGGGACAGTTCAAATACATGTTCTATATTTTAAGACATTGGAAAATCTTTATATAAAGATAACTCCATGGTATCTGAACTCAGGCTTTTCTTCCTGTGTCTTTCTGATCTGTCCATTTGCTGTCACCTCTTAAATCCTCAGTCTCCTCAGATATCCTAGCTTCTAAAATCCCACTTCCAGGGTCTCTCCTTTCTGAGCAATCTCTAGCACATCTAGAAAATATCATTTATAACATCAGCAATCTCATGTTATCTTATCACAACAGAGCTCCTCACATAAAACCCAGCCGTCCAACCACACACAAACACATCTAAGTGCCACAACAGGTGGGGCACCTGTGCCTTCATTAGGGAGGAAATCCTTCCGGCTTCACCTCTTTCAGTTTCCCTGGAAGGCAAAGTCCAACCCTGCAAGCTGTCTTCCTTTTAGGTGCCCCTGTGGAGAATTACGTAGAGACATAAGAAACATCTAATGTCCAGTCTACGAAGAACTGATCATCAATTTTGGAGCTCAGCAGTTTAATGCTTAAGAATGTGAGCAAGCACTTCCTCTCTATAACCTTATCAGACGACCTCCCAATCCCACTGTGCCCACTGATGCGACCATCATAGCTCTAACCACCATGATCTGTGGTTATGTTGGCCCTGGAGCCTTCATCTGCCCAGGGAACTTCTCTGGGCATAGTATGTTTTACTTGTCTTGTGTTCTAAAGGTAGCACAAAGCCTATCTATAGTAGGCTCCCAATAGTTATCTGAAACTGTATTTGAACCCACTATCTGATAAATACCATTTTTTTTTTTTTTTGGCTGAGGGTCCTCAAAAATGGAACATCAGGAAAGTCATCAGAATTGCTTTAACCTGCCCTCCTTGCTTCAACTAATTTGGGTTAACTTTCTCCCATTTATCCACACGGCTCCTTTAAAACTTGCACCATACTTTGTCAGCCCCGCCTTAATGAGTTCCTTTGGTGACCCCAGCTTCACCTTGCAGATATCCTCTCCGGGTATCCAATGCCCATACTCCCACTCGGCCATCGCAAGGGGTTGGGGTTGGCTTTTTTTCGGGCAACTGCTCACAGCTCCCAGTAATCACTTCCATCAAGCCGGGGTTTCCAGTTCCCGCTAGGAAGCGTTGGGGACGTCCGGGCACTGCGCACCTCGCCAGTGCCGGTTACCAAGCGCCTCCTCCCCCGTCTGTGGGACAACGCTCTGGTAAGCACCCGAGGCAAGAGGTCCCAGCAAGGTAATGGGACAGCGTTCGGTCACAGAGAGTGAGCGAGCCAGCGAGAGATATTCCTGGGTGGAGGGGTGGGGACGCCTTAGGACTAGTGTCCCCCATTCCCGGACCCTTCCCACCAAGAACTACCTAGGGAGGGCTGCATCGCCTCTCCAGCCATCCTAGGGACTAGAGAAATGGAGGGGAGAAGAGCAGGGAAACAGCACCCCCGGGCCAATCACGACGTCCGCCCCTCCTTAGTCGGGGTCTCTCTCTCTCTCTCTCTCTCTCTCACACACACACACACACACACACACACACACACGCTCCTAAGTCAACTCCAGCTCTGAGCAACTACGCCGCACGCCTCTCCCACTGGGAGTCCCCCGGCCCGTGAGGCTCGCCTCACCCCAGCTTCTTCACCCCTACCCCAGTTTCCCTTCCCAACTGACCGTGAAGCCGGAGGCAGTTCCCCAGTCCCAGACCCCGGTGGGGCTCCCGCCGCCGCCGCCGCTGCCTTCCCCTGCAGTCCCCAACCCGGGACCCGGCCTCGGGCTTCGGCGATGGCTCCTCGGAACGAGGCGCCGCGGCTCTCTGGACTCGGCCAGACACCGGGCGGCGCGCAGGAGAAGCCCATCGAGCTCTCCCGGCAGTGGCGGCGGCCGCGGCTGCAGGAGCGGCCGCCGCGCAGGTTGATGACGCGCTGACGCGGGGCGGGGGGGGGTGGGACGTGGGGGCGCGGTCCAGAGGAGGGGACGCGCGCAGATGACGTGCGGCTCGTGGGGCAGCTCGGCAGCATGGCGTCCGTGACGCTGAGCGAGGCGGAGAAGGTGTACATCGTGCATGGCGTCCAGGTAGCTACAGCAGCGGCGTTGGGTCGGCCGCCGGGTTCAGCCTGGCCCTGCGGGTCGCGGCCTGCCCTGGGTTTGCCAGTGAGGAGGCAGCCGAGCTGCGGCGACTCTCCGTTTACCTTGTGATTAAACGGTTCTGCTGCCGGCGTTTGCAATTCAGAGCTGGCAACGTGGACGTTTTTAGGACTGTTAGCGCATTTGCAGTTTTGCGGGTCTATAAGATTCCGAACCCGGGCAGGAAGCTTGGGCAGTCTCGGAGGCCTTTTCTTAGTGAGAGAGCATCGGCCCCAGGGCCATCCATTCGGCGTTCGCGCACAGATCTTGTCCGAGCCTCAGTTTTCTCTTCGAGGAAATGGGAGTTTGGAGGTGGGCTTCTGGCCTGCTTTTCCTCACCTCGTGGTTAGGAGGGCGCATGCGAGGTGAACGCACTTTGAAAATACAAATTGCCGTACAAATAAAGGGGGAAGGGTTTTTAAAAAGCGGCTAGGACGCCTGTAATCCCAGCACTTTGGGAGGCCGAGGCGGGCGGATCACGAGGTCAAGAGACCGTCCTGACCAACATGGTGAAACCCCGTCTCTGCTAAAAATACAAAAAAATTTAGCTGGGCGTGGTGGCGCACGCCTGTAGTCCCAGCTACTCGGGAGACTGAGGCAGGAGAATCGCTTGAACCCGGGAGGCGGAGGTTGCAGTGAGCCGAGTCTCAAAAAAAAAGCGGCTAGGCAGCCGATAGCCTAAGTGCTGTTTCCATTTTGCCAATGAAGAACTAAGATCCCTAGGCAGCTATAACCTAATGTCCTCTGTGTTCTATATTAAATCCCTGGTTATGACCACTCCAGAACGAGGGTTGAAAAATGTTGGACCTGGTAACGAGCTACCCTGTATCCTCCTCCGGCTGTGTCTCCACTTGTTAACCTACGGTGTGGTCCTCCTATCAGAGTTCTTCATCCCATCCTTGGCAGAGTTCTGGCGACAGCTCCTACCTCTTTTCCTCATGCCTTTCCTCTGTCAGTACCAACTGCAAAGTCAGTGGTCCCGTGATGTAGCCATCGGATTGAAGCGGCCAGCTATCATTGAAGTCCCACAACGTGAGTTAAGGACATGTCCATTTAAAAATCGTGACCTGCCGTTATCTTCTGGGCCCTTTATATATGAAGAAATGCCAATATTTAGCATATTATGCCTGGATAATAAAGTCAGAACTCACAGTTGCATATTTTAGTTATAATTCAGGATTAACAACAGTGGGACATATGTGTGTATTACAGGGTAACATGTATGTTATTTGTGTGTGAGGGGGCATAAAAATGCCCAAAAGCAGTTAGATATGTCTTTCCCTGCTATATTTTTGTATACACTTTGTTCAGGTGATTTTTATCCTCAAAGTATTTTTTTAGGGACACATTACGGATAACCGTTTTCCTCTAAATTTAAAAACCTTTGGTCTTCTTTGTTACCGGAGCTTACCATGATGTAGTGACTCTGTCATGTGTCCTATTTTCTCTCAACATTTCATCCCTGAAAGTGGCACTGAGGCATGGATATATCTGTAACCTCAAGGTTAGAGCTTTCTCCCCAGCACCCTTAATTCCCACGGCAGTTCATTAGCTATCCAGCAGCAGAGTCCCACCATGGTCATTAGTTAATTTTATTTACCAACATATATCTAGCTCCTGGCATGTTATGTGGGAAACAGCAGGGATGCCAAAACATGGTTGTGAAATAAATGAAAGATAGGAGGGAGACAAACAGAGAGTAAAAGTGAATAAAATAAAAACAAAGGTAATGTAAGATCTATGCCAAGGAAGTGGTATAGTTAGTGGAGGTTGAAGTTAAAGTATACCAGGGGCCGGGCATTGTGGCTCACGCCTGTAATCCCAGCACTTTGAAAGGCTGAGATGGGAGGATTGCTTGAGCCTAGGAGTTTGAGACCAGCTTGGGCAACACAGTGAGAGCCCATCTCTAAAGAAATAATTTTTTTTTAATAAATAAAAAGAATTCCAGGGACTTGTAATGCTCTGAAGGCTTCCCTAAGGAGGTGGAATTGCTCCCCTAAATCCATGTCAAGGATTCCTCCTCTGTATCTTCAGGACTCAGTATTCATTCATTCAACACAGAACTGAGCTAGACTCAGGGGCTAGGAAGGAACCTGTCCTTATATAGCTCTCATGCTAGAAGGAAGATGCAGAAACTATAAATGTACTTGAGTGTTTATATATAAAATTGTACTGAATGCTATGAAGGAAAAAACGGACACGATCTAGACTGGGAGGTCAGAGGAGGCTTCCCTAAGGAAATAGCATTTGAACTGAGTTCTCAGCATGACTGAGAATTAAGTAGGCACCAGTGTTCCAGAAGGAAGGGGTGGTGAGTCTGTAAATCCTCAGGTGGAGGACATGTGGAGCCCAAGGGGTGGGCTGGGGGAAATGGTGGAAGATCAGCTTGCAGAGGTGGCCAGAAGCACGATCCTAGAGGTCTTAGAGGTTCAGTCATTCGCTCATCATGGATCTTGGAAGGCAATAGCCTGTTGACTTGTCTGTATGGGGGACCCTTAAGGCATAGCCAGTGTCTAGCACTTGGTAGGTTCTTAGTAGCATTGAATGGGTGATGTAAGCTTTAAAGGGGGAATGAGTTGGATGGTGTTTTTATTTTTTAAATTAAACCTCCCTCTCACCAGTACCATGGACATATTTGGGCACAGTTGTTGGTAAATGCTCAGCTCTGTGTATCACAGAGCCATGCAGAGTAATGGGCTTCAAATCAACGTCTTCATAAGGGCTTATTAATGTTGGCCCAAAATATGCCATATGTATAGAGGAGCAAAACACAATTTACACCATCCAAATAAAGGTCAGGATGCAGGTGAATGAGCCTACCATGGAATCTCAACTGATTCAGTTCTGAAATCTCCTAAACTTTTGTTGCGTTGGTTATAGAGTGCCGGCAGTGCACCTTAAGCAGTGCCTGCCTGAACTCCTGTTGCTTGTATAGTCCTAGTCATTTTGTGTTTTACTTTTCACCTTTGGTCCAGTAACGTCCATTTCAGCTTCTGATGTCACTTTCCCTTCAGCCTTTGGTTCTTTTACTATTTCAGGGAATATTTCATCTTGTTTTGGTGATAGTTAGAAGCAGTTGAAATTAACCTCACGATGTGTTGAGGATTCAGTTGCTAGTAATGGTAACCAACACATCGGCTCAAGCAAAACAGTATGGATTACAAGGCTGCAAGTGTTTCTCCAGGAATCCTAATCTCTGCTGGTTTTTTTTTTCCCCCTCTTTGCTTTGTTTTTGTCTCCCTACAGATTGGTTTTCTATTTCTTGGGCCAGTGGTAGAAAAAATGTGGTTCCTTCCCAGTTCCTCTGTAAAAGAGACCATTCCTTCTCGTTCAGTTCTGAACTCATGTTTCCAAGAGAAAGAAACTCTAGTTCTTTTAGGGGGTTGAGGGAAAGGATGGACAGAATAATTAGGCTCAAACATGGCCACTAGAGGATGTGTCACACTTGGGAGAAGTCAGTTTGTGAGAAGGGAGGGTGGATCATTTTAGTTATTGGCAGAAAATGGAACCCTCTTCAGGTAGTTCAGGAGACTTTTATGATGGGACTCTAGAGCAGTATGGGGGGGGTTTCAGGGAACCAATAAGAGATGTTGAGGAGCCCCAAGACAACTACTGGGAGTGGCTACTGCCCCTATTCCAAAGGGGCCAGGGGAGGAAACAGTATTACCACATTTCAGTGATAGCTGGAACTGTGGAGGAAGGGCTGCCCAACATAAGTCATAGTCTTCGATAGATGCAGGCACTATCAGAAATGTGGCCACTAGATTGGGGGTGAGGGGCACCCTCTGATCTGGTATCTTCCACTGGACAAACCCAACCAGAAGCCAGCAAAGGGAGTCTAGGTGATACAATTTGAGTCAACCTGGTGAACAGATCCCCTCTCCCAGGGGAGAACAGAGAATCAAAAAGGTGGATTAAATCGGTATTTTGATAAATAATTTGATTGGTTTCTGTTAGGTTCTCTTTCAGTCTTTGAAGGCTATATCCCATTCTTATTAGGTACATATTATAATTTTTATTTCATTGAATATTTACAACAGTTCTGAAGGTAAATGTTATCTCTATAGATGAGGAACTGAGCTCGGGCAGGTTGAGTCGCTTGTCAAGGTGACACAGTAATTGAGTGGTGGCACTGGGATTTAAATCCAGACCTGTCTGATTGCAAAGCCCATACTTGACTCTGAGGCCACCTTCCTGCTGCAGTGAAAGTCATTTCTTCCATTTCCTCAGTAGGGATCCAGAGATCAAGGCAGGAGAGAATCTTTGCTTCCTCTACCTCCTTTTCTTTCCCCCTTTCTCTAAAAGCTTGTGGGGAAACTGGAAGGGAAAGAGAAAGTTCTAATTGACACCTCCCACTCCCCAGTTTTTCTAGAGCTTAAATAGTATATGGCATATACTGCTGTATTGTTTTGGTTGCATTTTTCCCACATTGAGTATAAGTTCCTTTAGAACCCTATATTGCATTTCTTTGTATAGCTTTTGTCTTACTAGTATCATAAACGATTTACTCTGCCCATACCATGCAGAACTTGGAGCAGACTTCAGAATTTTTAGAATCTAGGATTTATCCTCTTTTCTGGCTTACTGGGCTAGATGTGTGTTTTCCTCATCCATGAGAAGCCATTGCTAACCTCCCTCTTAGCCCAGGGATTCTGAAGCCTTGAAGTGCATTTTACTCACCTACAAAATACAGATTCTGAGGCTTTACCCCAACATTCTGAATCAGACTCTCTGGGGCTGGGGCCTGAGAATGGACATTATCATAAAGTGTTGGGAAATTTGGGGGCAGCCACCAGACATTGGCCCATGGGTAAGCCACTGACCAGAGATAAAGAAATCTCTGCTCTCTCCTGCTGAAGTCATATGGTTTCCTGCCTCTTTTTGAATGAGGCTTTGGAGTCAGACTGAGCAGGCACCTTCACCATTTACAATAAGTGGTTTTACTTGCATAACTGAACCTGCTTCCCTTGTGTAAAATGGGGACTTATGCACCTGGAAGTAGAATGGGGTTATGAGGAATGATGAGATAAGAGATGTCAAGCACTTGGGCTGTGGTTAACACAGAAAAAATGCTGGCTCCCTTTCAAGTTTGTTTTTCCATCAGAAGTGTGACTTTGTCTTAAACCATCCACACTAGATCCCCAGCCTTCATAGTGACCTCATTAAAGATTCAGCCTGTGGCTCCTGAGAATTAAACCTCTTTTGATTTGAAGGAATCGGGATTTTTCAATTATCTCAAGAAAAGGGATAGGCCAGGTGCAGTGGCTCACACCTGTAATCCCAGCCCTTTGGGAGGCTGAGGTGGGAGGATCACCAGAGGCCAGGAGTTGGCATCCAGTCTGGGCAACATAGCAACACCCTATCTCTAAAAAAAATTAGGTGTGTGGTGGTGTGTGCCTGTAGGCCTAGCTGCTTGGGAGGCTGAGGCCAGAGGATCGCTTGAGCCCAGGAGTTGGAGATTTCACTCCAGCCTGGGTGACAGAGAGATACTCTGTCTCTTAAAAGAAAGAAAAAGAAAAAAGAGAAGGGGGATCTGTGGCAAGAGCTGGAAAGTCCCCAGACAGCTCTGAGGTACCGCCTCTCATGGGCTCCGTGGATTATCTCATGGCCTGTGTGGCTGTCTGTCTTTATCTCTAGTGACATCTCTGCTTTTCTCTGCCAAGATTTATCCCTTCTCTGCAGCCACTTGCTGTCCAGCTTCCCTTCTTTGTAGAATCTGCCTCTGCCCAATACCTTTACTTTCGTGTGGCCTCTCTGGGCTCCTCCATATCATGACCTGTCAGCTCCTCTTTAACTCCTTTCTTCTCTCAAGTGTTTCTCAGATCAGAGACCAGATTGCAATGAGAGAATCAGTTTGGTCTGGTAGTATTTCACGCCAAAAAGAGTTGGTCACCCTTTGGATTATATGCCTTTGGTTCAGGCACCTACCCCTGGTCCTGGCTGTTGGGGATGGATGGTGACTGTTATGTGGCCTTTACAGGGCTTTAGGCACAATAAAGCTTTCCCAGGTTCAGCCTACTGAGTGCTATGGCTATGACCTGGACATTAAACTGGCCCTCATAGGTTCAGACCTGGCCATGGCAATTGACGAACCCTACCACAGGGCTCTTGGAACCCTGTGAAAGCCATTTTATTGTATGTTCTTGGCTGTTGAAGGGAGTTGTAGCCCAGCTGATGGCTTCCATTTCTTTTCTGTGGATCTTGCTTTCATCATAAGCATTGTTTAGGGGTATAGCATGGAAGAGGGAGATCAGGGCCTCAGCCTGGTTTTCAACTATGAGATTGAGCAGTCAGTATTCGGTTGCTCAGTCTGGCCATGACAGAATTGGAGCCAGCCCTCAGGACTCTTGATTTTTAGCTCTCTGCCCTTTCTGTTTACAGACCCATGGCACAGAAAGCCTTATGCCCAGACACTGCAGGATGCAGAGTTATGGAGCCATATCCTTTCAGAGGAATGCCTGGCTACTCAACAGGGTTGGAAAGTCAAACAAGGATCAACACCTACTTTTGCCTGCTGTGTGATGGGCCCGAGCCTGCAAAGCTGGACCAAATGTGGCCCCTTTCCTAAGGGCGGGGGGCAGTCACCTTCTAGTAGGGGAAGGAATTTAGTCTCACTTCTCCTTTAGGAATCTGGAGTATTAGACAAGTCAAAGCAAGTTAATGAGGGGTTAACATAACCTCAGAGGACCACTTTGAGTCTAAAGTCCTTCCAGATGTGTCAGATTGGTAGCGCCAACTTGTCAGTTTCTATTAAGAAGTAATAGGACTGGGCTTCCTGGGTGTGAGGGAAAGTAGGTCTGTGCTTAAATGTCCTTCCACTCTGTCACAAACAGGAGATTGAAACTTAGGTGCCTCCATTCTTATCTGTAACCTCTCTCAGGGTTGTTTTTGAGGATGCAGTGAGTTAATGCATGCCCCCAGAAGCAGGGGAAGGGAACTGCTTTGGGGGGACTCCTATGTGTTACACTGAAGGACTCCTTTAAATGCTTTATGACGTTTCTGTTCTCTTGTAACTCTGTAAGGTCGGGGTTATCCCTGCTTTCTAGATGAAGAAACAGGCTTAGAGCTATTTAGGTCAAGGTCACAAAACTGGCATGTGACAACAGAGATTTAAGTATAATTTGGAAGGTGGCTGTTTCCACCACACCACACCCTACTGGTAGGGTTGTTGTGATCACATGGGTAACAGCTGTGAAAGTCACCAAGAGCTTTCCTGGCATCCAGAAGCCCTTGATCTAGAGGCACATCAGTCTCCTCTGCTGAGAAGGAGGGGACACCACTCCATGCTGTTGACATCTCTTGAGTTTTAAAATGGAGCTTTTACTTCAGGGTAACTCCTATTTAAGTGTTCACACATGGATTAATTCCTTTGCTCGTGACTGCTGCAGATAAATAAAAACTGTGGTAGGGCACCAGGCCCTGAGCTAGGCCAGGCAGGTTTGGACAATTTCCTAAGCCTTTTATAAGGAAAACTGGGTTTAAAAAAAAAAGTTGCCCTGGGTACAGTGATTCATGGACTGGTTAGGTTGGTTTTTTTGGTTTGTTTTCCTCCTATCCTTTTTTTATATGGAAAAAAATTATGCATGCTTGGAAAGGAAAATTTGTAGCTTTTCATTTATCTTTTACTTATCACCTGAGCCTTTCTCCAGGAGGCAGAGAGTGAATTAAAGGCTGGAAAAGCAGTATCTGATGAGGCTCAGTTTTCTGACAGCCCACCAGCCCCTTCCTGGACCAAGTACATTTTCACTACAAAGAGGTGTGACTAATCTTTCAGAGCAAGTGATATTTTAGAAGCAGTAGTTGGACCAGATGTGGTGGCGCATGCCTGTAATCCCAGCACTTTGGGAGGCTAAGGCAGGAGGGTCACTTGAGGCCAGGAGTTTGAGACCAACTTGGGCAACATAGCAAGACCCCATCTCTACAAAAAGTAAAAAATAAAAATTAGCTGGGCATGTTGACATGTGCCTGTAGTCCTAGCTACTCAGGAGGCTGAGGTAGAAGGATTGCTTGAGCCTAGGAGTTTGAGGCTGCAGTGATCACCACTGCACTACAGCCTGGGTGACAGAGTGAGATCCTGTCTCAAAAAAAAAAAAAAAGGAAGAAGCAGCAGTAGTAAACCCTGTGACCTTGTGGCCAGCCAGTTCATCCTGTGAAGGAGGTCTCTGCTGAGTCCTTTTGTAAAGTGAAGACATCCTTTAGAATGCAGTGGACTGTGTAGCATAGCGGTTAAGAGCTCTGACTTGAGGCTTAAGTGCTACTTACTGGCTGTCTGAACTTGGGCCATTCATTTGACATCTTTTAACCTCAGTTTTCTCATTTGTAAAATGGAATGAATAACACTATCGTATAGGATTATTGAAAAGATTAAATGCATTAACTGCAGTATTCCTTGCACATTATCTGGTATATAGTAAATGCACAGTAAATAGCAGCTGCTATTATTTATTGCAAATAATTACAGCCATTTTAATTTATAGATCTGTAGAATTAGAGAATCACTTTGAGACTAATTTAATCTCCATCTTTTACAAATGAGGAAACTAATCCAGAGAGGGAAGGGGCTTGTCCTAAGTCAAGTGGCTAGTTAGTGCCAGGAGCTGGCCTGGAACCATGAGTCATGTTCCTAATGATTGTTCATACTTACACCATATTTACACCCCACAAAGAACTTCTTGTCAATAACCTTTCTGGGCTGGGTATTCACTTTCCTAGCTGGGGAGTGGGGCACATGGAGGTGGAGAGGGCTGGAGTGTTAGAGATTGAGCTAGAAAGCCTTCAGGTTCTATGGGTGAGGTTGGGAAGAGACACAGTTACATAGTTATGGGTCTTCCAGTGAAGAGGGATCACCTTCTGGAGTTCTATCCTAAAGGCTTACTCTCTTAGACTTGAAATTCTGTTGCTTTTTGAATCCATCTCCAGACTCAAGATAGGGATATTGTGTCTGGAATTGGTGGGTTCTTGGTCTCACTGATTTCAAGAATGAAGCTGCAGACCCTCGCGGTGAGTGTTACAGTTCTTAAAGGCGGCGTGTCCGGAGTTGTTCCTTCTGATGTTCAGATGTGCTCGGAGTTTCTTCCTTCTGGTGGGTTCGTGGTCTCGCTGGCTCAGGAGTGAAGCTGCAGACCTTCATGGTGAGTGTTACAGCTCTTAAGGCGGCACACCTGGAGTTGTTCATTCCTCCCGAGGTGGGTTCGTGGTCTCGCTGGCTTCAGGAGTGAAGCTGCAGACCTTCGCGGTGAGTGTTACAGCTCATAAAGGCAGTGTGGACCCAAAGAGTGAGCAGTAGCAAGATTTATTGCAAAGAGCGAAAGAACAAAGCTTCCACAGTGTGGAAGGGGACCCAAGCGGGTTGCCACTGCTGGCTCTGGCAGCTTGCTTTTATTCTCTTATCTGGCCCCACCCACATTCTGCTGATTGGTCCATTTTACAGAGAGCCGAGTGGTCTGTTAGACAGGGTGCTGATTGGTGCGTTTACAATCCCTGAGCTAGACACAAAGGTTCTCCACCTCCCCAGTAGATTAGCTAGATACAGAGTGTAGACACAAAGGTTCTCCAAGTCCCCACCAGAGTAGCTAGATACAGAGTGCTGATTGGTGTATTTACAATCTCTTAGCTAGACATAGAGGTTCTCCAAGTCCCCATCAGACTCAGGAGCCCGGCTGGCTTCAACCAGTGGATCCTGCACTGGGGCCGCAGGTGGAGCTGCCTGCCAGTCCCCTGCCATGCACCCGCATTCCTCAGCCCTTGGGTGGTCGATGGGACTGGGCGCCGTGGAGCAGGGGGCAGCGCTCCTTGGGGAGGTTGGGGCCACACAGGAGCACCCATGGGTGGGGGTGGGAGGGCGGGGAGGCTCCCGCATGGCAGGCTGCAGATCCGGAGCCCTGCCCCGTGGGAAGGCAGCTAAGGCCCAGCAAGAAATTGAGCACAGCAGCTGCTGGCCCAGGTGCTAAGCCCCTCACTGCCTGGGGCCAGCTGGCTGCTCCAGAGTATGGGGCCCGCCTAGCCCACACCCACCCGCTGAGCCCATGCCCACCCAGAACTCGCGCTGGCCCGCAAGCACTGCCCGCAGCCCTGGTTCCCACCCACGCCTCTCCCTCCACACCTCCCAGCAAGCTGAGGGAGCCGGCTCCCACCTTGGCCAGCCCAGAAAGGGGCTCCCGCAGTGCAGCGGCGGGCTGAAGGGCTCCTCAAGTGCTGCCAAAGTGGGAGCCCAGGCAGAGGAGGTGCCGAGAGCAAGCGAGGGCTGTGAGGGCTGCCAGCACGCTGTCACCTCTCAATATCTTCCAGGGAGGAAAGGTGCTGGGGGAAGGATGGGCTGCACAGGACCTTCCACCTGATTTGTGATGTTTATTTTCTGTCATTGAAAAGTTAAACGGGTGAAAGACCTGAAGCAAGTATGGCAGAGGGTGATCATTGGTACTGTGTGGTGCTGCAGTGTTTTGCTTTTTTCTGTTTAATTTCTCAAAAAAGTCAGTCACATATGCAGTTAGCCAGGCAGTTTAAAGATAAACTGTCAGTCACATACTTTAGAGCAGTGTTTTATTTTATTTTTTATGTTTCTGGGAAGCATCAACTCCTTGGAGAATCTGATTAAGCTAATGATTCTTTTTCTGAAAAAAACTGCTTTTGAAAAATGTTTACAAAGAATGAGAAGGAGCTCCATGAGCCAACGTGGAATGATTTCCTGCATATATATAGTTAAGTGTTAAAAAAAAAAAAAAAAGTAAGAGTATCTATAGTATTCCACCCTTCATATAAGAAACAAGGAGATATTAAAAAATTCATGTATTTGCTTATTTGTGCAGAGAAAATACAAGAAAGATAAACCTGAAACTGAAGAGAAACCTAGGGTGAATGGGAAGAAAGGGGCATGAAAATAGCATAATACGGAGGAGAGTGACATTTCTCTGAGCATACTTTTCTGAGTTTTCTCTCAGAACTATAGTGATAGCTCACAAACTCAGAAAGTAAATAAGTAATTAAAAGTAACCATGATGTGGGGGAACCCAAAATGGAAAACAAAAATTTACAAATGAAAATTAGCCAGGCATGGTGATGTGCCTGTAATTCCAGCTACTTCAGAGGCTGAGGCGGGAGAAGCGCTTGAACGCAGGTGGCGGAGGTTGCAGTGAGCTGTGCCACACTGCACTCCAGCCTGGGCGACAGAGCCATAGTCTAAAAAAAAAGTTACAAGTTACAAATGAGCCTGTGTTACAAGTGAGTAATGTAACCACACTGAAGGGCACGTAGAAGAAAAGAACTGAAGTAACTGGAAAACAGTATTTTGCCTGGATACTCTGAGGCTAAAGACAGAACTTTACACAAATACTGTGTGCTATTAGTAAATTTGTTTCTCACAGGGGTATGGGTTAGAAGTTCAGAAACTGTGTATACTAAGATTGAACAAATACAGAAATACATGTTAGATAATAAGAGCCAGCTTTCTCCTTCTTTGAGAAAGAAGTTACAAATAAGAAACAGAGGAAGGTTAGAATGAACCATGTGATGTTAGATTGGAATTGATCTATCAGTATGAACTCTTGGCTTTTTAATAGATATGTAGATAGATACAGAATTAAACAGATTTGTGTGTGTGTGGTGGGGGTGGTTAGTATACATAACTGTATTTTCTAGCTCTGTCTGCTGAGAAGTTCTGGAAGAAATAATACTCCAACAGCAATGAACTTAGAGCCTAGTTCCTGGTTTTAAGTACCATTCCCCAATAAAAGCAACCAGGGCTCCTTGGAGAAAGGCTTGATCCCTAGGGCTGGGCAGAGAAGACACAAGAGGATAGATATCTTGTGTTGCAGAAAGTAGATAATTACTCAAAAAGTTGGAGGCATGTTGAAAGAGCACAAAAACTAACCCAAAGAAGCCCCCAGTGGCCAAATTTGGAACACTTTGAGCAGCAAAATAACTAATGATAGTAGTGGATTATAACCATAGCATAAAAGATACCAATGAGTTGTACTGATACAAGTAATTGAAGGAGTAAATAAATGGGCAGAAGGAACAGGCAGCGCGTAGACCACCCTGAAAACCATCTTCTGCCAAAAGAGTCAGCAAACTTCCTGTAAAGGACTGGATAGTAAAGATTTGGGGCCTTATGGGTCATATCTCTGGCCCAACCACTCAGCTCTGCTTTTGTAGTGCAGAAACAATCATAGACATTACCTAAACAAGTGGGCATGGCTATGTTCCAGTAAAACTTATTTACAAAAACAAGGGACCTTAGTTTGTTGACCCTGTTCTAGAGACTGCCTCTTTAGAAGATTAGGTGTCTTTCACTATTTACACAGTAGATCTTGTTGAGTTTTAGGGGTAGGAGGGCTTCAGTTGAGATGATTGTACTCTGTAGCTCTGACAACATATACTTCTTGGTGCAATTTAAGAATTGCAGATTTAGAGAGAGGTGGCTTATTTTGTCTCTTGTTCAGATCTTGTTTTTGTGTGCATATTCTATATAGTGGTATGTAGTATAGATTTTGCAATCAGACACAACTGGCATGGAAAACTAGCTTTGTTTTCACTAGCTGTAGGACCTTGGACAAGTCGCTCAACTTCTCTGAGTCTCCATTTCCTCATATGTAAAATAGTAATGTTGTTGTTAGCTACAAGGACAGAATTTTAGATGATCCACTAAGAGGAAAAGAGATATTCTGCATATATCTTCTCTAGGGGGAAAATGGGTGAGTCCGTTTAGGAGTTATTGTTGATCTGGGGTGACTATAGGACTGTGGTTGTTAACACCTAGGAAGACCTCCGTGTGGATGGCCGTGGCTGTGAGGACTACCGATGTGTCGAAGTGGAAACTGATGTGGTGTCCAACACTAGTGGGTCCGCCAGGGTCAAGCTGGTGAGTACTGTGACCATGGTTCAAGCCCAGGTGGAGAAATGAGTAGGCCCTAAGGAATGAGCTGCTGACGCTGTCTGGCTTTTGGAATGCAAATTGCTCTTGGGGAAATCGAAGATCCGAGCCAAACTCAGGGAGGGGGGGTCTATCCAGATCTGAAAAGACTGCTCACCTCCTCCAAAGACCACTTTCCAAGTCTTAGCACTGCTCCTAAAAGAGTCCCCCAGGGGTGTATGTCCAGAAGAGGAGGGAGGTGGTGGAGTACCTGGCTGCATACTCTGAGTGAGGACTCTTCTTGCATGTGTCTGCAGGGTCACACAGACATCTTGGTGGGAGTGAAAGCAGAAATGGGGACGCCGAAGCTGGAGAAACCAAATGAAGGCTACTTGGAGTTCTTTGTTGACTGGTCAGTACTGTCTATGCAGATATTTCTAAAGATAAATGATTTTAAAGATGAAGATTCAGAAAATGAACCTCTGGTTTGCTGTTGAACCCACTTTTATACTTATCATTCAGCCATCCAGCAGGCATTTGCTGACCTCCTCCTATGTGCCAGGTACATAGTCAGGACTCTTGGCTTGAGTCCTGCCCTAGTCTTAACCACCTGGCTATTGCTGGCCTTGTTTTCCCTGTCCGATAAAGGAGGACATTTGCCAGGCAGCCTAGCACATGATTGTGATGAGGGTCAAATGAAATGATTGTGTTATGGTGCTTTGAAAAATATACACAGTAAGGATCATTTGGTCTAAAATGTGCTGTTTCTCTTCCTACTCTAGTTCTGCAGAAAACTGTTCATGATTTGCTTGACAGATGAAGCCTAGGGTCAGCCAAGCAGCCTGACAGGCTGAGGAAGTGGCAGCTAGGCAGGCAGTATGGGTGCTGAGAAGAGAGAGGGCTCTGCAGTGTCTGCAGCCAGCCTTGGGCCAGAATGTCACTTCCTTCTCTGGCCAGCTTTGTGATCTCAGGCTGGTTACTCAGTCTCACTGTGGCCAAATTTCTTCATCTAAAAAATGAGGATAATAAATAATACCATGGTGATGAAGAGGAAATGAATAGAGTGAGTACCTAGCACAGTGACTGACTTCCAGTGGGCTTTCAATAAGTGTTATTTCTCCTTATTTTGTCAATAAGTTCAATAAGTATTATTAGCTCCACATTCTAGGGGTCGGGGCTTTTTATTTGGTTGCTGGCCAGGTCCCGTCTTCTATCAATTACTTTGCTTCTGGAAGCCAGGCCTTCTTGAAGTGGGTAAGGATCTCTGTGGGCTCATGCTGGGTGTAGGTATATAATGTTGACCCTGTATCAAGATCCCCAAGACCACCTCCACATTCAGAGATTTGCTAGACTTAGCATATAGTGATACTCACAGCTAAGGTTTATTACAGCAGTGAAAATGCAGTAACTTATTTGTGACATTTCTGCCCAGGAAAGCCCATTAGAGACTCAGCACCCAAGATTTTTACTGGGAGCTGGTCACATAGACACTCGATGCTTAATACATAATGAAGTTTTCTAAAGGAAAGCAAATGTTCAGCATAAATCATATTATTTGCACAATATAGGCACAGTGGACTACCCCCATCAGTTTACTATTGCCTGGGAGCCAGGTTCCCGGATGCCAGCCAAGGGCCAACCCTGCAAACAGACCCTTCTGAAAATAGCACCTTTGGACTGCAATGGCAGCCCTTTTTTGCACAAATGTTAACCCACTTTTGTAGGGTGAGTTACAGTCTTCCAGTCTGAACTTCCATACACGGAAGCTGATTCTCATAGTACTCGTATAAGAGAAATGACAAATGAGTTCAGAGAGAGTAAGTGACTACCCCAGGGTTACAAAGCTAAAAATGCCAGCTCAGGTCTGTCCAACCTGTGAATCTTTGCTCATTTTACTTCATGCAGCCTATGGAAGCCAGCTTTGGAGGGCTGCTCTTGGGGAGTCCAAGAACTATCCATGTTCATTTTTCTGGTCAGTTTTTTTTCCAGCCCATTCCTGTCCCCTACTCTGGTCCCCCAAGTCGTCTCTCCTGGTTCTGCTCATCTTCTCTCACCAGCCTGAGTTGTCCCATGGAATTGGCCCATCCTTTAAGTCACTGTGGATGATGGTGACCTTGTTCAAGCCCCCAACTTATCTTTTCCTTTGTTCTTGGAGGAAGCAGAATGCCTCTGGTGGCCTTGATCTGCCTAATTCAATGCAGTAAGCAGTCACTGAGGAGCAGACAATGTGTGAGGAACTGTAATTTGCTTTCTTTTTCATCTCCTTCATTACCTTCTACCTCATTCATTTTAGGCAGACCAAAGACATTCAGCCCAACCACACCAAAGAGAGGGTGTTGCCCTCAGATGCTTGGTATAGGGGATACGTTTCATTGTGGCTCTGTGTCTAAATATGACTCCAAGTTAGCCTGCTGCTCTTATCCCTTTCTTGTCCCAGCTGTAAAGGATGAGTGACTCTAGTGTGAGAGGATTCTTTGAGTTGCCTCTTCCCAAGATCTGGCTTCTAGAAGTAGCCTATCTTTCCTGGCTTAGAGTGGCTGCCTGCTGGTCTCTTTTCCTCCTCTGTGGGTCTCAAAAGGATCCCCACAGGCCCAAGAGCTCCAGTATCTAGGTAGTTCTCCTGAATTGATTTCTCAAGATGGACAGTCTCAAAGTGGCACACTTTACCTTCTTTAAGTGGCTCAGCTAATGTAATCAGCCGGGCAAGTAGAATCACCATGAGAGAGTCACAAAACCCCATTTCCTACAGAGATGGGAGAGGTTACCAAGCACTGATCGCTGCCACCTGTATCAGAACCTCAATTGAGTCTTCAAGGAGCATAATTATTTTAATTGCATAAACAAGTGTGTCCTTTTATTCTGAATCAGTGAATAGGAATGGCTTCTGGACACCCGTGGATGTGCCCAGCAATAAGGGTGCCACACACCCACTCCCACCTGGACTCCAGGCATAGGGCCTCTGCTGGAGAGCTCAAGGCATTTGCCTATCCACAGGCTGAAACATAGTTGCTGCCCAGTGGAAGGAAATAAATTGGTGGTGATGGTGGTGGTGATGGTGGTGAGGGTTTCTTCTGCTGCTCTGAGTCTAGTTTGATTTAACTTCTTGTTAGCAACTTCCAGTTTTAATTAAATTGCCAGGGGTAGAGAGGTCTCAGAAAACTAATTGATTTTCTGCCAACCCATTTCACTTGGTTTTGTCTACTTGGGATGATAATACATGGAGCCAAGATAGACACTGTCGCCACCTCCATAATTTACCCTGTTTCTTGGGAATGACGAAAAATCTTTGATATAGCCCTCACAGCCCTTTGGAAAGACTGCTGCACTGACCCTGAGCCCTGTTCCAGAGATGCCTGGCAGCACTGTCACTAAACTGGGAGCAAAATCTGACCTTTTCATGTCTTTGGTTTGCTGGTTGTAGCTGAGAGTAGGCTATTTTAAATGAGAATTTGGAAACTTTAGGAAAAGGTGGTTTCTATCTAAAGCCCAAAGGAAGGGAAGATTTTAGTGAGCTGGTGTGTCACCCTGCGCTGCCACTAGGCGGCGAGCCATCAAGTTGCTTCTCAGTTCTCCGACCATTGTGTTGATGGGTTTAGGACTGTGGTTTAACCTCTTAGAGAGGCTTGGGTTTTTAACTAGGGGAGTTTAGGAGAACATTTTTCATTCATAAATGTTTCAGAATACTCCGCACTTGTCACTTCCCTTTGGGATCTTAACTATTTTTCAATGTGAACACTTGTATTTTTCACTAAAATTGAACCAGAATCTTCAAGCCTGCATTGGTGGTTGGAGTCACTATATCTGGGTTCCTTGCCTGCTTAGTGCTGCTAAAGGGGACACTGTTCCTGGCTGAGGGGCTGGGGGTGGGTACAAAGCAGAGAGGCAACCTGCAGAAGCCTTTTGAGGCTAATTGTAATCAAAGTCTCCCAAGCTGATGAGATAACTCTCGCAGACACTTCAAACAAAGGCTTGTGATGAAAACCTCAGAATATACTTACTATTGGTCTGGTACCCATTTACAGGGAGGCTTCTACAGGCTCAGACATGAGCACATGTACACTCAGAGGAATCAGCCTTAGGGCCTGTGTTGGGGCTAGATGACTACTGGAGGGGTAAGGCCCAGGTCAGCCCTGCCTAGGTACCCACTAGATCACTTTTTCTGCTGTGGGCCTGGCCTGACCTGGACGTAAGACTTCATAGATTTGTAGGCTAGATTGATTGCCAGGCAAGCAACAGTGGGCCCAGTGTCTAGAGTCCCTTTCCAGGTAGGCATGGCCTTGATCTCAGCCTACCCCAGTTAAACCAGAGATGTTCCAAGCAGGAGGGTAGAGGTGATGAGTCAGAAGGGGTGGAGAGCTGGGAGGGGTAGCATTCCCAGGATCTTAATTAGTTTATCCAGCTCAGTAAACAATTTCCCACAACTCTGGAAGAGGGACTGGTCATGCTTTATGAAGGGTCAGAATTGGTTTTGGTAAATGCAGAAAGCATTTGGTTTTATGCCCAAAAGACCAAGTGTGTACACCCCCCACTGAAGGAGTAGATTGTGATGCATATGAGCAGGCAGCTACAATTACCAGCCTGTGTTTTCTTTCTCTCTCTAACAGAGCAGAGCAGCTTTTTATTTAGGGCTTCCTTGGTCAACATTCCTTGACTCCAACATTTGTTGTCTAGTGATAAGTTCCAAGACCAAAGCATACATTCATTTCCCTGAGGCAAAAGGTAAAACCAAGGAAAGTGAACCTGACTAATGTTAGACTATAAACCAAGCTTGCCAAATTACAGATTCAAGGAGAGTACAGGGAAGCATAGAAGATAAGGGCCAGGCTGCCTGGGTTAGAATTTTAGCTTACCAGGCACAGTCATCATGTGGCCTTGGACAAATTACATAACCTCTCTGTGACTCAGTTTTCTTGTTTCTAGAATGGAATCCATACCTCCTAGGGTTGTTGTGAACATTAAATGAGTTAATACACCTAAAGTACTAAGAGTGGTGTCTAGCTCATGCTAAACATTAAAAAAAAAAAAAAAAAGATAAGGTCTCCCTTCTTGTAAAATGAGAGAGTTAGACCATCTGGGGTTTCACAGTGTCATCCCACAGGTCAGATCCCACCTGGGAGATTTTTGTTTCATGTAGGGATTTTTTTTTTTTTTAAGGTGGACCTTAAATCAGGGCTAGAAAGTTTGCCACAGCTTCCATCATTCTCTATTAGTTATATGTGGCCCTTTGTTCAGATACATGTAGTAACCTTGCTGACCCCTATAGCCATTTGGGTTTTTATCCTCTGGAGATGGTCTCTAAGGCCTTTTCCAGGTCTACATTTCTGTCTAAATTTGTCAGAAAGAGTCCTTGGGCTGTGAGTGCCCAGTAGTGAAGTGGAATCCTCATTTCTCTATTCCAGCCTTTGTCTTCACACATCAGCAGAATATGGGGTCTGTGGCTTTCTTATGTTGCTTAAAGCATTGTACCCCATCCCCCACCCTGAACAATTGCTTTCCGTTTTCCTAGCCTCCTCCCCAGAGTCACTGCACAGCTATGGCACCATCCAGTTACAGGAGAGTTCCTTGGGCTCATGAGTCTCTAAACCTTCCTCTCTGTCTGACTGCTGGCTATGGTGGAAGAATGGGTGTGTGTGTGTGTGTGTGTGTGTGTGTGTGTGTGTGTGTGTGTGTGTGTTTTAAGCCATTTAAAAATAGGTAAAAATTTCCACTTTAACCCAGTGTCAAAAAAAAACCAGTGGGGCATGGGTTTGTTGTTGTTGTTGTTATTTTGAGACGGAGTTTCACTCTTGTTGACCAGGCTGGAGTGCAGTGGTGCGATCTCAGCTCACTGCAACCTCTGCCTCAGGTTCAAGTGATTCTTGTGCCTCAGCCTCCTAAGTAGCTGGGATTACAGGCATGTGCCACCACGCCCAGATAATTTTTGTATTATTAGTAGAGACGGGGTTTCTACATGTTGGTCAGGCTGGTCTCGAACCCCCGACCTCAGGTGATCCACCCGCCTTGGCCTCCGAAAGTGCTGGGATTGCAGGCGTGAGCCACCACGCCTGGCCAGGGGCATGCATGGTTTTATAGGTAGATTAATTTAGACAGTTGGACCTGGGAAGCTCTATAAATCATCTCCCAAGGCTGTAGAAGAGTTAGTGCATTAATCCCAAAGAAATTAGTCACACCCAGGAGGATGTGCCCACTACATTCAGGGAAAGGTAAACATTTTGAGTGTAAGCATCTCTGGCTGGATTTGTGTACACAGAAATCTCTGTAGATGTATTTTTAAGCACTTAAGACCTGGGACTTAATATTGATTGCTTAGTGTTTAAATTAGAAACAGGTTGTGTTTTGCTGGCTGTGCAAAGTAAAAACCTGGTCCCTGTTGACTTGATTATTTCACCATAAATGAGCTGCTTTTCTTGGCTCAGTGCCTGAGTCCAGCAAAGGCAGGGAACAGCGAGGTTGCTATGGCAGTAATGAAGTCTCTCTTGGGGACTTTAAAGGGGATTCTGCTGGCTCACAGTGGTAAAGGAGGAGTACATAATTAGAGAGGCAAAATTTTATGTAACAACATAGTCTGATTAATTTGGGATTCATTCTTCCACCTATATTACTAAGTGAGATTTCTTTTAGTGTTACACAAATAGGGTGGGCACTGCCATGGGCGTTCACACAGGTTTTGCTTTGCCTGGAATCTTCCTGCCTCTCTGGCCTGACCAGCTCTGCTCATCCCAGGTTTGAGGTCGCCTTTAAACCTGAATGCTAATTGACACTCCTGTGCCCCTACTCCCGCTTCTACCTCACTGTTTGCTCCCTATGGTGAAACTCCCCTACCTCACTGGAACTGCTGGCTTTGGGTCTGCATCCACCTCACTTAGTCTCTAGGTCTCTGGTAGCTGGTGCAGGGCTGGGTGCCTTCCAGATGGGCAAGGGGTCAGAAGGCTTTAATATGTGATTTTATAGAGTCCATGCTGAAACCACTGGCTTCTTACCTTTCTAGTCCTTTACTGTTACAGTAAAATAATTACTAGAATGTTACTTACCTCATATACATATTAAGGGTTTGTTTGTATTAAGCCAAAAACTCTCAGAAATGTCCTGTTAAACACTTCAGTGTTTTTAGGGTGGCTAATGTTGAATCCTGTTAGTTTTGTTGAGGTTATTGGGCATAAATATCAAGAAGCCAAAAAGGGAAAAAAAAAGTTTTTCTCTTGAAAAATATCAAATGAAGGAGGTAACCTACTACTTACAAGCCAACAATCTTTCCCTTGCTTTCTTTCATTTTCCTTCTCTTCAGTACAGTGATATCTAAAGTTTCTGACAAAGCTCTGACATACTATCATACATGTCTTTTAAGTTATTCCAGAAAGGTTATTGTACTTACATTGTGGTTTTTATATTGAGAGTATCGTAGTGTGTTCTAAAGCTGTGAAACTAGAGGTGGTGTATATGACAAAACCCCTCTGTAACCCAGACTGCTTCATTCCCTAGGCCTCTCAGTTTCCTAGGCCTGCCAGAGAAGAGTATTTATTATACTCTGAAGATAAGAGAGTTAATTATTATCGGCCGAGGTTCACATTACCATCACTCTCCTGTTTCTCTTTGACTAAAGATGGCTTCTGTTAGATGCTATTGGGAAATCCCATCACACACACTGACAAATCCAGGTCACAGTGCTGGTCTGGTTCATTACATGTGTCTGGAGTCAGGAAAAGTGGCAGATGCCATCCTTTCCTCATCTCAGTGACTTTCTGTCGAGCAGCTGGCTCTTCCAGCATTCTACAGGGAAACTGGAATAAAGCTTTGCCTCTTTGCTTTTTGCACTTGGAAAGACTCACCCAGTTTTTTTGTTTCTGTTTTGTATAGTTCAGCCAGTGCTACCCCTGAATTTGAAGGTAGAGGAGGTGATGACCTTGGCACCGAGATCGCTAACACCCTCTATCGGATATTTAACAATAAAAGCAGTGTCGACTTAAAGACCCTCTGCATTAGTCCTCGGGAGCACTGCTGGGTTCTCTATGTGGATGTGCTGGTGAGTATCATCGTGCTGTACTGGCCACATTCTACCTTTGTTGGAAAGACTAGTTGGCCTATTTTCCTTCCAGTGCTTTTTTCCTCTTCAGGTGGATGCTTTCAACTTATAGGGTGGGATTAGTTGGGAAAAGATGGTCTCCTATAATAATTTTTTTAAAAATTAAATACAACATAGATGTAAGCAGCATATATATAATGCCATTCTATGATAAAATTATAGTCATATCATGATAGCACCTAAAATTGCCCATAAAAATTGTCCAGGAAGAGTAAAACAAGAGATGGTCTCTGGATGGTGCCAGACAGAGTTCATGGGCAGAATTTAAGCAGGTTGGTACATTCTGTGTGGAAGGATGATTAGCTCTTTACATGCATTTTCATTTAAACCTTATAAACCTGTTACAAATGGACACTGTTATATTTCCCATTTATAAGTGAGGAAACTAAGACAGACAGAGGTAAATCAACTAGCCCAAGAGGTCTCAGCTTGTGAGTAGTGCTGTTGAGTCTCAAAGCCAGGTCTGTATGATGTGAACACCTGGTTTGACTTCACTGTGCCATTGTTTCTTTTAAACACCTCAGAACGTGCCTGCCTTTAGTTTCCTGGGTGAGGCCCCAGAGGCCCTGCCTCCTCCCACACAGAGTCTACTCCCCTGGGAGTCTTTTGAGTCCAGCCCGTCATTTCTTCCCTTGTACTTTGCCTCCCAAATACTCCTCTACCCAGGTTTTGGCACTCGACAGTAACTTCTCTGTGTAGCTCTAATTAATTTTTTTTTGTTTTTTTGTTTTTTTTTTTTTTGAGATGGAGTCTTGCTCTGTCACCCAGGCTGGAGTGCAATGGCGTGATCTTGGCTCACTGCAACCTCTGCTTCCCAGGTTCAATCGATTCTCATGTCTCAGCCTCCTGAGTAGCTGGGACTACAGGCACATGTCACCATGCCTGGCTCATTTTTGTATTATTAGTAGAGATGGGGTTTCATCATGTTGGCCAGGCATGTCTGGAACTCCTGACCTCAAGTGATCCACCTGCCTCGGCCTCCCAAAGTGCGGGGATTACAGGTGCAAACCACCGTGCCTGGCCTTACGGGGATTACAGGTGCAAACCACCGTGCCTGGCCTTAATTTTGCTTTTGTATAATCACGTAGCAGTTGGTTGCTTGTTTATATATAGGCTCTTGTTGGGTCTGTTTTGAACCATGAGATTAGCAACTACATCTTCCACTTCAGATGAAGGACAAAAAGCTAAGCTATTGGCCAAATAGATTCTTTAATGAATGTGCAGATAAAGGAGATCTGTGAACTGATGGTGAACTTCATGAAAAGAAACAGCCTGGCTCTGCATGTTGGCTCTATTGAGACAGGGTGGAGTTTTCTAGATATTTTAAAATTAATTTGATATTGGATGGAGCATAGTCAAAAGGTAGCAGTGGTAACCATTATCTAGCAGGTTACTGTTGCAATGCTACCACTAATAGGTAAAAATAATGAAATTACAAATCTGTTTGCTTTTTTTCCATCTCTGATAAGTGGGATGTACCTTGTAGTATGATTCCTACTAAGTTGGCAATTTTTCAGGTCCTGGGTTTGAGAAGGTGGGACCTGGCAGCCTGTAGTCCTTACTGAGGATGGTAGAGGCAGGCTTCATAGTTGCCCAGGGAGGTGCAGCCCCATGACGTGAACTCTCCAGTTCCATCCTGTGTCTGAAGAAGTTTATGTCCCCTCCCCTCCGCCACTAGAGAAAGTTAAGACACAAGTGTGTGGCACACTGCATTTGTCCTTTTGTAATCCTTTGTTCATCCTCAGTATTCATGCACACTTGTAGTTTTGTAGGATGGCCCAGTGATGGGGACTGATGTGCTTTTGATTCAGTCAGTTAAAGTCAAAGCAACAGAAGCCTGTTCTATTAGGGAAGGCTTTTACAAAACTGATGACTACTGGGACATTATCTCAGCTCAGAAGCAGCCCTCTTCAGTGAGCAGGGGATGGATACATGGTGCGCAGGAATATCCAGGGGAATGTGTATTGTGTCCCTGTCATCTGTAGACCTTTCTTTTTAAGACTCCTGGCATTTGGATTTCTTCTGAAATATTTGTTTTAAGGGTTTTGCTTATTTTGGAAGAAGACATGAGCTTTTAAAATGTTGTCATTTTCTGACCGGGCACAGTGGCTCACACCTGTAATCCCAGCACTTTGGGATGCCAAGGCAGATGAATTCCCTGAGGTCAGGAGTTCGAGACCAGCCTGGAAAACATGGTGAAACCCTGTCTCTACTAAAAATACAAAAATTAGCTGGGCATGGTGGTGCCCACCTGTAATCCCAGCTACTGGGGAGACTGAGGCAAGAGAATTGCTTGAACCTGGGAGGTGGAGGTTGCAGTGAGCCGAGATGGTGCCACTGCACTCCATCCTGGGCAACAGAGTGAGAATCCATCTTTAAAAAAAAAAAAAGTTGTCATCTTCAGAAAAGTTTTTAATGAATTAGAAAAGCATTTTTGAAAATTGTATTATTGATGAGGCCGATCCATTTTTTGGCATTCACATAGTTTTCATCAGTGGATGGGTGATATACTGAATAGATTGAGTCCATGTTTGAAGCGAGGTGGTGGAAATCTGTGAAGCAATCCTTGAAGCAAGATAGTAGAAAAGAAACCTCCTAATTTCTTTTTACCAACTGGTCTGGTTAGTCCTCAGACAGAGCCCATGTTCAAACAGATATTTGCTGGGCACCCTGCCATGTTTTCATACTTACTTACTTCAAACCTATTACAGTCAGATGACCCACCTGTTTCCAGTATTGGTTTTTTTCCCCTCAGTTCGGTTATTTTATGAGAGTGAAAATTTAACTTCATGGAAATTTCACTTTGCTTTGCTCTTTATAGTTCTCTAATGGCATCAGTTTTTACTCCAAGAGGGAAACCTGTTAGAACTTTGCTGCACTAACAACACACAGCTGACCTTTGGTGGGGTGATTGGTCACAAGCCTGTCTTTTGATGGGTTCTTTCACAAATAATCACTAACCTTCTTCCTCATAGCACCCCTTCTGTTGGGCTCTGGGGATAAAAGGATGAACAAAACTACAGAGTCCCAGCCTTTAGGAGTTCACAGTTCAACTGCAGAGGAGATAGACTCTAAACAAAAACAGAACTACATGACTTTTCTTTCTATGTGTGACTTCTCACCTTTCTTATTTGGGGCAGCCCAGTCGGCTTTATTCCATAACCTCAGGCCAAGGCCTCTCTAAAATGAGGACAGAAGGATATGCCACCTTCCAGTTAAATGTGCTCTAATTTTCCCTGCTAGATGAGCATACGTAAGTGCACTCAACACTTTCGCTCATGGGCAGAAGCTTGTCTGAGAGACTTTAGTCTTCATTATAAGTAATGTAAAACATGTAGTATTTCATGTCTGAGCATCAGATATACATTGATCATTACATACGAGAAGTAATTACACTAGTAAATGTGAACCTAGTAGCAGCCGCAACATCAGTAGCCACCGTTTTCTCCTTGTTTGGAGGCCAGGCATATGTTAGCAAAGATTAGAGTAACACTTGGAGTACAATTGGGAGCTATCTGGGGCAAAATAAAGGTGATCAGTCCCACCTTCAGGGCAGCCCCAACTGCCTGAAGTGCCTGTGAGAGGAGCCCACCCACAAGCCATGGCCTCTGAGTGTTGGTACCACAGCCCTGCCAACTGTGACCTTGTGTGCATGGGCCACGTAAGCACAGCTATGACAAGGCAGTGCCTGTAATTAGGGTGAAGGACTGTGTCAGTGAGTTGCAGTCACTGCATGGCTAGCCAGGAGAGAAGCCACATGTTATCTTTATTTTATAAACACACAGTCAGCATTTCTTAGAAATCAGTGTCCTTGACCACAGAATAGATTTAGGGAAAGAAAAAAAAAAATCGGTGTCCTGGCCGGGCGTGGTGGCTCATGCCTATACCCCAGCACTTTGGGAGGCTGAGGTAGGCGGATCACTTTTGGTCAGGAGTTCAAGACCAGCCTGGCCAACATGGTGAAACCCTAAAATACAAAAATTAGCTGGGGGTGGTGGCGCACACGTGTAATCCCAGCTATTCGGGAGGCTGAGGTGGGAGAATTACTTGAACCTGGGAGGCAGAGGTTGCAGTTAGCCAAGATTGCACCACTGCACTCCAGCCTGAGTGACAGAGCGAGACTCTGTCTCAAAAAAAAAAAAGCAGTGTCCTTTAACTGGGGTAATACCTAAAGTAATAAGTGATGCTTGGTTTTTTTTCCTTTTTCAATTCCTGTCTCCCTTAGCTTCTGGAATGTGGTGGAAATTTGTTTGATGCCATTTCCATTGCTGTAAAGGCTGCTCTCTTCAATACAAGGTAAGTCTTCCTAGAAACAGCTCTGCGAACCTGTGGAGAACCAGAGCAGACACTTGTAATGGAACACTGAGGAAATTTCTATTGTAGCTCATATGTGAAGATAACAGGGGGTTTTAACATTGAAAATGGTGACATCTAACGTTAAACTCCAGAAAAGATAGATTTCGTGAATTAAAACTACATATATACGTATATTCTGTATTTATTTTTTGTATTGTTATTTTTATAAATAGACACCTACCATTTAGAAAAATATTAGAAAACTACAGAGAAGCCAAGAAGAGTAGACACCACCTACAGGCCAACTATCCAAATACTATTACTGGGTGAACTCTATGGGGGCAAGGATTTTGCCTGTTTTGTACTTGCCTATATTCCTAGCACCATGAACAGTACCTGACACATAGTAAGTGCTTGCATATTGCTTGATTGTACACATGTGTGTTCTAAAAGCAGGGTAACAGGCTTCCCTTTGGTTTAAGAAGAGGAAATGGCTATTCCACATGGTTCAGCTTTCCAAACAGGTTGTGTAGAAGGGACAAGTTGCTATGCTTTTTTGGAGTTGACATTTATTCTGACTGATTGACCTTTCCCCCTTTTATGCTCCAAGTACTTTGAGGAAAATTTGCAGCATTTATGAGTAAATACGTGGGATAGGGTGTTCATCCTATGAGAGAGCCTACATTAAGGTAACAGAGGATCCTATTAAAAAACGAGGATTAGAAACTTCTAGGGATATAACCTAAGGACATAATTGAATAAATGAGCAAAGATGTTTATTCTAGGATGTTCATCACATCCTAGAATAAACATTACACTGCTTTGTAATGGTAAGAAACTGGAAACAACCTGAGTTTCACAATGGAGGGGATTGAAGTCCACACAGCAGCCTATTTAAAGGCATGTTAATATGGAAAATAGTTCACTAAATGCAGTCCCCTCATCCTGGTTTTTGTTTGTTGGTTTGTTGTATTTTACTTTGGTAGTTCTTATATGTAATGTGTCTGGAAATATGTACCCCCAAGTAATCACTGTAATTATTTTTCAGTGCTCATATTTTGGCCAACATAACATTTACCTGTTTTTTAGAGCTTTTCTATGATGAGTTTAGACTCCCTGTGTAATTTAGAGCAGACAAAAATTGCAGGCTGGAATATTTGCTGAGAATGAAAGCTGTAGAGTCCCCCACCCCTAGCTGTGCCACTAGGCTCCTTGTTGAGACTATTTGAAATGTGAGCCTGGCACTCTTGGCCACCGTGGGAGCTTGCGTGCCAGATCCCACAGCAGTAGCTGGTGCTCGGGCCCTGTTGGGGAAGGAAAGGAAGCTGTCATCTGATTTATCTTGAGCCTCAGAAATGACTCCCCATCTGCCAGCTGGTTCCTATAGGCACCCAGGCAAAAAGAGAGATTGGGAACCAGACAAGGCTGTTTAGCTGTGGGGGAGTTGCTGGCCAAACTGTATACCAGAAAGGTTAACCCAGCTGCTCAGGTAGGGGAGGACACCTGTCATGGGCACAGCCATAGTCTCATCCTCAGACCAAGAACAGCCCTGCAGGCAGCAAGGAATGGGGACTCTAAGGCATCAAGTCCCCCTGGTATGTGGAGAGACTATTGGCATATTCAGGGTCCTTTAGAAGGGTAAAGGCCACCTGAGGGTATTCTTTAGCCCTTCTGCCCAGGCTTGTTGTAGCCAAAGGGTTGGGAAATTGGGAGATACTGTGCGTGCGTGCGTGCGTGCGTGCGTGTGTGTGTGTATGTGTGTGTGTAAATGGTTGACAACTTGTTCAAATAGGATATTACTTAGTAGAACTTCCTCTGATGGGAAGGCTCCAAATGGGGAAGACCCTTACAGAACTCCTTGGCCCTTGTCAACATTCTCTGGCTGAAGCTCCCCTGATCTGATCTAGATGTTGCCTTGTGTATGGATGGCCAGCAGGGCTCAATCATGGGGGGTTTTGTTAGAGGAACTGGGAAAAGTACTAATGCTGTTTCCATTACAGTAGCTGGATGGACCACCTCTTCCTTCCTGGCTCCTCCAACCCAGCCTGGAGTGAATTGACTTTATAGGTTAAATGTGTTTTTCAGTACCCAGCTGAAGAAACAGAATGTTGCCAGCACCCCAGAAGCATCCCACACCTTCTGTACCCCCATGCAATTACACTCACTGATGATAACCAGCATCTTAAAAGAATAGATTACTTTTGTACTTGATATAAATGGTATCATATACTATGTTCTGTTTTGTGTCTGCCTCATTCACTAAGCATTGTGTTTTGAGAGATCTGTGTTGCTGCCTTAGTCATAGCTTGCTTTTTGCTGTATGGTGTTCCATTGTGTGACTTTGTCCAGTCTGCTGTTTATCCAGTCTACTGTCCAGTCTGCTGTTGTTTATCAGTCTACTGTTGATGGCCATCTGGTTCATTTCCAGTTTGAGGCTATTACAAATAGGGATGGGCATCATGAACATTTTGTGCATGTCTTTGGTGCACATATTTCTCTATTTCTGTTAGGGAGGAGTGTTCTGGGTTATAGGGTATGGCTATCTTTAGTTACGGTAGATGCTGCCAGTTTCACAAAGTGTTTTACCAGTTAACACTTCCACCAGCAGTGTATGTAAGAGTTCCGGGTTGTTTCACATTTTTGTCAACTCTTGCTTTTTTTTTTTGAGATGGAGTCTCACTCTGTCTCCCAGGCTGGACTGCAGTGGCGTGATCTCAGTTCACTGCAACCTCCACTTCCCAGGTTCAAGCGATTCTCTTACCTCAGCCTCCCAAGTAGCTGGGATTACAGGTGTGCACCACCACACCCAGCTAATTTTTGTATTTTTAGTAGAGATGGGGTTTCACCATCTTGGCCAGGCTGGTCTCGAACTCCTGACCTCAGGTGATCCTCCCGCCTTGGCCTCTGAAAGTACTGGGATTACAGGCATGAGCCACCATGCCTGGCGTTTTTTTTTTTTTGTTTTTTTTTTTAATAGTTATTTTGGTTGTGCCTTGGTATCACAGTGTAGTTTTAATTTGCATTTTTAATAGATATTTAAATTGAGCACCTTTTCTTGGTTTATTGGCTACTCAGACAGCCTCTTTTATGAAGACATCCAAATATATTCTACGTTTGAGTCTTTTGTCCATTTTTCTGTTGGGCTGTCTTTTTTTTGTTTAATAGGAATTCTTTATGTAATCTGTCAGGTAGTATTTTATCTCCCCAGATTATATTTTTAGTTTTTAAATGATGTCTTCTGATATACAGAAGTTCATGATGTTATAATTGAATATGTAACTTTTTTCTCTTTCTGTATCCTGTTCAAGAAATAGTTGTCTACTCCAAGGTCATGCAGATGTTTTTTTCTAAATGCTTTATTGTCTTGTCTTTTATTTTTTATATCTATGGTCTATTTGGTATGGCTTCGTGTGTGTGGTGTGAGGTAGGGATTGAGATTCTTTTTTTTCCATTGGGATATCTGATTGACCCAGCATCATTTTCTAAAAGATGCCTTTCCTCATTGCACTGCGGCGCCTCCTGTGTGCTTTTGACAGGGATGACAGGGATGAGGATGATAAAGAATAGGCATAGCGTGTCTTTCTCTTGTGAGACACAGGGATTCCAACTCCTATTCTCAATCTTAAAAAGAAGTTATTTTTCCTCCTCCAAGTGGGAATTTTACTAGTGCTTCTGCTTCCAGGATACCAAGGGTTCGAGTTTTGGAGGATGAAGAGGGGTCGAAGGACATTGAATTGTCAGATGACCCTTATGACTGCATACGACTAAGTGTGGAGAATGTCCCCTGCATTGTCACTCTGTGCAAGGTATAACTTGTATTTTATGGTTTTTGTCTTCCCTGTGGGTGTGGGTCTCCTCTAATCCCAACCTGCTGAGGTTACTTAATAAGTTAAGAAGTTGTAATACCACACACCATATAGAAGTAGCTTTTACCCAAATCCAATAATTTGGTTATACTAGAAACCACTACCACGAGTAGCTCTTTCTTTTCTTTTTAATTGGAAGATATGATGTGGTCCTGGGAGCCATGAGTGTGTTTGTAGTAATAGTAGCCAGAGTTTGTTAAGCTCCTTCCACATACCATGTGCTTCACTAAAGCACCATGTCTTTTAATTACCTCAACTCTATGGGGTCTAGGGTGGTTGAGTAGTGGCAGGGTGGCGAACACTGTCCCCCCTATGAAATGGGAGGTTGGAGCAGGTCTTGGGTATCATGAGTGGTTTTCACATAGAGGGCTGTGGAGCTGAACATCAGGCTGATGTGATATATAACTAATGCTGCCCCAGGCTGTGCAAAGAGGCCTGTATTGGCTATTGACTGGGATTGTAGCTAATTCCACTCAGGATTCATTATCTCAAAATAAAGCTAAACAGGTCAGGTTTAATTCCACTGAAATCACTTCATGAACAGGATGTGGTGAAGTGTTCAGACAACAGGATGGCAGGATGTTGGGTCTTGGCTTTTTTTTTTTTTTTTTTTTTTTTTTTTTGAGACAGTCTTGCTGCAACGCCCAGGCTGGAGTGCAATGGCGCGATCTCAGCTCACTGCAACCTCCGCCTCCCAGGTTCAAGCAATTCTTCTGCCTCAGCCTCCCAAATAGCTGGGATTACAGGCACGTGCCATCATGCCTGGCTAATTTTTGTATTTTTAGTAGAGACGGTGTTTCACCATGTTGGCCAGGCTGGTCTCAAACTCCTGACCTCGGGTGATCTGCCCACCTCAGCCTCCCAAAGTGCCGGGATTACAGGCATAAGCCACCGCACCTAGCCGGCTTGTTCTTTCTTGTTGTTTATTTGTTTTTTTTTTTTTTTTTTTTTTTGAGACAGAGTCTCGCTCTGTCGCCCAGGCCGGACTGCGGACTGCAGTGGTGCAATCTCGGCTCACTGTAAGCTCCGCTTCCTGGGTTCACGCCATTCTCCTGCCTCAGCCTCCCGAGTAGCTGGGACTACAGGCGCCCGCCACCGCGCCTGGCTAATTTTTTGTATTTTTAGTAGAGACGGGGTTTCACCTTGTTAGCCAGGATGGTCTCGATCTCCTGACCTCATGATCTGCCCGCCTCGGCCTCCCAAAGTGCTGGGATTACAGGCGTGAGCCACCGCGCCCGGCCTTGTTTTGAGACAGTGTTGCTCTGTTGCCCAGGCTGGAGTGCAGTAGCACAATCTAGGCTCACTGCAACCTCTGCTGCAACCCCCCCACCCGCCCCGGCTCAACCTCAAGCAACCCTTCCACCTCAGCCTCCCAAGTAGCTGGTACCACAGGCTCACACCACCATATCTGGCTATTTTTTTGTATTTTTGGTGGAGACAGGGTCTTGCCATGTTGCCTGGGCTGGTCTCAAACTCCTGAGCTCAAGCATTCCATTTTCCTCAGCTTCCCAAAGTGCTGGGAGGCATGAGCCGCTGCGCCCAGCCTTTGGCTTGTTCTTGAGTGTGTCCCTTAGCATGGACCCTCTTGATTCCCCCTTGCCATCAGTGAAACGTCCATGTGGCCTTGTGTGTGAATTTCTCCCTTGTGCCCCTCTGTTGGAAAGCCTTGGTGGCCTTTGTCTTGGTTGGTCTCTGAATTCTAGTTTTAAACCACCTTGCCCTGTTTTTCCATATCGTGTTTTTATTGTACCACCCACACAGTGGCCTGTGAGAATTGTTGAACAATCCCTCAGCTGTTTTCCTCGTGAGCAGAATCTAAAATAAGACCTGGAATGACCAGTGCAAATACTTTTGCCTGGTGTAGAGATTCCCACCACGAGGCCATCAGGGGTGGGACTCTGGGGCCTGCGTGACCCACCGTGTGCCACGCACCCTGCCTTTGCAGATTGGCTATCGGCATGTGGTGGATGCTACTCTTCAGGAGGAGGCCTGCTCGCTGGCCAGCTTGCTGGTGTCGGTGACCAGCAAGGGAGTTGTGACGTGCATGAGGAAAGTGGGGAAGGGCAGCCTGGACCCAGAGAGCATCTTCGAGATGATGGAGGTGAGGCCTTAGTTCTGAGGAAGGTGCAGGGACCTGGCCGGGGTGCCTGCTGCTTCCTGCTCCCTTGGTCATACCGTGGGGATTCTCCCCATTCACAGCCTTGACCCCAAACTTGGAGATTTGGGAACAGCTGGTTTGAGCCAGGGGTCTGCTGACCTAATCAAGGGGGGTTGTGGGGGTGGATACTCTGGACTGGGAGGTAAGGAGCCTACCAGTAACCATTAATTGTCCTCAGTAAGTACCCCCCATCTCATTTCTATGTGTCTAAATAAGACTGTTGGACTTTCATAATGTAAAGAGCCACTCGTAACTCCAAAAGTGCAGGCCTTTGTGACTTGATGAGGGAATAGAATTCTTGGCTCACTGCTTCCTGTCCCTAGAAGTGGGTGAGTAAAGGTGGAAGCACGGGCTGAACTGTGGCTGTCTCCCAAATTCGTTACAGCTCTAGAAGTGTTTAAATGGAGACAAGCAGGGATGGTAAGAAATCTGACCCACTGGAGTTGGGTTGGGTTGCCCTCATCCCTAGCAGAGCCATCAAGGCGCTTCTACAGTTCTCTGTACTGTTTGCCCCACATGTCTGTCACCTCACTGGCCTGGAAGCCCCGCAGGGCAGGGACAGGGTCCTGCTCACCTGTTTCCCAGACCTTCTTTCCCCTATATCCACCTCACCTTTCTGACTGATTGACTGACTGAACTTCCAGGAACAGAGTTAGCAGGATCTGATTATTCATACTTTCTTGCAACCTCTATATCACCACACATGCCCAGAGATCATTGCTTAATAGCAAGCACTCTTCTTTTGTGTTTAGAAACAATGACTTCATACTGAAGAATCCAAGAACATGACATCTACTTTCTCTCTTTATCATGTTATTTAAAAGGCCAAAATGAGCACTGTATATAGCATGGAGTTCCCAACCATGGGCTGTGAGGGTGTACTGCCCTGGCTGCAAACCTGGCTCTGGGCCATAGTCCCCCTCATCTGCAAAGTGGGACTGATAATAGTAATATCTGCCCAGACACTGCTGAGGTTGTTATTAGGATGATGTGAGGTGTAGAGGAGAAGCACATGTCACAGTGCCTGATATGTCATCAGTTCTCAGCTAATGGCAGCTCTTATTCTCTGTGCTCCATGAAGCACCCTGAGTTCAAATTTCTCCAGACTTAATGCTGCATAAATTCTACCAAAGTCCTCTAGGCAAGGGACTGTCAAACCTTGTTTTAGAAGGTACTCTTCCCCCTCCCAGGAGAGTTTATGAGAATTTCTTTAAACAGCAACAACAAGCACAGTAAACAAATAGCTGGAGTTTATTGTGTGCGTACTATGTGCCAGATACTGTTTTCACTGCTTTAAATATATCATTTAGTCCTCAACAACCTGTGAGGTAACTATTATTATTGTCCTCATTTTTACAGATGAGGAAACTGAGGCACACAGAGGATAAGCAGCTTGCCTACAGGCCTCCCTGCTCATAAATACTGGAGCTAGGATTTAAGCCAAGACTGTGTGCGTCCAGAGCCCCTGCTCCCAGCCACTGTGCAATGTCAGCCTTATAAACCAGATCTGCCCTGGCTGTCATAGATGGCAGAACCAGAGCTCTGTTCAGTGAGCTGAGCTTTGTCCTCCCCTCAGGTTTGGGGAGTGAGGTCTGCTAACTCTGGACAGGGGACTATAGCTCTGTGGCCCTGTCTTACTGTTTATCTCACACAGGGATGCAGCAATCTGGAAAATGACTTGGTGGAGCTGAGAGCCTTGGGGGTAGTTGTGCAGGCTGCCACCCCTAGCCTCTGCAGTTGCTTTCCTGCATCTGGATTCAGAGGCGTCAAGGCCCTCTCAAGTCCTGGCATCCTGTCCATCTCATCTCCTCTTGTTGTCCTCTCTCCCCACCCTCATGTATATGAATAATCAGTACCCCTGTTTGACAGATTCAGACTTTTTTTTCTTTTTCTAATGTTATGGGAAAATCTTTCCAAAGGCCCTTTTTTTTTTTGAGATGGAGTCTCACACTATCGCCCAGGCTGGAGTGCAGTGGTGCGATCTCAGCTCACTGCAACCTCCGCCTCCCTGGTTCAAGTGATTCTGCCTCAGCTTCCCGAGTAGCTGGGATTGCAGGTGCCCGCCACCACTCCCAGTTAATTTTTTTGTATTTTTAGTAGAGACGGGGTTTCAGTATGTTTGCCAGGCTGGTCTTGAACTCCTGACCTTGTGATCTGCCTGCCTCAGCCTCCCAAAGTGTTGAGATTACAGGCATCAGCCACCACATCCAGCCCCCGAAGGCCTTTTTGACCTTTAACCCTGACTTTGCATTTCATAGAGGTGATCACTTCCCAGCCTTTTAGATCGAAATCATCTTTTCATAAGAGTTTTAGTCATACTTGGGATCTCATCCCATGTTACAGTTAGGGGCCAGGGGAGAAGACACACAAGTCATTACTCTGGGGAGGATACACCTGTAACTGAAGAGATTGAGGCAGGGATTTAGGCATGGATGTTTTTATCTCAACATTGTTGAGAATGGAACCAGTGGCAGAGTTGAATCCACACTGCTATGGGAATGTGAAAGACCTGATAAGGTAGAGATTTGTGGTTGGTTCTTTGTATTCTTAAAATGATTCTTGGGCCCAGAGACAGAATAACAGTTTCATAAAGAAAAATATATTTTTTTATATTGGGGTGGTGGTTGTTTTTTGAGACAGGGTCTTGCTCTGTTATCCAGGCTGGAGTACAGTGGCACAGTCACAGCTCACTGCAGCCGTGAACTCCTGGGCTCAAACAATCCTCCCATCTCAGCCCCCTGAGTAGCTGGGTCTACAGGCGCATACCACCATGCACAGCTAATTTTTAGTTTTTTGTAGAGATGGGGTTTCACTCTGTTGCCCAGTCTGGTCTTGATCTCCTGGCCTCAAGCAAAATCCTCTTGCCTTGGCCTCCAAAAGTGCTGGGATTACAAGCATGAGCCACTACTCCCAGCCATATTGAGTTTTTTTGTTTTGTTTTGTTTTTGTTTTTGTTTTTTTTACCTCTCGTGTCTGCTCTGTAGGGACTGATTATTAATTTTGTGGGTTGTCCCTCTTGATGTGTTTCGATTCTAACATTTCACTGCCTTTAGCATCTCAGCATGGCAGTAAACACCAAAGATCCCATCCAGGTACTGACTTTGGTCACACCTGAGCAGTTCTGCTTAGAGGCTTCATGGGAGGTGAATGAGAAGCTGCTTACTAAAATGTCCTTGGCATCATCTGTTTCTTCTCCAGACAGACTCTGGATTCCCTGTGGTCTCCCTATAGTACAGTGTCACCTGGCTGTACCCAAGCCCAGATTTGATTGACAACTTTGTTGCTTGTTGCAGTGGCAGCAGGATAGTGAAGCATGAGCTAATGGCCAGGGCAGGCTTTGCTGCTCTCTGTTTGTTGCCTGGTGGGGGCTGGTGTTTGTCTCTCTTTTTTATTTTTTTGATATGACGATTTTTACAAAATTTATTATGTTGTTGGGGTCTGTGGTTTTTGTTTTAATTTGCTTTAATTAAATAAAAGTCCTCTAAGGCAGATGGAATGTGTACAATGTCAGAAAGACTAGCTGGCAGAAAGGAATGCTTTTCTGGTCAGAGTGTGTGTGCCTTACAAGGGGGTGTGTGCTCTCTCCCGTCCCTTCTCCACAGACTGGCAAGCGTGTGGGCAAGGTACTGCATGCCTCCTTGCAGAGTGTTGTGCACAAGGAAGAAAGCCTGGGGCCCAAGAGACAGAAAGTTGGATTCCTGGGATGATTTGCACATCAACTGCTCAACTGTGGATTGTTTTTTACTTTTCCTTTTAAACCGGTTCGTATATATTTTTCTTCGCTGTTACGAATTTACAGCAGCATTTGTACATGTAAAATTAAAGGCTATTTTCTGGTCTGGTTTGGTATGTCTAGAGTTCTTCAGTTGAAGCCAAGGCACCATTCAGTGACCCATCTGGGTCTGGCCCTTATCTAGTGAGTGGCAGACAAATCCAGAGCTCTGCCACCAAGGGAGACCCCCACAAGCTGGAGTAAAGACCTGACAGAAACTGGTTTACAGGAAATGCTTATGATATGTATTTTGTGAATTTTTTTCCCCTTGAAGAACTTTAAAAATAAGAATCACAAAGAAAAGTTCATTCACCTTGTGTATTTGGGTGGTTCTGGGAGAGGAAAAAAGAGGAGGCACTCTGCTGCAGGTACACACCCAGGGCGTCTGTCTGTCTGGTTAGCCATCCCAAATCCTGGGAAAGTCCAGCTCTGACTTCCTGCCCTCCAAGAGATCCGAATGGAATTCCCTAGGTTCAGGGGCTTTAGTGGCAGCCACTTTGGCCCTTAGCCATCCTTTCTTATCACTCTTGTTTTGAAATTGCTTTGTGTTTTATAACCACTCCCTGGTGTTTCCTAAGATTTTGTTTTGTCAGCATTAAGAAGGCAGCTTTCAAGATGTTGTCATTTGATAATTCAGCTGCCTTCATGCTCTCAGCATTGAAAGGAAGACTATGCTTGCTGGCCCAGAAGGCTCTTCCTATAAGCCTGTAGTCTCACTGTGCAGTGTGTTAAAATTAAGTCTCTTCATGTGTAGAGCAGCCTTTGTTTTTTTTTCTAGGGGAACTGAAACTCCTAAATCTTAAAACACCCTGGGGAAGGAGCTGATTCACGAAGGAGAGCGTTTCAACCGTGGCATTTGCTCTCTGCATTCCAGTTAGCAAATGGGGTAAGGCGTTAGGAATTTATCACCAAATGGAAAGAACATAATGTGAGCTGAAGCCCTTGGGACTGCTTCCAGAGGTCCTGGTGTGGGCGTTCCTCCCAGCAAGGCCAGGTCCATCCCTGTGGAGAGAAGCAGCTGCCTAGACTTGGGCTTAATGGGGGAGCTTCTGCCCTGTTGAGAGCATAGCCTGGGTTTTCATCTTTTATGTTTCTTCAGTGACTATCTACAGGCACCATGACAGTGTTCCCAACAAGGCAGAAATCAGCCTGGTCTCTCCTTCCCTGCTCCTGGTTGACTGCCCGTGACATGACAAAACATTGGCAGTGGTGGCGCAGAGATGCAACTCGAGTGTGAATAAAGTTTAGAAGCATTTGCTTTTGATGGTTGATTCCAGTGGATCATTTTGAGATGCATAAATTAGAATGGGTACTGTCATATATGTCAGACTCAGCTCTGCTTCACTTCCCTTCAGACAGACAGATGAGGCTTTGCCATGCCAGTGGTATGACAAGCAGCTACCAGCTTGGATGGCTGGCTAAGCACTTCCAGTAAAAATGGAGAAAGAAGAGAAAAAGATGGTGGAATCTGTTTCTAGCCACCCCATACCTTTCCCTGAAGGCCACCCCTACATGTAATATACGTATATTGCAAATGAAACAAAACACCATATGAGCAGGGACTCTCCAGGAGAGGCATTTATTGGAAAGATCTGATTGTTGCAACTGTCAGAGTGAGAGAAGAGAAAACTGAAGACAGAGACTGGCAAAGACTTGGAAAAATATTATCCTGGGACAGACCTGTTTGATCCAGCAGAGCCACAGCTGTCTTTAGTGGTCTTTAAATAAACATTAGGTAGAAGAACATTGAAGTTGGTCAAAGTAAGGGCGGAGTATAAGAAATGCAATGTTAAATAATATTCAAGTGGGTTTTTGTCTCTGATTCTTTAGTCTTCCAAATCACGAGTTAATTTTTTTTCTTTTCTTTGTTCTTAGAGATAGGGTCTCACTCTGTCACCGAGGCTGGAATGCAATGGTGCAATCATAGCTCATTGCAGCCTCAAACTCCTGGGCTCATGTGATCTTCCCACCTTCCTGGGACTGCAGGCATGCCACCATGCCCAGCAAATTATTTTTTTAAAATGAGGGTCTCACTATGTTGCCCAGGCTGGTCTTGAGCTCCTGGCCTCAAGCAATCCTCCTGCCTTGGCCTCCTAAAGTGCTGGGATTACAGGTATGAGCCACTGCACTGGGACATGAGTTTAGATTTTTTTCTCGTTGTTGAGACGGAGTCTCGTTCTTTTGCCAGGCTGGAGTGCAGTGGCGTGATCTCACCCACTGCAGTCTCTGCCTCTCGGGTTCAAGCGATTCCCCTGCCTCACCCTACTGAGTAGCTGGGACTACAGGCGTGCACCACCACACCTGGGTAATTTTTTTTATTTTATTAGAGACAGGGTTTCACCATGTTGGCCAGGATGGTCTTGATCTCCTGACCTTGTGATCCGCCTGCCTCGGCCTCCCAATGTGCTGGGATTACAAGCGTGAGCCACAGCACCTGGCCGAGTTTAGAATATTAACAGTAGTTTGTTTGCTCAGTAAAGCCAGTTGTCTAACATACAAACTGCCAGTAGAGAATAAGTCTTCGCTATTCCAGACTTTTTGGAAAACAATCTGGCAGTGTGCATTAAAAGCCTTAAAAGACCGGGTGTGGTGACTCACGCCTGTAATCCCAGCACTTTGGGAGGCTGAGGTGGGCGGATCATGAGGTCAAGAGATCGAGACCATCCTGGCCAACATGGTGAAACCCATCTCTATTAAAAATACAAAAATTGGCATGGTGGCACACGCCTGTAATCCCAGCTACTTGGGAGGCTGAGGCAGGAGAATTGCTTGAACCCAGGAGGTGGAGGTTGCCGTGAGCCAAGATCGCGCCACTGCACTCCAGCCTGGCTACAGAGCGAGACTCCTTCTCAACAAAAAGCCTTAAAAATGTTTGCCCTTTGACCTAGTAATTCTACTTCTGGGCATGTAATCAAAGTAAATAATTTATGATACAAGGGGAGTGGAAACATTAATACAGAGGAGTTTATCCCAGTGTTATTTATACATCCCAAATAATGGCCATAAAGTAACTGCTAGTTAGTGGGGAAACAATGTTCCATGCATTGCTAGATGCCTCTGATGGATTACCTTCTGTCCTCAGCCTCGCCTCTGCCTCTACGGCAGTCAGACCGTAGCTAATAGATTATGTGTTCTGAGGGTTAAGACATGGGCAGCCAATCAGGATTTTACTCAACTTGTCAAAATTAAAAATAATAATAATTGGAGCATAAAAAGCTTATGTCAACCACTATAATGGGAAATTCCAGTCCTTCACCCAGTTTCCGTAAGCCAGTTCACAGATCAAAGTCCATTGACAGGAGGGAGGTTGGTGTCTTTAAATAAGAATCCTGTAATATCACCATCAGCACCTACAATAATAGTTCTCCAGTCTGGAATACCAGCATTGAGGAAAGGTGATTTGAAGCCTTTTGAATCTGGGTTTTGACTTGATGCCTGTATTAGGAGACCTGAAATGCCACCAAGGCTCTCCAGTCAAAGGGGATGGGGGATGGAGGCTAGGTAATAAATGGATGGTACAAGTAAGTCTGGCTCACAATGGTCATTAGGTCCTGGGATAATTTCCTTCCCCAAATGTGTAGGTGGGATGGATGTGGTACAATTGAGATGTCATAAATGGGATGGAATGAAAACCACAATGGTAAGAAGGGTCAAGGTTGGAAACTGCCTCCCTTCCCTGGCCAAGATAATAAATCAGAGACAATATTGGATCTTGGGAGAAATTGCAGAGATTAGGACCAACATCAAAGACTTTAAGGATGCAAGGGTAGTTGTCCCCGCCTCATTGCCATTTATCTTATCTCTGTGGCCCCTGTAAAAGCCAGGTGAATCATGGTAGATGACCACCAAACACACGAGAGAGCTCCAATTTCCACTGCTTTGTTGGATGAAGTATCTTCACTAAGATTAATCAGCACAGCCTCCAATGCTTCGTATGTGGCTATAAGTTAGGAAAATTCTTCCTTAATCCCCATTAACAAGAAGGGTCAAAAGCAGATCTCTTATGTGGAAGGACTGCAAAATGTGTTCAGTGTCTTGTCAGCGGTCTATGTTAATCACCTACTTTTTGTCACAGTGATATCTTCAGGGCCATCGCGCTGATCTATTTATGTTGATAAAATCATGTTTATTAGATCTAGTACATAGGACGTGGAAAGCCGTTGGAAGTCCTAGTAAAAGACACATGCCTGAGAGGGTGGGAAATAAACCCCATGAAGATTAAGGAGACCACCACACTGATAATGTTTTTAGGTATCCAGTGGTGTGGGGCATTCTGAGAGATACCCCCTCTAAGGTGGTAGATTTTGAACCTTGCACCCACCCTCATCCCCACTACCCTCACTGAGAAGTACAGCACTTGTTGGGCCTCTGGATTTTGGAGACAAGAATGCTGTACTTGAGAATGCTGTCTCAATGCATTTATTGAGTAATTCACAAACCTACCAGTTGTGAATGGGAGTCCAGAATAAGACAGGACTCTGAAGCCTGTTTAAGCTGCATTACAAGCATCCCTCCTGCTCCATGTGACCCAGAAATTCCAACGGAGCTAGTGCTATCTGGGGCAGGTAAGGGTGCTGTGTAGTTTCTGGCAGGCCCAACAGGAACGTTGTAGCACAGACCCTAGGATTCTGGAGCAAGGCCATGTGGTGGAAAGCTATTCACCTCCAAATGAGTGAGTTTGAAAAGAAGTTTCTGGCTTGCCACTGGGCCCAATTAGAGACTGAATACCCAACCCTGGGACCTCAAGTGACCTGAGCCACCCATCATGCTGGTTATTGTCAGACCCACCAGGTCATAAGTTTGGGTGGGTGCAGCAACAATCCATGCAACATGAAAATGTACATTCAGGATTAGGCCTGAGCAGTTCAGTGGGCACAACCAAGGAATATACCAGGTAGCCCAGATTCGTCTGTCACCCCTGTTCGCCAGTGCCTCTCATCCACACTTATGACCTCATGGGGGAGGGGACTCCTGCAGCCAGCTACTGGAAGAGGAAAACCCCAGGTCTGCCTTGTGGATGAGTTGGTTCTCTATATTGATGTGTGCCCCAAAGGGACTGCTCCTGCATTACAGCCCTGCAGGACAGCAGTGAGAGAACTGAGTGCAGCCAGTGCACTTGGTTGTTAAGTTTGCACAAAGGGATAAGGGTACACGTGGATTCCCGGATAGTAGGGAGTAACTTGGCTAGTTGGACAAGGGCCTGAAAGGAGTAAGATGGGATGATCAGAGAAAAGGGATTTGTATGGACCTGTGGGAATGGGCCAAAAAAAGCGCAGATAGTCGGGAATCGTGTTAATGCCCATCAGAGGACATTTTCCAAGGGAGGTGTTCAACAAGTGTTTTGACTTCAGTTCTGGGTAGGATATGTAGGTCATGGTGGACCACCATTCATGCTGCTGCAGCTAAAAATGCTGAATGCATTTCAAGAGTCATATCATTAAAGATTTTGGGAAGCTCTGGAAGTAAAGAGGATTTCATGGCCTAAAATTCCAGAGAAGGGGGAGACTTTCTGAAGTGAGCAGGCTGTCACTGGCATTTCCTTCCCTGGGGGCATTTGCAGATTCTGGACGTGGAATAAGAATCAGGCTTGGGAACATAGAGGAACTCTACCGGGGAAAGGGAAACCTGCAAAACCTCCAGCAAAGCTGTGTAGGGATAGTGTGATGATTTAGAAACTCAAAGATCCCTAAACACACAGCTGGGTTTATATTTGCCAAATTCTCAGACATGATGGGAAGTCAGGGAGTTTCAGCTAAAGAAGATTGAAATCTCCTGTAGCATTCTATAGGGCTATCTGTTTTTCTCCTCTTGTGTGAACTATTATAGCTGAGGGCATCAGGTAAGTGCATGCCCAGTTTATTATTCCCAAAGTTACAAATCAGGTGATTAAGTTACTGTCCCTTGGAGTGGAAGGAATCGAGGTGTGGAAAGAGGCTATCAAGCTCCTTGACACACTGGGACAGCGTGGTGGCTCAGACCACCCCTCCTCCTTCCCACAACCTTGCAGGTTGCTCAGCTGTCTCCCATGCGAGACCTCAGTTTGCTCCTTGAAAGAATCCCATGTGCAAGCAGGGTAGAGATTATTACCCCACTTTACAGAAGAGGAGTTTGGTCTTGAGTAACTCATCCAAAACGACACAAGTGCCAGGTATCTCAACCAAATTTGGAACTCGGGACTCCATTCTCTTTCCACTGCCACACTACAGAGCTTTAAGGATAAAACAACAAGGACTGTGAGCCCCTTGAGAGCTAAGATTTGGTTGAGTTAGGACCTACCTAACTCAGGGCCCGGTACACAGGGACAGAGCCAATACTTGAATGAATGACAGAGTACTAGGCCAACAAAGTTTTTTTTTTTTTTTTTCTTAGAGACAGGGTCTTGCTCTGTTTTCCAGGCTGGAGTGCAGTAGTATGATCATAGTTCACGGCAGCCTCCATCTCCTGGGCTCAAACAATCCTCCCAGCTCTGCCTGCCAAAGAGTTGGGATTACATGTGTGAGCCCCTGCACCAGGCTGTCTATATGCTCTTACCTTTGAAGGGCATGTGGAAAGTTCTCTGCCTCTGTTATAGCCGGGCCACATTTCTGTTGACATGGGGCCAGTGGAACTAAAAGGAAACATCTGTGCCGGGTGAGGGTTGCGGGTGGGGTAGGGGGCTGGAATGGCTCCATGGTGGGCCAGAAGTTTGCATGTTATTCGGGCTAATATGGGTGGAGTGACCAAAGCCTGTTTTGTATAACTGAGACTTCCAGCAGCTTTGAGAAAAGAAACAACACCACCACACACACAAAAAAACCTTGAAAGCTGAAATATGCCTTTAGAGCTCTCTTCCTCTGATTTTTTTTGCCTGTTTTGTTATTAAGATCATTCTTTGTACAGGGAGATTAGTATGAAAAGACTGGGCTGTGAGAGTGGTGTGTTAGTGAACAGACACTTCCTTGAGGGTTGGGGTCGCTCATGAACATTAATGCAGCATCACTGTCTTGGCTGAAGCCACCCCCACTTGCCGCGCCATGGGCCAGTTGAGGTCTTGTGGACAGTGTCAGCAGATCTTTAATGCAAGGAAGATGAAACTGATATCATCTTCCATATGTAGAAGGTAAAATTGGCTCCACCAGGGCTATCGGTGAATCCATTGCAGGTGGCTGCAATGGCAGTCCACACCTGGCCAGGGAGAGTTGGGGGTGGACAAGAGGATCTGGATATTTAATGGCCATAAACTCAACAGTGGCAACAAATGAGGCCCAGGTGCTACAAAGAGCCCATGAATCTGTGGCTTCCTGAATAGAGGGTCTAGTCTGCTCACAGGAGGCACTTGCCCTGGCCCAGAGGAAGGCCCGTGAAAGCAAGTTTTGTTCTGGGATCTGCACCACAATGAAGACCATAACAAGCACAGTTTTATGCAGTGAGGATTCTCTGGAAGATTGAAGTAGATTGAAATCTGTAGCATCCAGGAACCATATTGTAGAGGATCCATTGAGAAGAAAAAAGGAACGGAACATGGAGAAAGGACAGTCAAAGAAGGACAGGCTGGCCTCTCATGTGACTGCTCCACAGGCCAGCACTAGGAACCATGGGGTGGTTTCCCGGAGGCCAACCTGCCCCACCACAGGGGGATCCTGAGGACAAGCCAAGTGTCTAACGATGAAACTAGTTGCTTTTCAGGTAATGAGCTTCCTGTTCCTGGAAGGGTTTAAGCAACATATGGAGACATCTGACAGGGTCAATGGAAAGGGACATCCCACATCGAGGGGTGGTTAGACTAGATGGCCTCTTCTAACCTGCTTATTAACTCAGAGATCAAGAGTTATTGAACCCCTGCCCTTTTTTTTTTTTTTTAAAGGTAGGGTCTCCCTCTGTCATCCAGGCTGGAGTGGTGCAGTGGTGTGATCATGGCTCACTGCAGCCTCAACCTCCTGAGTTCAAGTGATCCTTCCACCTCAGCCTCCAGAGTACCTGGCTCTACAGGTGCATGCCACCACATCTGGCTTTTTTTAAATTATTATTATTTTGTAGAGATGGGGTCTCCCTATGTTCCCCAGACAGGTCTTGAATGCCCGGCCTCTATTGATCCTCCTGCCTTGGCCTCTCAGAGTGCTGGGATTTTGATTATAAGCATAAGCCACCGCTTCTGGCCAGTTTGCATTTTTTGAGGACCACTGAAGCAATAAAAAAATGATGAAATGCCCAAACCAGGTTACGAAAAATAGAGATGTACTTTAAATGTTTACATTTAATGAAATAGCACTTTTCACACCCACAGATATGACACAGGACAATATTCTATTCACAAGAGAGAATTCATTATTTATTTATTTTACCAATTGCCTTGGGTGATTCTATTTTTGCATTATTACAACTTTTTATTGTGGTAATACACAACATAAAATTTACTATTTTGGGCCGGGCATGGTGGCTCACGCCTGTAATCCCAGCCTTTGGGAGGCCGAGGTGGGCGAATCACGAGGTCAGGAGATCGAGACCATCCTGGTTAACACGGTGAAACCCCGTCTCTACTAAAAATACAAAAAATTAGGCGGGGTGGTGGGCACCTGTTGTCCCAGCTACTCAGGAGGCTGAGGCAGGAGAATCGCTTTAACCTGGGAGGCGGAGGTTGTAGTGAGCTGAGATTGCACCACTGCACTCCAGCCTGGGAGACAGAGCGAGACTCCGTCTCAAAAAAAATTTGTTACTTTAACCATTTCTAAGTGTACAATTCAGTGACATTAAGTACATTCAAATTGTTTTGCAGCTGTTACTACTGTCTATCTCCAGAACTTTTTCATCTCTCCTATCTACAACTGTGTATCCAGAAACACAGGATGAGGATGTGTATCCTCATCCCCCCACCCCAAGCCCCTGGAAACCACCATCCTACTTTCTGTCTCCATGATTTTGGGGGTTTTTTTTGTTTGTATCTTTCTTTTTTAATTTTATTTTAGGTTCTGGGTGCATGTGCAGGTTTGTTACACAGGTAAACTTGTGTCATGGGGGCTTGTTGTGCAGATTATTTTACCACCCAGGTTAAGTCTAGAACCCATGAATTATTTTTCCTGATCCTCTCCCTTCTTCTACCATCCACCGTTCATAAGGCCCCAGTGTGTGTTGTTCCCCTCTTTGTGCATGTTCTCACTTATAAGTGGGAGCTAAATGATGAGAACATATGGGTATGTTTAAAGTTGTGAGATGAACTTGCCTCCTGTCAGAACTGTCCATGTGTCTCTCAGCTGTATAGACCCTTCTCGAGAGACAAGCCAAACCTAGACTTGAAGAGGCTCCAAGGCAAAAGCCACTTCCTCCCTGCCCTGATTCTACGTAAGTCATTTTATCAGCACAGGCGGACTCCCAGGTGCTTGTCGAGGAGCTCTGTGTAGCATGTGCACGTATACACATGCACACACACCTCGAAAACCTGCAGGTGAAAAGATCAAAGACGTTGCTTACTGCTTAATGGAAATTCCTAAGCATGTCTCCTTCCTGAAGTGTGAATAGTTCACTTGCCGGGCTAGTAGGAGAGTCACACTCCCCCCAGTGAAGGTGTGTCCCCCCTTGCTTGGGGGCTAATGTTGAACACATGCTTAATATCTCTCTGCTACCTCACTGGGCACCCCAATGCATTCCATGCTCAGCAGCCAAAGTGCTCCCTCCAAAGTGTGCTCTGATCCCAGCCCTCCTCAGCGTGGTTCTCCATTGGTCTCCCGTGGTCTCCAGGCTCATATCCAGAGTCTTTTAAGATGGCTTGATGGCTCCTCTAAGCTACATATCCAGCTTTATGTCTTCCCCACCCTGTCCTCATTGGCTCGGGATCTGGAATGCAAGGTGCTTTTGCTTGGCTCCAAGACTCTGCTTGTGTGTTTTCCACCTGGAGCCCTGTGCTCATTCCTTCCTCCCCTCAGCTGGCCACACCCTCTGTGTCCCTTCCTCAGCCTGAGGGCCACCTTCCTTCTGCCCTGCCCTGGCTGCATTCGGTGCCCTGTGAGACGCCACCACAGTCCCCATAGCTTCAACCATCAGCCAGCCCTGGAAAACATGGGGCCTCTGGTTGCCTCATGTTTAGAAAGCATACTTCGTTCATTTTCCTACCACTGAAGGGCCAAGATAGAGTTGGGCCAAGGTGAGAAAACCAAGAAAGCAAAGCAGTTAACAAAAATATTAATTTTCTTTTACCATCTGCTACCCACCCAGAGTTCCAGGAACAAGGCCCCTTTTAGGTTATGTAATCATCAGGCTCCAAATTGTCTCCCGAGGGCCCAGCTGTGAATATAAAACCCTTCCCACTCTGAGAATGTGAGAGGTGGAGCCCAGTGTCGTTGAGGGGCCGTGCAAATGCTCTGCTCCGTGCTCAGGGCCCCCACCCTTGGCAGGACTACTGTGCACTGGGCCAGCCCAGCTGGCCTCCTGCTTCCCTGGCCTACTACATAAGAGATCCCTCCCTAAGTCAGACAGGGGAAGGTGGGGTCCCTAGAAGGCAGGGAAAAGCCTGAAGTACATAGTATTGTATTTTCTTTTGGAAGAATCTCAAACTCAGAAAATTTGCAACGACAGTACAAAGAACATTCTCCCCCTGAACTATGTAAGTTGTCAACACAGTACCATATCGCTGTCTAATACTTCAGTATGTGTGTTTCCTACAGACAAAGACACTCTCCTACATAATCACAGCACACCATCAAGTAGGACCATAACAGGGATACCGTCATGCGTTGCTTAACAATGGGAATACGTTCTGAGAAATGCATTGTCAGGCGAGTTCATCGTTGTGCTACCATGACAGAGTGTACTTACACAAACCTAGGTGGCATAGCCTACTACACACCTAGGCTCTCAGGTATGGTATGTTGCTCCTAGGCTACAAACCTGTACAGCACGTGACTGCACTGAATACTGTAGGCAGTTGTAACATAATGGTAAGTATTTGTGTATCTCAACATAGAAAAAGTGGAGTAAAAATATGGTATAAAACAGCAGTCCCCAACCTTTTTGGCACCAGGGACTGGTTTCATGGAAGACAATTTTCCCACGGATGCGGGGTTGGGGTGATGGTTTCAGGATGAAACTGTTCCACCTCAGATCATTGGGCGTTAGATTCTCATAAGGAGTGTGCAACCTAGACCTTCTCATGCACAGTTCACAATAGGGCTTGTGCTCCCATGAGAATGTAATGCTGCTGCTGACCTGACAGGAGGCGGAGCTCAGGTGGTAATGCTCGCCTACCCACCACTCACCTCCTGCTGATGGGCCTAGTTGCTAACAGGCCACGGACCAGTACTGTGGACCAGTACTGGTCCATAGCCTGGAGGTTGGGGACTCCTGATATAAAAGATAAAGAAAATGATACACTGGTATAGGGCACTTACCATGAATGGAGCTTGCAGGACTGGAAGTTGCTCTGAGTGAGTCAGTGAGTGGTGAGTGAACGTGGACATTACTGTACACTACTCTGGACTCTATAAAACACTGCACACATAAGCTGCATTACATTTTTTTAAAAAATGGTTTTCTTTTTTAATAATAAATTAACCTGAGCTTACCATAACTTTTTTTACTTTGTAAACTTTTGAACTCATTTAACTTTTTTACTTTTATAACATTTAGCTTAAAACACAAACACATTGAACAGTTGTACAAAATTATTTTCTCTATATCCTTATTCTATAGGCTTTTTCTAGTTATTATTACTTTTTTACTTTTTAAACTTTTTGTTAAAAACTAAGACACAAACGCACATTAGCCCATGCCTACACAGGGTCAGGATTATCAGTGTCACTGTCTTCCACCTCCACCTCTTGTCTCAGTGGGAGGTCTTCAGGGACAGTCACACACATGGAGCTATCATATCCTATGATAACAGTGCCTTCTTCTGGAAAACCTCCTGATGGACCCACCTTAGGCTGTTTCACAGTTAACTTTTTTAAAAAAAAAGTAGAAAGAGTACACTCTAAAATAATGATAAAAAGTATAGCACAGTAAATACATAAACCAGTGACACGGTCATTTATTATCATCGTATTAGTTCATTCTCGCACTGCTATAAAGAACTGCCCAAGAATGGGTAATTTAGAAAGGAAAGAGGTTTAATTGACTCACAGTTCTGCATGGCTGGGGAGGCCTCAGGAAACTAATAATCATGGTGGAAGGCAAAGGAGAAGCAGACACCTTCTTCACATGGCAGCAGGACAGAGTGAGTACAAGCAGGGGAAATGCCAGATGCTTATAAAACCATCAGATCTCATGAGACTCACTATCACGAGAACAGCATGGGAGAAACTTGCCCCCATGGTTCAATGACCTCCACCTGGTCTTTCCCATGACACATGGGGATTATGAGGATTACAATTCAAGGTGAGATTTTGGGTGGGGACACAGCCAAGCCATATCATTCCACCCCGGCCCCTCCCAAATCTCATGCTCTCACATTTCAAAGCACAATCATGTGGGGCAGAATGATATGGTTTGACTATGTTCTCACCCAAATTCTTATCTTGAATTGTAATCCTCATAATGCCCATGTGTCAAGGGAGAGACCAGGTGGAGGTCATTGAACGATGGGGGTGGTTTCCCCCATGCTGTCCTTGTGATAGTGAGTTCTCATGAGATCTTATGGTTTTATAAGTGTTTGGCAGTTCCTCCTGCATTCATTGTACCTCCTGCCTCCTTGCGAAGAAGGTGTTTGTTTCCCCTTCACCTTCTGCCACAATTGTAAATTTCCTGAGGCCTCCCCAGCCGTGTGGAACTGTAAATCAATTAAACCTCTTTCCTTTCTAAATTACCCAGTCTTGGGCAGTTCTTTAGAGTAGTGTGAAAACGGACTAACAAAATCAAGTATTATGTGCTAACATGACCTTATATGCTCTACTTCGATATGACTGGCAGTAAATTTGTTTACACCAGCATCACCACAAACTTGGGAATAATGAGTTGCACTATGACTTTACAACCCTTTGTGACATCACTAGGTGTTAGGAATTTTTCTGCCCCATTATAATCTTATGGAAGCATATCACATATGTGGCCTGTTGTTGACTGAACTGTCATGATGCAGCATGTGACAACACATCACTGCCGTGTGCTCCTCAGACCCCATCAGATTTCTCTGGTTGTCCCAACTGCATCCTTGAGAATGGAGGGTCCAGTCCAGAATCACATATTGCATTTAGTTCTGTGTCTTCAGTCTCCTTCAGCCTGAAACACTTCCTCAGCCAGGAGCTTTGAAAATTACTGGCAGTCATTTTGCAGAATGCTCCTCCATTTGGGATTGTCTGATGTCTCTCTGGCCGGAGTCCTATGGAGTGATGCCACATTCTCACTGCAGCCCCCCAGGTGCTGCAAGCTTTTTATTGGCCCTGTTGATGTTTACTTTGGTCACAGATGAGGTGATGTCTGCCAGCCTTCTTCACCATGAAGTTGCTCTTTTTCTCTCTGGAATGGATAAGTGTTTTGTGGGCAGATACTTTGAGGCTATGTAAACATCCCATTGAAGAACATCAGACTTTCAATGCGTTCCCTTACTTACTTATATCTGTGTGCACTGGTGGTTTCCCATCTGTTACTGTCACTATGTTGGTGCTCAAATTGTCCCTGATTCTGACCACTGAAGGCTCCTTCAAGCTGGCTCTGTGTCCTACTGACGTGTTCCCATTATTCATTAAGCACTTCCTTGTTTTCTGGCAAAACAACAAGTTCCGGGCTCATTTTCTGCACCCCACTCCTACTTCCCAGTGCTAGAATCAGCCGTTTCTGCAAGGTGCTCTGGTTCCTTTAGTGGAAAGTCATATTCAGAAGCCAGTATTCAGGTGCTAGGAGTGCTCCAGGCTATGCGGGGCTGGCTGCTCCAGGCCCCCCAGTGACTGTGGGGACTAGACACACACACATTTCCATCTATATATATGGACTTATCTTTATGTATTCAAGGCCACAAGGGTACACTGATCATTCCGATTTTAATCCCACACAACAGGATTCATTCCAGTTTTCTCTCCATATACATAACTTCCTTCTCTGACAATAGGAAACCTAACTCCCACTGTCTTCAGTAGATTTATTTGATCAGTATCCCTGTGTGTAACCAATCTCCCGTCTCTGCCACCAGCCTCTCTCCCACATGGATCCCCTCCTTGCCTCACTTGGACTCCAGCACTCCAGGCAGGGCCTTTGCTTTCCCCAGGATGCTCCCTCCACCCTGCTGGGCTCCCACACCCCACACCAGTCCACCCCTTGAGGGCACATTCTCCCCACATCCTCTCTGGTACCTCTGGGGCACGATGGCTTCTCCCTCCGCCACCTTTGCTATGCCCCACTTTGTGGCTTTAGGACAGGACTCAGGAGAAAGGGAAGACAAGAAGGGAAGGAATCCCTTGGATTTTTTAACCAAAAAATGCATCAAGTACATGGAGACAGAGCCACAAAATAATCATAACAAATATTCTAAACCAATCAGACAGCCAGCCCCAGATCACCCTATAAGGGGGCATTGCTACCCCGTGACAGCTGGGTAGCCTGGGCAAATTCCCTAACCTCACCGAGCCTCAATTTCCTCAATGGTAAAATGGGGAAAGGACAGTGCTTCCCTCGTGGTTTGGGTGTGAAGCTTCTGTGAGTTAATGTTAGTGAACAGCCAGCCTCAGCCCCTACCCAAGGTAGCTGCTCCGCAGATGTGATGACAACCACCGTGTGTTTCTCAGAATCCTAGGAAATAAGGGCTTCTTTCTAGAAGGCAGGGCCAGGATGCTGCGTGGGTGTTCCCTGGCAGAGAGGCTCTGTGGCCCTCAGGACTTCATCCTTCTGCAGGCTTGTGTGTTTGTTTTATTTTTTTGGCACGCCTGCAGCCAAGTTGGGGAGGGTTTCCTGGACAGAGGTCCTTTGGCTGCTGCCTTAAGACGTGCAGCCTGGGCCGTGGCTGTCACTGCGTTCGGACCCAGACCCGCTGCAGGCAGCAGCAGCCCCCGCCCGCGCAGCAGCATGGAGCTCTGGGGGGCCTACCTCCTCCTCTGCCTCTTCTCCCTCCTGACCCAGGTCACCACCGAGCCACCAACCCAGAAGCCCAAGAAGATTGTAAATGCCAAGAAAGGTAAGGAGGGGGACAGAGCCCTGTGCCATCTTCCAGGGAGCAGGTCCCCCTCTCCTTAGTGTGTCCTCATGCTCCTTTCCTTCATTTTCCTCCTTTTGAGTCATCTAGGGAACTTGAGTAAAGTGGGCTTTGGGGCTTGGGGGAGTTCTCTCATAGCAGAGTTGGTTGTCAGAATCATAAGAATCCCTGACCCTTAGAGTTGGGAAGAACCTTCCAGATCATCCAAACTGATCTTTGCTCTTCTCTCCTCCCCTCATCCCCAATATTTTAAAGAAACCAAACCTTTGGCCTGGGAGTCTGGCAGCGCTCAGCCCTTACCAGGGAGAGCTGCACAGGCTGGGCTTTGGAGTCTTCCAACCTGTTTTCTCAACTGTAAAATGGGGACAGTGGTATTTGTTCAAAGACTTCTCATGAAGATTTTATGATACAAAATATATAAAGGCACCTCACTTGTTGCTTGATGCACAGGGAAAAGAAAAAGAAGAAGAAATGAATTCTCATTTCTGTAGCATATCACAGCCTTCAGGAAATAAATGTAACTCAGACTAGTCCACCAGAAGCAGCTTTGCTCTGCTTTGTAGCCTCTGGGGATTGGGGTGTCCCTCGGTTGCTTTGGCTACAGCAAGACTTGCCCTTGCAGCCCCGCCTGCAGTGAGGTCACCCCAGGCTGTGTTGAGACAACATCAGTGGAATGTCATGGCAATGGACGGGGCTGTCACCCCCCCAGGGAGCAGAGGCTAGAAGAGAGTCCAAGGGGATGAGGGTGGGGACTGAGGCAGAGAAACAAGCAGCTAGGACCAAGGGCACAGAAAAGGAAAGAAGGGGCTGTGGGGGCCTCCCTTAGGCCCTCCCGGGGCTCTTCATAAATGGACAGTTGCCCACTGGCCAGGAACTAGTGCAGTGCATAAAGGGACATCGGGGCCATGGGGCCTCACAACACTGTGACAAAGAATGGGGCAAATCTGGCTGCTGATAAAAAAATCATCTTCAAGATTCAGTTTACAAAGTGAAAAAAGAAACATTCAAAAGAGAATGAGTATGATGCTGACATTTGCTTTGAAAAAGGGATTTATATAATAATACATTTTTACTTGTATGTGCATAAGTTCTTTCTGGAAGGATCCACAAGAGTGAGTAACAGTGATTACCTCTGGGAAGAAAAACCAGGGGCTGGGCGCAGTCTCAACTGGGAAAGAAACCAGCTTTTTGAACTGTTTGGATTTTAAAAAATTATGTGTGTATATTACCTTCCACAAAATGTTCATTTAAAAAGAGAAGACAATACCGTGCATAGTTACGTCTATGAGCATTAGCCAAAATCGCCACCAAGGGAGAGCCTTTGTAAAAGATGCAGCTCCAAAGGCAAATCATAGAATTTTTGAATGTGGAAAACCATCGCCAGCTTCTCAAGTTTACCAAAGATTCAGTATTAATATAATTATGTAAATCTTTTTAAACTCATGTTAAAAAAAAAAGGGTCAGAGCACGTGATGCCTTGGTTCTCTCCAGCTGTCACACTTGAACCCTGGCCCTATGTGGTCTCCATAGAAGGGGCCCCTGGAGTTCCAGGGCTACAGGCCAACAGAACAGCCACCCAGGCCCTGCCTCTCGCTGAAACCCATGGCAGTCTCCCGCCCACCAACATGGCAGGCACTTATAGAGCTCTTTCTCCACGTAGGCACCAGTCTATATGCTGGACACACAGCAGAGAAACACCGTCTCTGCTCTTAAGACATGAACCATGGTGGTTCTCACTCAGGCATCAACATCATCTGGGAGATACATTAGAATCCAGGTGCCTTGGCCAGGCGTGGTGGCTCAAGCCTGTAATCTCAGCACTTTAGGAGGCCAAGGTGGGAGGATCGCTTGAGGCCAGGAGTTCAAGACAAGTCTGGCCAACATGGTGAAACCCTGTCTCTACTAAAAATACAAAAATTAGCTGAGTGTGATGGTGTACACGTGTAGTCCCAGCTACTCAGGAGGCTGAGGCAGGAGAATTGCTTGAACCTGGGAGGTGGAGGTTGCAATGGGCCGAGATTGCACCACTGCACTCCAGCCTGGGTGACAGAGTAAGTGAGACTCCGTCTCAAAAATAAATCAATAAATAAAATAAAAGTTAAGAATTCAGGTGCTTGGGCCCCACCCCTGGAAATGCTGGTTTAGGGATCTTGGTGAGTTTAGCATCTGCCTTTTCCACAGGTCTTCAGGGATTCCTAGGAGCAGCCAGGAATGAGAATCTCAGGGGCAATCTAGTTGCAGGGCTGGTGCCCAAAAGTACGGGAGAAAGTCCAAAGAAGGGACGGTCATGCCAGAGGAGACCAGTTGGTGCCAGGGCCAAGAGGGGGAGAGCAAGTGGCAGGACTGGCAAAGGAAGGGAATGCCAGCATATGCTAAGTCCTTGTCCTGGCCCTCAGGGTGGGTGAGAAGCGGGGAGCCTAGAGTACTTCTGGGAGCTCATCTGTTCTTGGGGCCACATGGTCACACCTGGCAGGGAAGCTCCGGAGGGAAGGATGGCCTCATAGGAGTCACAGGCCTTTAGAACAGGGAACTGGGGGAACCTGGAGGGCATCCATTCTAACATCACGCAGAAGGAACCTGAGGCTCAGAGAGTGGGCCAGCACAAAGGCCTCCTGACTCTGCCCAGGGCCGTAGAGACACCTACTCCCACAGCTTCCTCAGGTGGAGCTAATGAGAGTAGCTTCCTGTACCTTGGACAGTCCCTGGAGGAAACTTTGCACATATGGGCACCTTGGTGCAAATTACAAAAGGTACCTCCTCTAAACTGACAAATTATAGAAAGGCATCTCTTTTTCTGGTCTGACCCACTCTAGCCAGGGCAAGGCTTAGGAGACAAATGGGCCTTCATGTGTCCCTCAGCAGAATGCCCTTCTTCAGTGCCCCCTTGCACAGCCTCACATGGCACCCTATGCTGGTACATCACGTGACTGGGTACAGTGCTGCTATAACTGGTGGAGGCAGTCTCTGTGTGAGGCACACATGACCTCAGGCTGGTTTGCCAGCCCCAAACTCTCCCTTTTTTTGCCTTGCTCATCAGGGTGTTTTTGCTCCAGTTTGGTAAGTTACATCGCTAATTTCTATATACACAACCATGTGTCTTGCCTGTGATTCTTCTGCAAAGGCACCTTATGGGTGGACGAAGGCTCTGATCTCACTCTTTGTGAGTGTGGAATGTATGCAGACACAGCCAAATGGACCATTAAAGTGTTTCCCCACCCACTTCCCCAAGCTGAGTGCAGCCTTTCCTGAAGCCCTGGTGTTTCAGAAAGACCAGGGTCCGCCCCAGGAGCTCTAAACTTACACACACATAGAAATATGCTTCCCGGCACCCTCAACTTACACACACATAGAAATATGCTTCCCCGCCTTCCCCTGCTGACTCTTACATGACTGGCTGCCAGCAGGACAGCTCCTGTTAGGAATCCGTTTGTGTGCCATGGGGAAGGTGGGGAAGAGCATGGCTTCAGAGCCATGTGCACCTGGGTTCCAGGCCAGCCCTGCCAGCTGGGGCTCTGCCATCCTCGGCCAGTTGGTTTAGGGCAGCCTGGGTTTCCTCATGGTGAAATGCTGGTGGTACAGAATGACACGTTACCTGTGTCATAGGGTTGATTATGAGCATCACATGGGGTGACATGTAGAACGGCTTAGCCCAGAGCCTGGCCTCCTCTGTAAGAGTGGAAAACCTGGGTTCCTTCTGCCCTCATCTTATTAGTAGCTGTGATGGGCACACACTCAGCCAAGCACTGAGGTAGGCAGCTCTGCGTTTCAGTTCTCTTAGTCTTCTCCAGAGTCCTAGGAGGTGGGGCTGTCATCATCCACTTCATACATGAGGGAACCAAATCCAGAGAGGCTGAGCAGCTCGCCCAGGCCACCCGTGTCTGTGGCACCTCCAAGCCCTGCATATGCGTGCCCCAGGCTGGAGTGCCTGCTGGTCTGTGTCGCATTCCTCCAGCCTGGGGAAGTGAACCTGGGGGCTTCTTGAGGGCTCCTGCTGTGCTTCCTGTGCTGTTCTTCCCTGGAGCTGAAAAGGTAGCTGGGTGGTGGGGGATCACTGAAGCCTGTGCCTACACCCTCACCCCTGCCTCTGCTAATCCCAGCCCCATCTGATCCCCAGCAACAATCCCAAACAAATGCAGCACAGGAGCAAGTGAAGGATGGGCCCCCTGGCAGAAGTCACAAGTGGTTAATTAGACTACCACCAGCAAGGATAGAGAGAGAGAAAGTTTCCCAAGATATCAAGGTTGAGGGGAGTCTTTTCCTCTCATCCCTCTGCAGCTAAGGTAGGATCCTTCCTGCTCAGTCCCTGCCCCACCCTGACATATTTCCTCCTGCTTCAGATGTTGTGAACACAAAGATGTTTGAGGAGCTCAAGAGCCGTCTGGACACCCTGGCCCAGGAGGTGGCCCTGCTGAAGGAGCAGCAGGCCCTGCAGACGGGTGAGTGCAGGCAGTAGCCTCTCTGGGCAGGAGCGTCTGAGAGAAGGGCCCAGGCCAGCAGCCAGCAATGCTCTTCTCGCCTCCGTTCAGCATCAGGGTCCTGGCTCCATTAGTCCAGGCCTATGGGTGAAGGCACCAGGTTCAGGGAGCCCCACCTCTTTCTCTTGGGGAGATCCCCTGACACGTGTCTGCAAAACTCACCTGGATGTGTACGGCCAAATCTCTGGCCACAGCTGGGTGGTGTGGAAGTGGGGATGTCCCAAGAGGACAAAAAATTCTCCAACAAGAATCCACTACTGCCCACCAGAAGTGACCCTGGAGCGCTCGATGGGGCAGAGGTAGTGGCCCACCCTAGCAAAGCTCCCAGGAGCCCCTCACTCAGCTGGCCTCTGCAGCCCCAGAGAGCTCCACACTCCTGTGTGTCAGCAGCTTTGCTGACCCTGTCTCTCTTAATCGTAACTCTGCTGAGGTGGGATTTGTCAGCTCCATTTTAAAGATGAGCTGTCAGCTCCATGAAATGTCAGCTCCATTTTAAAGATGTGTCAGCAGCAACTGAGGCATAGACAGGTCCTGAACCTGGCTCATACTCACCTCGTTGGTTAGTTGACTCGTGGAAGAGCAAGAGTTGAATGGAGGCAGGCTGCCCAGTGCCAAGCTGGGCCTTGGTGTTCCTGGCTCTGCACTAGCCAGCTGAGGGAGGGTGCACAGAATCACCAAGAACAGGGCCCAGGCGCATGGTAAGGTCATGCCCTCTGGCCAGCATACCTGGCAGCCTATTGTTTCTCACTCCCCATGTTCCTGTCATATAGTCTGCATTTTCCACATACCTCCGATTTACCTACCTTTATATGACCTCACCTTCCATTCTATGGAGAACACAGACTCACAATACTGATGACTATTTACATGTGAGCCCACTACATTCTGGCACTGTTCTTGATGCTTGATGCAGACTCACAATACTGATGACTATTTACATGTGAGCCCACTACATTCTGGCACTGTTCTTGATGCTTGATGCACGTTAACTCATTCACAGCACACCCGTGCAGTGGTCCTGTTACTACATCCTCACCCTTATTTTCCACCGAGAAGGACCTTGTGACAGCCGAAAGGAGCAGAGCCTCACTTAGCTCTGCTATGCTGCCCCTCGAGTTATCAGCTGGGAAATCACCTTGACTCCTCAGCAAATCTATAAACCACCCTGTGTCCACAGCCACTCTCTTACCTGTTGCTTTTGTGACCAAGGCCCATCCATCTGCAAGGCCTTCCCTTCCCCGCCTGCCTCCTCAGAAACCCCCAACAGCCTTCTCACCGGATGGTTTTACACACTCCCTCCCATTCATATGCTTTCCTTCAGCATTCACACTGCCATCCTTCTGCACTCCCACCACAGGGCCTTTGCATGTGCTGTTTGGGCAACCTGAATTGCTCCCCCAAGATCCACCTAATAAATGCCTCCAGCATTATCTTCTCAGGAGTCACTAATCCCTCATCTCAATCAGCTCCTCAGTTATAAGCTCTCCCAGAACAGTGTCCTTTCTTTTATCACACTGACTGCAGTCTGTAATGATACACTCATTTCCTGATTTGTGTCTGCTGCCTCCACTAGACTATAGTAAGCCCTGAGAACACAAGGGCCATGTTTGCTTTTCATTGCCCTTGTCTCTTCCACTACCCTGCCCAGCATAGTGCCTGCCACATAGCAACACTCAGTCAATCTCTGTTGAAGGAAGGACAAACATGTAACTTTGGACAGCTTGCTTGGCATGGCAGGTAGGAAGAGAGTGCTCGAGAAAGGGAGCATCTCCAGAGGTGTTTTTGACTTCATGTAATAGGAAACCTATCAGTGGCTTAAACAAAAAGTAAGTCTGCAAGTAGGTAGTTATAAGTTTTTGTTCAGAAGTTTCACCTCATGGTCTTCAGATGGCTGCCCCAACTCCAGGCATCATGAGTGCATTCAAGGCAAGAAGGAGGAAGAGTAGCCCAACCACATCTGTCTCATTTATAGGGAACGTAGTCTTCCACTTCCATCTCATTGACAAGAAATCTATCATATGGCCACCTGCAGCTTTAAGAACATCTGAGAATGCAAGAATGTAGCTTTTCCAGCCTCTATAGTGGAGGTGGACAAGAGAGAAGGGATTTGGAGGCAACAGTGCCTGGCACAGCGGGTATGTTTAGAATGAGCCCAGTGCCACTCTGAGCCTCAGTTTCCTCATCTGTAAGGTAGGCAGGGTAAACTCTAAGGTCTCTCTCATGTCTAAGCTCTGTGCTGTGCAAAGTCAATGTAACCCAGGCATCAACTGCCACCTGGGGTGAGGTAATGAGGTGGGGACCTCCCTGAAAAAAGTTCATGACATATGGAGGCCCAAAGCATGACATATGAAAGCCCCCATGTCTGCTGATTTCTAGGAAGCTGCTGGGCTTCTTGGGGCCTTCTCCTGTTCATTGTCCTCACAACCCAAAGATCACCTTTTCAATAAACCCACCCAAAGCATTGCAGAGCTCTGTTGACCTAACCAGAGTTGAAGGAATCAGGGGGCAACCTTTCCCTCCTCCAACCAGCATACACATGGGAGGTTCCCACCTGGTACATCTCTGCCAGGCACAAGGAGGCAGAGGTGATGCAGCCAGGGCCCTGCTCCCTGGGAACCTCAATATATTCATGGAATCACTTGAGCCCTTGAAAGCTGTGTAGGAATCAGAGAAGATAAAGAGGGTTGATTCCAAGCAGATGGCAGGGCAGGAGCAGAGGTGTGGAGGACTAGCATAAATCGACAGGATCATGAATAGACCAGAGCAACAAAATGTTGGCAGCAATGATAGTATCACGAGAAGTAGCATTGACTGAGGACTACCTATGTGTTGGAGGGAGGTTCAGGTGAGGGTCCTAGGAAGCAACTCTGAGATGGAGTTTAACCCACAGGAGACTTATCAGGAGATACCCTCAGGATCAACCCCTGTGCTAGGGAAGGGATGGAAGGAAGCAGGAGTGGGCAGAAGGAGAAGTCGAGCTGTACTGTGGTGCCACGAAAGCCTCAGCTGACTTCAGGAGCCCTGATGACGGGATGACCCTTCGGCACTGTCCTGAGTCGGGGCAAGAGGGCTTATGGGTCAGTCTTGGGTGTAGGCTGCTCTAGGGAGGGGCACGGCCTTGGAAGAGATGGCTGTCTTCTGCTGAGGCAGTCCCTGCAGGAGGCTGAAAGCTGAGGACTTTCTTCCTGCAGCATTCCTGGCAGCCAGGGCAGTGAATCCTTCATCCCCAACAAAAGTCTAGGTAGCACGTCAGTGTTACCAGCAGGAAGGAAAGGCAATGAAGGCCGCTTGGCTAAGCTGTAGGATAGCACGAGGTAGGACAGCTGACTTGGGGCAGAGTCTGTGGGTAGACACCTCTGTAATGCTTCAGGCCCCATGTTTAAAGTCGGTTGTGGTGTCAGATGCCCATGGGGACACTGGGATGCTGTCCATTGATATTTGTTGAGTGAAATGGAAGTAACTGAGTGGGAATGGATAGAGGGGAGTGCAGACATCCCCCAAAGTGGTGGGGTCACCAGCAAGAGGACAAATGCAGACATACACCTGTCTGTCAAGATATTCCTTTCCACAGAAATCTTTAGTAAAAGGTGAACGATTTATACGATCTCAGGAGAAATCAGAGTATGTCTAGATATTTCAGCTAGAAATCAAGCTGAAAATGCAAACTGCAAAACAAAAATAGATTTTATCCTCCTAACTTGACCAAATATGTGCCTTCATCACAACCTTTGGGGCCAGGCTCAAACTGAGAATTTGTGGACACCTCAGAGTCCCTTGCCTGATCGCCGGCCTCTGACCACAGCCTGTGCCCAGCACTTCCTGTCTTCTCTCTTGCAGTCTCAGCTCTATCCACTCAGCCCCACCCTACCAGCCCTCAGGAGAACTGACCCTGCAAAAGGCACTTGGCAGGCCCTGGAAGCTTGCTTGGGCTGTTTGGGTAGGGATTTGGGGCCCTGGGTACATGAAGTGTGGCCTAGGCTGTAGGTGGGCAGGTGCCCTGGCCCTGCAAGCTGCTTGATCTTAGGGAGGGGCATGGAGGAAGGAGAACCAGAGCAGGTGGCTGTGGCTGGGCTCCCTGGGAAGCTGACTCTGAGACAGAGCTAATTTGTTAGGGTGAGCCCTAGGAGCCACACATGTGGGGGCGGGGGGAAGAGGAAGTGGGCAGAGGGAGAGCTGAGCTGCAGTGCAGGCACCAGGCCAGCCTCTGTGACCCAAGGAGATGGGGTGGGTAAAGGCCAGAAATGACTGAGGTGGAGGCCTGGGAAGGGGTGTCAGCTGGGGCTGGGTGCTTCTGTAGCACAAGGGCTGCCTTTTCTCCCAGCCGCGGGAGCACCAAGACCTCCTGAGTGGGGATCTGGATCTGTACATTAGTGGCCACCACAGCCAGGTCCTCAAAGTGCATGAACCATCAGGACCCCTTTTGCCTGGGTCTAAGGGGCTGTCAGGACTGATGGGATAAACGGGATGGGATGGAGGACGGTGGGCTTGGCCTGGGCGGTTGGCTCTTTGCCTGGGGAACAGGGGGACCTTCGGTGACAGCCATTTCTCCCCACTCCCAGTCTGCCTGAAGGGGACCAAGGTGCACATGAAATGCTTTCTGGCCTTCACCCAGACGAAGACCTTCCACGAGGCCAGCGAGGACTGCATCTCGCGCGGGGGCACCCTGGGCACCCCTCAGACTGGCTCGGAGAACGACGCCCTGTATGAGTACCTGCGCCAGAGCGTGGGCAACGAGGCCGAGATCTGGCTGGGCCTCAACGACATGGCGGCCGAGGGCACCTGGGTGGACATGACCGGCGCCCGCATCGCCTACAAGAACTGGGAGACTGAGATCACCGCGCAACCCGATGGCGGCAAGACCGAGAACTGCGCGGTCCTGTCAGGCGCGGCCAACGGCAAGTGGTTCGACAAGCGCTGCCGCGATCAGCTGCCCTACATCTGCCAGTTCGGGATCGTGTAGCCGGCGGGGCGGGGGCCGTGGGGGGCCTGGAGGAGGGCAGGGGCCGCGGGAGGCCGGGAGGAGGGTGGGGACCTTGCAGCCCCCATCCTCTCCGTGCGCTTGGAGCCTCTTTTTGCAAATAAAGTTGGTGCAGCTTCGCGGAGAGGAGAGGCGCTGCAGTCTGTGCTGTGTCCGCGGGGCGGGGAGGAGGTCCCAGGAGCCGGTTCGAAAGCTCCCTCCGTGATGAAGTAGGCGAGAAGGGAGGAGGTGAAGGAGGGCGAGCTGAGCACACGCGCTTCATGCCACAGGAGGGTGGGAATGAGCGGAGGACTGAGGAGAGGAAGGAGGGAAAGAATAGGGAGATGAAAACGCCCCGGTCTGCTGCTAAGCACAGCACAGTTACCAAAGCCAGGAAACTAACACTGACACGATATTTTATTTACGTTACAGCTCTATTCAAAGCTCCAGGCTTCTTTTTGTAGAATCGTTTCCATCTGCTGGAATCCAGCATCGCCCCCACCCCCCGCCCCATTTCTAGGGGGATGCCCCCACTGCTGACCTCTCCTGCTGTAGATCTATTTCTGGGAGGCACTGACATGCTGACTCTTGCTATGGGGTCGGCGGGGAGTGGGGAGCTGGGCATTCCCCTTCTTCCTCAGGACATCCCGGGAGCCAAATACGACGGCCAGCACTGCCCGACCCGTGCGTCCTTTTCCTTCCCACTCTTCACAGAAAGCTGCTCAGGGGTCCAGGCGCAGGCATTTTAAATACGTTGTCTTATTTCACGTGATCCACCCAGGACAAGCTGTGCTATTATCACCATTTAAAATAAGCAAAGTGAGTTGAAACTCAGGGAGGTTTGGGGACTTCCACTGGTCCTGAAGCTGGTAAGTAGCAGAGCCGGGATTTAACCCAGGGCTGTTTCCAAAGGCCTTGGCCTTTCCACCACCACTGCAATGCTTGCTTCGTGTGGCCAGAACGTCACTGAAATAAAACATCAGAGAAGTGGCCCAGTGGTCCTCAGAGGCTGTTGGCCAGCTCTTGGCCTGACCTGGCCCACCCAGCCATCGTGGGCCTGGCTCTAGTGACCCCTCCTGGGGGAGTCTTCCTTATCCTTCAGCCACCGCCAGTGCTCCACTGTCTGGGCTTCTGCAGTAACTTTTTCTCTCTGGTTGTCTTCTAGTGTGTCTCGCCTTCAGTAATAATAAGTGGATGATAGTTTGATTTGATCGATTGAGATGGGGTGGTTGGGGGAGGCAGCTTACAGAGAATTATGTACGTACTTCATGCCAGGCAGCCTGTTCCTCATCATCACAGAAAGGACCTCTTGAAATTCAACAATTTCAACGATTGTTGGAGGAGGTGATGAGATCCATTGGCATAAGCCCAGAAACTGCTTCAGAAGAGTGATGTGGTATGTTCCAGACCCCTCAGCAAGCGAGAGGCAAAGCTTAGACTGAAATCTACATCTTGTAACTCCGAGTCTTGGATTCTTTTCATCCCTCACTCAGCTTCCTAGCGGGATATAGGTGAACAGGGTTTTGTTTTGTTTTGTTTTGTTCTGCTTTTTTTTTTGTTTTTTTTGTTTGTTTGTTTTTTGAGACGGAGTCTCCCTCTCTCGCCCAGGCTGGAGTGCAGTGGCACGATCTCGGCTCACTGCAAGCTCCGCCTGCTGGGTTCACGCCATTCTCCTGCCTCAGCCTCCCGAGTAGCTGGGACTACAGGCGCCTGCCACCACGCCCTGCTAATTTTTTGTATTTTTAGTAGAGACGGGGTTTCACCGTGTTAGCCAGGATGGTCTCTATCTCCTGATCTTGTGATACGCCGGCCGCGGCCTCCCAAAGTGCCGGGATTACAGGCATGAGCCACCAGGCACGGCTGAACAGGGTTTTTTTAAAGTTCCTGAACTGGGTGGCTGCCCACAAGAGGGCACTCATGCCTCTGCGTGTGAGTGTGGAACCTGGTCGACTGCTGTGACACTCTTTGGGAAGACAGTCGGCATTTTCCACTTCCAGCAGCAGGTGGCAGTATGGGCAAGAGTATCATCACCCATCTTTCATCTACCACCCATGTGCTTACATCTGGGCTGCTGAGATCTGCATACTTCGAATTGAGTATACCTGTCCTTCAATCTTGTCTTTACTTAAAATTCTGACATTTTGTTCACCATTTTTTGAACATTAATTCTGATTTTTAAAAAAATTTGCATTCAAGTATTATTTCTCTTGCTTACTGAGTTTTGGTATCCCCTTAAATTTTGTGCCCCAGGTGAATGCCTCACTCATCTCACTAGTCCCTGCCCTGCCTCAGAGGTACACACTTTGGAGAATTTCCCAGGGGTTATACAAACAATGATCGTTTTAAGTGACTCAGTTTCTATTACTCTTTTCTTTTGTATTACTCCTTACTAGAATTGAGCTACCTTGGTGCAGGCCTGGGGAACAGGCTTTCTTTCCCACCTCCTGTTTTGCAATCTCCCTTTTCCATTTTACAAAAGAAAGGCCAGCTCTTCACCCTTCCTGCTCTTACCATGGGGTGTGGCCTGGTGTGTAAAAATCCTTGGGGATGCCAAACAGAAGACGAATTGAAATCTTGGTTTAGGTGTTAAGTAAAAGGCCATGTGAAAAATCGTTTTGCAAACTTAGTGGTTTCTAATCCTTTGCCTTTAACCTCCAAGATGAGCTTAATCAAGTTCTCAGCTGATAGACCATACGAAGTAATTTCCAATGACAGAACACTTTTTCTTTTTAACAATTTATTTTATTTTACTTTAAGTTCTGGGTTACATGTGCAGAATGTGTAGGTCTGTTGCATGGGTATACATGTGCCACGGTGGTTTGCTGCACCTATCAACCCATCATCTAGGTTTTAAGCCCCGCATGCCTTAGGTATTTGTCCTAATTCTCTCCCTCCTGACAGAACACTTTTGACCTTTACCTTAGAAGCTCAAGGACTAAGTGACACTGCTATAACAAAACTCCTTTCAGTCTCACCAACTTACTTATCTGAACAAAGTTTCTCAACATTAACAACTCTAAAAGTGAAAAATAGGAATCTTATTGATGCTGAATCCTGCTGTATTCTGCTAGATATGTGAGCCAATTTTTAAGAACTCTATTCATCTGATTAAGAGTAGTGTTTAATTGTGTTTATAAAAATATGTCATAGACCTGTTCTGATTTGATCAATTGTGCTAATGGTAATTGTGTTAGGGGAATGCTAGAAAACTAAGTTGCAGGGGCACTGGCCTAAGCCCTTTCTTGGAGAACAGTGCTGCCCTCGGCATCTGTGAGGATGGCCAAGCAGGAGGAGGTGGTTTCTGGGAAGGATCCTTCTGTCAGCTCTTGGCCTTCACTAGTGTGTGGGAGCCATGTGCACAGACCTGGCTGAGTCTTGCTCTCTTCTCCTCACTCCACCACCTCTGCTGTGCCTGTTCCTGTTCCTCCTTTCCCTTCTGGTCATTCCTTCACCCTTCCTCACCCCAGCCCATCCCGGCCAAGGGGAGGAAGAGCTGGAAGGAGGCAGTACAGATGGAGACCCTCCGTGTGAAGAAAGGGGTGCATGGGAGACCTGAGGCTGGTCCTGGCAGTTCTGGCTGTGGGACCCTGGAGAAGGCCTGTGGGGCATCTTGGCCCCCAGTTTCTTCATCCGCAAAATGAAGTTTGGATTAGATGATCTCTAAGACTCCTGAGTTCAAGATTCTACCCACTGTTCTCAGGAAAGTTTTTGTAGAATCCTTTCCAGATAAGAAAGCTATTTTGTAGAATGGAAATGGTGGCTGTTTCCTCTGCCCATCAAGGCTCATCCCCTTCACTGACTGTCTCATTTTCTGCAGTGACTATTGGCCATTGCTATCTCTTGAATCCCAAATGTGTACACGTTCAGATGCCTGGTAGACACCACCACCTAGAAGCCCTTAGGCACCTATGTCAACATGTCCAAAAGGGAACTCAGGGTCTTTCCACTCAAATCTGCTCCTCTTCCTGAGTTTACCATCTCTGTGAAGATCCTCACCTGCCCAGTTACCCAAACGCCAAACCTGTGGGGCATCAAAGGTGACTTAGTGTCTGTCTTGAGACACTTGAGATCCAAGTAATTACCAGGACTCTATGATTTTTGCTTCCCAAAGAACTCTCTGATCTGTTCCCTCTCCTCCAATTCCATTGCTGTGGGGCTCAAGTCTCCTGCTTGAACCATTGCAAATAACAGTCTTACTGTTTCCGTAACTCCCCCAGGTCTCTCCCACCCACCATAAACCATGACCTTTGCTGCATAAGCACTAGTTGTATGGGAGAGAAAGGCTGGTTCAGGCCTCGGTTGGAGCTGGCCCATGGAAAGCAATCTTCTCTTCCATGCGCAAACATGCACATCTTTGCCTCATCCGAAAACACTGCTCTGCTGATGTGGCCCTAATGCCTTAGACCCCCAGGTGACACTTTTTCCTTTGATTTTGGCTTTGCACAGATAAAAAGGAGATATTAATAAAAACAAAACTAACAATGTTTGCACTGACCCCAAAGCCCCTCGCCATGAGCTGGGCAACATTTAATATTCATAAACCTAGCAGGGAGGTATTACTAAACTTATTTCATAATTGAGGAAAATGAGGTATAAAGATAACTTTTGTGAGAACATTTAGTGATGGGCCTGGAATTTCAGCACAGGTCTGTTGCGTTCCAAAGCCCACATGCCATCTGCTATATAAATCAAGTCCTTCCTGGATCTTGAAGAAAGTTTTAAGATTTTCTTGATGTGATTGTGAAAGATGTGTAAAGGAGAGTTGATAGTGATGTGTATTGATGTGTATTTGTGATTGGTGGTACAGCCTCCTGTAAAAACACATTTTCCACTCAGATTTTTTAGGGCTATTCTGAGGCCTAATGGTAAGCTCTAGCTCACCTGCTTTTCATGGGTGACTCATCTATGAGCATGGTTTATGAATCTTTCAAGCTGAAAATCATGGCACAACCCACAAAACAACTAACCTTTTTCTCCACTAGAAGGCACTGTTGTTTCATGCAATGTGAGAACACAGCCAGGGGAGAAACATCAATGCAATCTTTATTTTTTTATTTTTATTTTTTTTGAGACCGAGTCTCACTCTGTCGCCCAGGCTGGAGTGCAGTGATGTGATCTCGGCTCAATTCAACCTCTGTCTCCTGGCTTCAAGTGATTCTCCTGCCTCAGCCTCCCTAGTAGTGGGGATTACAGGCGTGCTCCACCATGCTTGGCTAATTTTTGTATTTTTAGTAGAGACAGGGTTTCACCATGTTGTCTTGAACTCCTGACCTCAGGTGATCCATCCACCTCGGCCTCCTAAAATGCTGGGATTACAGGCATGAACCACAGTGTCTGGCCCAATGCAATCTTTAGAAGAAGAAACTGAGGTACAGGGAGGCTAAATGACCAGCCATGGTCACACACCTTGCTAGAGAATGAGCCCAGGAGTCTCACTTTTTTAGTAGGAAGTAGCTTTTTGCAAACCATTTCTCCAAGTCAACACCTGGTAAGTATTGAGTGCCTACTATGCACCAAGCACTCTGCCTGGAGCCTGCTCTTGAGTTGTTGTTTACCACCTGACAGGACACTCGGCATTTTTAAGAGCTCAAAGACAAATGGATGGAGCTGCTTTTGAGAGTAGCTCTCCTGGTTTGCACTGTTGAGAAAATTGGACAATAAGGTAGGAAAATGCTTTTTGGATGAGGACAGGCAAGCCACACAGCTAGGCCAAAGGCAAATTAGGAAACTAGGGCTTCCTCTAACCTCTAGGGTTTTCTTAAACCAGGTTGTCAGTGGCAGTGACACTAGGTCAGAAAGAAACTCTAGATTTAGATTCCAGCTCTGCCACCTTCTAGTCTTGTGGCCTTGGAGAAGTCACACTGTTTGAACTGTGGTTTCTTCATCTGCATGATTTGAAATGGGAGGAGCAGCAGAGCCAAGTTCACAGACATGAAAGCTGAAGACAAGTTTCTTAGCCTCTCAAGTCAGCCATGGCTGGTTTATCTGTGGTTACTGTATCACTTCAAATCACCTATGAATGATTCTCTCCAAGGCCATTAGTGAAGGCAGCAGAGAAGGGCCTGGAGTCCACATCTGTTTAGCTACCAGATACTCTGCTTCCACGAGCCAGGCTAGCTTTCTATGATGAGAGATGTGCACGGGGAGGTGAAGAACAGATCATCCACTGGGAACCACAGTGACCCAGGCTTAGGATCACTCTTTCTGAGGCTGTTTTCCCATCTGGCAGGTGGGCTTATTCCCTCCCTCACGCTGCTGTTGTGGACTACACCTGTGTAAAGGCTCTGCCCTGCTGCTTGGCACACAATTATGAAGATTGTGGAACAATGGTACCGATGAAAAAGCTTTGGAAACGAAACTCCCCTACATAAGAGATAACAAAAAGCATGACTTTACCTGGGTAGGAAAAAACCACAGTGAGCTCAGCTGTGACCTAGTTCCTTATTATACAAGAAAGACAATTCTCTAGGGAAGATAGTCTGGCAATGCAGTTGGCTCTGAACTAATAAGGATCTGGCCAAATTGAAAGTTAGGTCAGTGGTTCTCAGGCCATGCCAGACAGTAAAATCACCTGAAGTACTTTCTAGAAAACCCAATACCCTGGCTACACTCTAGACTGGTTAAATCAGAATCTCTGGGGAGCAGAATCAGGCACTGGTAGTGTTTAAAGCTCCCCAGGTGATTCCAAGATGTAGTGGTTGGGAACCAGACTTATGTGAAGCCAGCTGCCTCCTAGGTTAGGCTTTTGGAAAAAAACTCATCAGCCCTAGAATATCTCTTCCCATTTCTTGAGTCTTCCTCAAGAAATTCCTACCACTCTAGCTATTGAGCAATGGTACCATGCACACTAACCAGGTTTGGTGACAATCAGATTGGTCGTTTTAAATTGATTTTAACAAGAAGCAGAGGTTGGAGTTGAAGAACTTAGTGTAATCAGTTAATTTCAGTAGGAAGTAGGCATGCTTATCAGCTAGGATTAGATTTGGTTTAAAATCCAGAATAACCGGGACTTAGCCAGGTATGATGGCCCACTCCTGTAATCCCAGCTACTCAGGAGGCTGAAACAGGATGATTGCTTGAGCCCAGGAGTTTGAGACCAGCCTAAGCAATATAGCAAGACTCTCATCTTTAAAAAGAAGAATAATAAAATAAAATATATTAAAAAAATAAAAACAGAGACTTAAACAAGACAGAAAACTTGAGCCAGGTAGTCCAGTGCTGGTCTGGCCACTTCATGGTCATTGGAGATCAAAGTTCCTTCTATTTTTCCACTCTACCATCCTAGCATGGAGCTTCCATCTTTGAGGTCACCTCAGGGTCCATGATGGCTGCTGGAGCTCCAGCCATTATTATCCCCACTTCAGAAAGGAAGAATGGGTAAGAAAGGTCGAGTCAGCTTCCTTTTTTTTTTTTTTTTTCTTGAGATGGAGTTTCACTCTTATTGCCCAGGCTGGAGTGCAATGGCGTGATCTCAGCTCACCACAACCTCTGCCTCCCAGGTTCAAGCGATTCTCCTGCCTCAGCCTCCTTAGTAGCTGGGATTACAGGCATGCGCCACCATGCCTGGCTAATTTTGTATTTTTAGTAGAGGCGGGTTTTCTCCATGTTGGTCAGGCTAGTCTTGAACTCCCGACCTTAGGTGATCTGCCCGGCTCGGCCTCCCAAACTGCTGGGATTACAGGCATGAGCCACCGTGCCTGGCCTCCAGTCAGCTTCCTTTAAGGAGTGTTCTCTTTTCCTTATATCTATCGCATAGGCCAGAACTTTTTCCAGTGTGTAGCTGTAAGGAAGGCTGAGAAGTGCAATCTTTTAAGTAGTTACCTTGACACCCAAATTAAATTAAACTCTTTAAGGAAAGGGCAAATGGGAAGCAACTAGAAGTTTGTGTCATGGAGCCATTGCAGACCCAAAGCCTGAATGTTGGAGGGAACTGGAAACTAGGGGGCAGGAGAATTAAAAGATCTTGAAGACTAAATGATGACTCATCCGTCTGGTTCCCAAAAGCTTGCTCCTATGAGTCTTTCAGTAGAGGAAGAATGTTTTCAATTGTGCGGCTGGGTTAAATCCTAGTTCCTTTTCAACAAATTCCTAGTTCCTAAGCATGGCTTTCTCAGCCTTTGCTTTGGAATTAGCCCTCTCAAGAGGCCTCTTCTTAAAGAGCATGAACCTAGGAGAGTGCTATGCCCCTAAGTAGCTTCCTACCTGCCTATTCCTGCATGGTAGGATCATTGATTGCTGGCTCTGTGACTCTGTGGCAGAGCTTGACTAAACTTTGCACAGCTTTTTTATTCTCCCACTCCCTTGGAGAGTTAGTTGCACCCTTTTACCAGTCATGTCCCAGTAGGAAACAGATTCCAACTCAGTTCAAAAGACTGTAATGAGGCCGGGCCTGGTGGCTTAAGCCTGTAATCCCAGCACTTTGGGAGGACAAGGTGGGCAGATCACCTGAGGTCAGGAGTTTGTGACAAGCCTGGCCAACATGCTGAAACCCCATCTTTACTAAAAATACAAAAATTAGCTGGGCATGGTGGCACGTACCTGTAATCCCAGCTACTTGGGAGGCTGAGGCAGGAGAATCACTGGGACTCAGGAGACAGAGGTTGCAGTGAGCCGAGATCGCACCACTGCACTCCAGCCTGGGCAACAGAGTGTGATTCTGTCTCAAAAAAAAAAAAAAAGACTGAAAGGATTACAGGCAGTCCTCAATTTATACAGTTCTGATATGCTTAAATATCAATGATCATGTTTTAGTTAAATAACACAGTCCCCCAACCAGATAGTTCAAATTTCAGCTACATTGTTATACTGGTAAAGTATAATTTTATTTTATTTTATTTTTTATTTATTGAGATGGAGTCTTGCTCTGTCATCCAGGCTGGAGTGCAGTGGCATGATCTCGGCTCACTGCAAACTCTGCCTCCTGGGTTCAAGTGATTCTCCAGCCCCAGCCTCCTGAATAGCTGGGACTACAGGCACATGCCACCATACCTGGCTAATTTTTGTATTTTTAGTAGAGATGGGGTTTCACCATGTTGGCCAGGCTGGTCTCAAACTCCTGACCTCAAGTGATGTCCCCCCCTCGGCCTCCCAAAGTGCTGGGATTACAAGTGTGAGCCACTGCACCTGGCCCCTTGCTAAAGTATAATTTCACTGCTAACTCTTCAGGCCACACATCACTAACAGATATGCTGCATGATCAGTGACCCACCACATTGCTTCTTTCAAAGTGTATTGGTGACTGGGCACCATGTGCCTGTTATTCAGCTCATCCACTGGCAGCACAGTGTGTAGTTGTGTTGCACTTTGTCTTCTGGTGAGAAATTCATGTGACAGTTTACAAAAATGGATAATTGAAAGAGGGAACTGACTAATAAAGATAAAAATGCAGCAAAGAAATGCAAAGTGAGAATGATGGAAGTGAGGTTTGTGTAGAATATAAATGGAGTTAGAAAAGAAAAAGCTGACTGTGGGAAGGTGGATGCTGCTGCTGTTTGAAGTTCTGGATATGCAACCAGAGGAACGTAGTGACCGTGAGCTTATCTACATAAATGACAACAGTGCCTGTGGCAAAAAGGATAAAGATGTCCTGGAGGAAATGATGCCAGCAAAAAACCACGAAAAGGAATTCTTAGAGATATTTTGTGACATTGAAAGCAAGAAAGATAAAATGTAAGAACTAATCCAAGCTTGAGAAGGAGGATGACAATTTTCCGGGAATAGAAAAGATACCCACTGAATCGAAATCTATATATAATGGGAAGGAAGTGGCAAGCACTGTCCAAACGGTTCTCGGTAAGATTTTCACAAAGAAAACACTTTAATTTCCAATGTTTCTAATGTTTTCAATTAGTGTATTTAATATCAATTTTTGCGACTTTTTCTCTTACTGACAGTAAGAAAGTTTAATGTTTTGACAAACATTTTTGAAAGGTCAGAGGACAATCGTCCTCTTCCCCATCGATTATTAAGATTGTTTTGCATGGTTTCAGCTTACATGGCCATTTTACAGTCCTAGACTACTGTGCAAAGTGAGTGCTTCCCATACTTACACAGCTCTGGGTACTATTCAGCAAAACGACAAGGGATATTAAGGCATTCAGAGGCTGGCCACAGCGGGAAGTACCCTGTCAGGCAGAAGGCCACAGGAGGAAATAATGCTGCTGGAGCCATAGCCGGTCCACGCAATAAGCGATCTCTCGGTGGAGGACATAGCCATAGACAGAAAATGCAGCAAAGCACACAGAGGAGACTGGGAGGAAAGAGCCCAGCACCTGCCTCTGTACAACCTCTTAACTCTTGCAGGTGCTTTCCACTGGGGGAAGCCAGCTGGAAGCCAGCTAGCCGTGGGTCCGGGCAATGCAGTCTGGTCAGACTCCCAGGGCACAGAGCTGGGTGGAGGTGGATGGAGCCCAACTGGGGGCTTACATACACTTAACATTGTACTTTCTTTCTTTCTTTCTTTTTTTTTTCAGACAGAGTCTCACTCTGTCACCCAGGCTGGAGTGCAATGGTGCAATCTTGGCTCACTGCAACCTCCACCTCCTGGCTTCAAGCAGTTCTCCTGCCTCAGCCTCCTAAGTAGCTGAGATTACAGGCACGGGCCACCACGCCTGGCTAATTTTTGTATTTTTAGTAGAGATAGTGTTTCACTATGTTGTCCAGGCTGGTTTTGAACTGCTGACCTCAGGTGATCCGCCTGCCTCCCAAAGGGCTGGGATTACAGGAGTGAGCCACCGCGCCTGGCCGTACCTTCGTGTTTATGTCCATGTCCTGCAGTTGAGGACAAAGCTATCTGCATCTCTGAGTACCACTGATAAAGACAAAGTAAGCAGAGGTGGAATCCAGGTTTCCATGCTCTCAATGTAGGGCTCCTAACATCTCCAGTGATCCAGCATCCCCTTGGAGCTGCTTACCAGCTTGACTAGGACAACACACAGAGTTAGAGGTCAATGAGGAGGAAAAAAATGTCAACAAAATCTTTCTTCCTGGCCCCCCAAAAGTGTTTTGGGGCTCTAAAATACAAGCATATGCTTCACATGTTTCCAGTGAACATTTTCCATGTCAAATATACCTCTGGCTTTTTTTTCTTTTGTCCTGGCAAGCTGTGTTGCTTCTGGATTTTTAATACTCAAACCCCACAAAATGTATCTCTCAATGTTTTTCATCCAGTGTTTTTAAGAAAAATTTCTATTGACAGTCCACAAGACTCAGTGGATTTTAATCAAGATAGGCTGGGAAAGTTTCAGATTACATCCCAAAGACAATGGTTAGAATGGCAGGGCAGGTGTGGGTACACCTCTTTCAGATGTTGCTGTATAGGAAGTGTAGTGCTTGGAATCGAGTTTTACGGCATTTTACTTTCTGACATGATAGTTTCTGTAACTTACATAAGGGATTTGTGTGTGTGTGTGTGTGTGTGCGTGCGTGTGTGAGTGTTTTAGTTACATATTTGGAAATCTACTGGGGACTTGGGGCATTCATTAAGCCAGAGTTTACCATTTAAATAGGACAGAGGGTGCTATTCTGCAGAATGCTTGATTTCCATGAATGGTCTACCATTAGGAGATGGCTGTATGTTGCCCTGTTGCTCTGGGGCTGGTTCAGGGATAATCCTTTCCATATGAGAGCTCCCAGTCTCAGAAGTCTCCCCACTAAGCCTATCTAGAATGCCCCTCAGTGCCCATTTAAGTCACCTGTGCTGCTGGTTTCCTTGCAAGAGGACTAAGAGGATCAGCCGGGCAGTGTTTCAAAACCTCGCCACTATTGGCATTTGGGGCTGGATAATTCTTTGTTGTGGGGGCTGTCCTGGGCATTGTAGGATGTTTTCCAGCATCCCTGACCCCTGCCCGCTAGACGCCAGCAATACCCTGCTTCAGCTGTGATAGCCAAAAATGTCTGCAGACCAGTCCAAATGTCCCCTGGGGGGAAAAATTACCCCCAGTTGAGAAGCTGAGAACCACTGAGGTAGAGGGTAGCTGCAAATTTCCTCACAGAAAGGTGCCATGAAAATGTAGTAGTTGAAGTAGAATTTATTTATTTTTGATGCTTCTAATTGCAATTCTGTTACTTAACATGACATAAAGAAACCATATTTCCCAAAGCAAAATTCAGAATGCACAACAAAAGCTTTTTTTAAAAAACAAAAACAAAGACTCTTGTACGAATGTATTTACTCACCAGCAGTATACAGTTTAAGGCACATTTGTATAGGGGTTTTTTTCTGCTCTCTTCCGCCTTTATCCTTCACAGGTATTTCCCTTAATCAATCTCTTGTATGTTTAATTCCTTCTTGGCCTCCGCTTCTAGGAGAACTTAAATGGATTCAAAGACTCAAAAAAAGTGGTAGTGGCAGCTGAAGCCAATATGGCCATGGAGGGCACCACTCAGATCCCTTTAACAGAACCTGCTGCAAGGAGCAGAGTGGACTGACAGCCTTGGCTGCCACCCCTAAGGACACTAGACCAGACTTACCCCGGCTGCCTCTGGGCAGTGACTGAGTACGTAGGAGCGTTTGTGCTGATCCATTCCTACCCAACGAGGGTGACTCCTCTCATGGAGAATTTTAGCTTGGGAACTCCCCAGCAATCTGGCCAAGATGTTCTCAGAACTGTACTGCAGTCTGAGGTTCTTCCACCTAGCCTTTCCTGCTCTCTCTTTTACACAGGTGTGGGACCTGTGTTGTGGAGGGCTCTCCCTGCCTATTCCTGCTCCCTTGAACCCTGGATCCTTCACAGGTGTTGCCCCCAAAACATCTCTTACACTTCTAATCCCATCCTGTCTGCTTCTCAGAGAACAGACAAGTAATGAATTCCCTTCACTAAAACAAAATTATGCAAAATATAATATGTATAATAAAATTATACAAGCTATAACAAGGTAATGGAATAATTATACTATTAAAATCAGAGATGTACCAGAAAATCGGCATGTACAATTACCTTAGCTTTGCTTCCCTTAGATGTGTTCTCTTAGGAAAGGATTGCATTCCTAAGAGAATTATCTGTATTAAGGAACAGGCACTCCATAATTGCCTTCCCCACCCCTCCACCTGGAACTTTCTCTAATAATGTAGAAGACACCTGCACACCAATGGTATCATAATCCTTTTTCCTGACGTGGCTTTGGATTCCATTCTATCCAGATAGAGGAATGGAACCCCGGATCCATTCAGTTCACAGAGACACGAATCCTCTAAGCTAAGATGTCATTTTACCCTCACCCCCAAACAAACCTGCTTCCTTGTTCTTGTCTATCCCTCCTCTTCTTCTTCCTCTTCAAATGTGATGACCATTATTCAACATGAAGATATGAGTCTGGGATATAGAGCAGGCTGAAACTTAAGGACTGAGGCTTTGCCTTTGTAGCCAGAAAGAGAAAAGTAGTCCCTGACAGCTGGCTCTTACTGGCCAGGTGCTCATGGCTGGGCTGTAATGTTTTTCTGCTGAACCACAGCCTATCTCACAGATTGCCAGCATCAGACAGGGGCTGGCAAAAACAAGACCATTCTGTAATCACGTCTGAGTAGGGACAAAAACAAGGTCACTGTGAAAATCACAAGAATCACTAAATATCCCCCACTCCAGCTAACACAACTGACTGCTTGCTGTTTTTTTAACCAATCACAGCTTTAGCCCTGCTGCACGCATTCCACCTTCTGCATAAAAATTAAGATGCCCTCTCATAGTATTGCTCCTGCCTCCTGATAGCATCCAATCCAGCGCAAACCCCTGCTTCCTTAAGACGTCTCTCAAATCAGTTAACATGAGCCCATATATATTAGAAGTCCCTTCTAACACCGTCTTACTGAGACACCCCATGGTTCCTCATCACAGACAGACTCCCCCACTGCAACAAATTAAAAAATCCAATTTTGTTCCTGGGGGTCTTTGGCTACAGGGCACAGGCAGTAGTTAGTTGGTCAGGTCCTGGCCAGTTCTATGACTCTGGCTCCCAAGGTGCTAGATTCTGCCTATGAAAGAAAAGGATAAGAAATTAAAGAGTACAAGACAATGAGGAGGAAAAGGATTTCATGACAGACAGCTCAGATGGGGATGAATCTCCTGACCAGAGTTCCCACTCCAACTCTCATTGCCCTGTGACCTTGAACAATTCATACGAATTCTTCCTCATTGGTAAAGTGGAAATACACTTAACCTTCACAGGGCTGTAAAACAAGTTCCAAACCAATCAAGACCGAGAACAAGCCATGTACAGTGGCCAGCATACGGAAAACACATGCTGCACGGGTGGGAGACACTGGTGAGTTGGACTTATAGTGAGTTGAGGAGAAGACCGAAGGTCCTGAGAACTGAGGAGGAGATGAACTGAGAGAGAGTGAAAATCTGGTCATTTTGGGAGAGAGAAGAGCTAAGAACATCAAGGGGAAACAAAGCTGGAAATAGGAATTTAGGACACTGATATGGTTTCGGTGTTTGTTCCCTCCAAATCTCATGTTGAGATGTGATCTCCAGTTTTGGAGTTGGGGCCTGGTGGGAGGTGATTGGATCATGGCGGTGGACTCCACATGAATGGCTTAGCACTATCACCTAATTCTCTTGGTGATGAGTGAGTTCTCACTATATGAATTCACCCAAGAACTTGTTGTTTAAAAGGAGCCTGGCACCTCCTCCTCTCTCTTGCTCCCTCTCTTGCCATGTGGCATGCTGCATCCCCTTCACCTTCTGCCATGACAGGAAGCTTCCTGATGCCCTCACCAGATACAGATGCTGGCACCATCCTTTGTGTACAGCTTGCAGAACCATGAGTCAAATAAGCCTCTTTTCTTTATAAACTACCCAGCCTCAGGTGTTCCTTTATAGCACTGCAAATGGACTAACACAGAGACAGAGGAAATTGGTGACCAACATTATCCCAACTGGGAGTTCTTTGCCCTTGAAGGGTACCTCAGCTTACGACCATCTTGCTAGGGGAAAAGAGATTTGGGGAGGCACCGGGAACTGTAGCAGAGAAATAGTGGTAACGGATAAGGAGCAACATTGGAAAGATGAGTGTTGAGGGAGAGGCCAAGAAAGACAGGAGAGGGATATCTGTCCCGAAAATGAGGTCCACAAGTCCACAAGCCTGGAGAGCTGACTCAGAGGGAGCCATGGCTGGACAGTTCTCCCCTTACCTTCCTTTGTGCATCAGAAGGAAGCAAATCAGGTAAGAACTGCACAGCAGGGGCCAGGTCCCAGCCTCCCGGTGGCCTTCATGATGCTCTTCCCAAGACTCAACCTTGGGTCTCCTGAACAGTCACCAAATCAGAAACACACAGGCCTTTCAGGAGAATAGAACAATTACGAGGGTCACCTTCCAGAGACGCAGGAGACCAAAGTCAACATCTCCACTTCTAACTAGCGGGTGGAAATAGAGTGTACCGGTTAGGAAAACCAGTGCTTCTAGGAGAGACTAGACCTAATGGGACTGTGAACTCAAAAGAGGAGAAAACAGAAAGGTGCCTGGAAGGTTTTTGGTACTTCTGGGCCAACTTAGTGAAGAATGGGCCTAGCTCTAGGCCTTTAAGCCACGCTACCCCGTCACACGGCTCACATTTTTAGCTGTGTACTTTACCTGTGGGAGGACTGTCAGGTCCCAGGTGGGGAAATGCACGCTGCAAAAGAAAAAGCTGGTCAAAACTAGGATGTAGGGGTGTCTGATGGCATAAACTATTTTTGCTCTCATTGGCGAAAATGTCAGCCAGCAACTCACTTGGCAAAGCCCTTAGTACAGTCTCATGGGTAAATGGGGCTCATTTGCCACTCCCCTTTGTCCTCAGTCAGGGTCCTAGACCTTTCCTCACTCACAGGCTGATGGTCTTGAACCTGGTTATAAGGGGTTTCTGGGCTCTAATTAGAACCACGGTTCCCCACTGATGAGTGCCTCGCTTCTCCCCAGGACTCTGCAGAAGGCCCCAGGGGAGTAGGCAAGGCCTCAGCTCACAGCCTCCTACAGCCCAGCTGCCCCACCCTTGGGCTGTGCGTTGGGCTGGGCCGGTGCCTGCAGGGCTCAGGGCTGAGCTTGAACTGCCATTCTGAGACTAACCATGGGCCCAACCGTGCCTCGGGACTCCCATCCCCACTGTCCAATGACTGCCCCTGGTCCCTGGGGACTCCTTCCCATCCCTTCTCCCCTTTCCCTCCCTTCTCTCCCCCACTCCCATCTGAGGCATCACCCTCTGTGGCCTCCTCCTTCTCCAGGCTCTTCTTTCTCAAAGGTCTTTGTCACTCACTGTTGGAGGATTTTGTATCCACTCTGGCCTAGGTATCTTTTCCCCCGGTTGTCTATAGTTTAAAATCATGGCTTGGAAGTGGAAGGCAAGGTGAAGACAGGTGACAGCTGATTAAAAAATATGCCTCAGGCTGAGCGCGGTGGCTCATGCCTGTAATCCTAGCACTTTGGGAGGCCGATGTGGGCAGATTACGAGGTCAGGAGATCGAGACCATCCTGGCCAACATGGTGAAACCCCGTCTCTACTAAAATACAAAAAATTAGCCTGGCTTGGTGGTGCACTCCTGTAGTCCCAGCTACTTGGGAGGCTGAGGCAGGGGAATCGCTTGAACCCAGGAGGCGGAGGTTGCAGTGAGGCGAGATTGCACCACTGCACTCCAGCCTGGCAGCAGAGTGAGTCTCTATCTCAAAACAAAAACAAAAACAAAACAAAAAACAAAAAACAAACCCAGAAACAAAAGTAAAATACGCTTCAAGACATACCCCATACCCCTTCCTCCCCTGGGAGATGAGGGGGAGGGAAGGGCCCAGGTGAGTCTACTCTTGGAGGCCCTTCCTAACAGCCCAGGATGAGAGCTTTACCTTGTAAACTAGAAACCAGATCTGGGAGAGACTGGGGGCTGAGGTGAGCTGGGATCTTTGGCTAGGGGTTTTTGGAGTAGCCCCTGGAGATGTCTGGGAGGCAATGTCCCCTGAGCACCAGCAGGCCTTTAATGGGCCTCTGTGGCAAGAACACTTGCATGGGAACTTGCTGGAAGGATTTGACCAACTCAAACCCTTGCTTATTGCTTCCTCTCCCCCTTCCTCACCTCATCACGTCCTTACCAACTCAGGGTGGCTGTCCAGATGGGGGTCAAGCACAGTGGCCCGTGTTTGTTCTGCAGAAGCCCATCCCTAGCACAGCCGTTACCTTCAAAACCCTCTTCTTGACTCTTGGGGTCCTCAAAGAACTTGGGAGGGAGGACCTGGAAAATGTCACTTTGGATACTTAAAGGTGGACTAAAACAGCACAAAGGTGCCTGTTTCTCTCCACCCCAAACCATGGCTATGATGAGATGGATCAAGAAATCCCCAAAATGCCACCGTCCCCAGTGGAACCTGTTTGGTTCTCTTTATTCCCCGATGCCCTGAATATGGGTTTTCTCTCTTTTTCAGGTGAGAAGATATTACGTTGCTGTTGCTAAAGGTCTGGTAGTTCTCTATGCAGAGGTTTGGGCTGAAGGTGAATGCTGAGGTGTGCTTGTCTCTTACAGATGCAAAATCTATAACCTGTGAGCTGCTCTGGCCTTCAGCATTCCTGAAGAGCAGGGTGGGATGCATGATTTTCATTTTCAGTATCCAAATGAAAATTATTAAAGAATATCACTGGGAAATCATTACAATATGTTTTAATTAGTTTATAGATTAATGTAGTTTGTTTACTAACGTAAGTAACTTGTAATATGGTCTGTTGCCTTGGGAGCAGAGCTAGAAACGAAAGCTCACAGTTAGGTAAACTGAATAAAGATTGGCAAAGGACTCCCATCACATTTTATTATTGCCCTGATAGCCACAGCCCCTCATTCATTTCTCTTCTAGTTTTGTAACCGCCCAAGGGGTTCACCTTGCCTGTTGCCTAGACAGAGTTGATTCATCAAGACAGGGGAATTGCAATAGAGAAAGAGTAATTTATGCAGAGCAGGCTGTGCAGGAGACTGGAGTTTTATTATTACTCAAATCAGTCTCCCCAAACATTTGGGGAGCAGAGTTTTTAAGGATAACTTGGTGGGTTGGGGGAAGCCAGTGAGCCAGGAGTGCTGATTGGTCAGAGATGAAATCATAGGGAGTCGCAGCTGTCTTCTTGTGCTGAGTCAGTTCCTGGGTGGGGGCCACAAGATCAGATGAGCCAGTTTATTGATCTGGGTTGTGCCAGCTAATCCATCAAGTGCAGGGGCTGCAAAATATCTCAAGCACTGATCTTAGGAGCAGTTTAGGGCAGGTCAGAATCTTGTAGCCTCCAGCTGCATGACTCCTAAACCATAATTTCTAATCTTGTGGCTAATGTTAGTTCTATAAAGTCAATCTAGTTCCCAGGCAAGAAGGAGGTCTGCTTTGGGAAAGGGCTGTTACCGTCTTTGTTTAAACTATAAACTAAGTTTCTCCCAATGTTACTTCAGCTTATGCCCAGGAATGAACAAGGACAGCTTGGAGGTTAGAAGCAAGATGGAGTCAGTTAGGTTAGATCTCTTTCACTGTCTCAGTCATAATTTTGCAAAGGCGGTTTCAGTTTAGAGGTGTCTTAATAGCTCAAGAAAGCAGCTATTGGAATGGAGACATCAGACCCTGGCTTGGTGCCATGTTCATTGAATGAATGAGTGAATGCTACTACCTGAAGTTTCTATCTCCTCTCACCATGTGTCTAACTCTCCCTCCTAGCACTTTACCTGGTAACTTCTCCATCAGCACATAGCACAGTGTCTTGCACATAGCAGGTGTTCAATCAGAGTAAATTGAAATGACTGAATTGAATTGGATGTCCAGTGAAGTAAATACCACACATGTTAGTGCTACTAACATTAAAATTCTTCACGCAGGCCAAAGCAGATGTGATGCCATGTTCAGCCATTGCTCAACTCTTGGCAAGGATCTGAAGACAAATAGAAACATCTTGATGTATTTGTGCAAGAAGTCTATGCCAGCAGCAGCTGTAGCAACTGCAGATTTTAATCTTAAACATCAATGTCCCTGACTTGGAGAAAATAAATTAGATTTTTTTTAACACCAAAGACAAAGGCTTTATTATCTCAAAAGGACTTATTATCCATGTTACTTGAGGAAAACATAAGTTAAAAATACAACTTCACACTGGATATATTGGAGTGATTTGACACTAGACTTTTTTTTTAAGTGTAAGGCATTTTTATCTTCATTATCAGAAGGACCTGTGTTGCAGGTGTTTCTCAGACTCTTATTTGCAGAAATGTCACTGTGTTGCTTTTTAAGAGGAAGTGAGGAAGATTTCTGAGAGATGTGATTCTGGAAGGAAAAGGAAGGAATTTCCCAATTATTCTTTCTTCAACTGGGCCTCAGTTACCTCATCTGTATGAGTCATCAGTGAACGAGTTGGCCACTAGATGATCTTTAACATTCCTTCTAATTCTAATTTTTCACAGTTCTTTGCTTTTCGCCAGCTGAAGTGAAGGACACTTGGTCAGCTAATGTCAAATTGTACATTTATCTTAGTTTTTTTCTAATTTTAAAGGTGATTTTATATAAGTGTTGAAGAGGAAACATAACTTTTTCCTCAATCGTCACGAATTCTTAGTTGGAACGGACCCTTGTAACAAAAGTCAGATTAATGAGAAAAACCAAAGTTTATTAACATGTGCCTTTCATATATACACAGGAGCTACCCAGGGAATGAGTCATTCTCATAGTGGTGGCTTTGAATTCCAGCTTATATAGCATCTTCAACAAAGAACAGTAGATTTTTAGAGATGTGACAAGATGAAGAGGATTTTGAATCTCCAGGGGCAGCAACTTGAGGAAAGGCAAGTGAGATGAAGGCTGGTCTGTAAAGCTTGTTCATGTAGATTCCTCTGGTGCCATCTTCAGGTCACTGAGGGTCTAACGTTGTCATCAGTGGGAGACCTTTGTGCTCCCTGGGAGAAGGGGGTGGGGGTGGGATCCCATTTGTCTTTGTAAATTTGTGTCTACTTTTAGGCAAATAGAGGAAGGGCAAAGAGCTTTCTTGCATCTGCCTCGTCTTATCTTCAGCTCAACAATCCTCATGCCAAAGAGGCATATTTTGGGGTGGCAAATTCTCGTCTCCCACATAAGGAAAGACTCTGCCTCCACTGGGTCTCCCAAAGTATTTGCACTTATGTCAGTTTTTGCTTTCGAAATGGAAATGTTACCTCTGAATGTGGTAAGAGAGTGAAGTCAGGCCTCTGTACACCAGGAATTGCTTAGAATGAGTCACAAACCATCTTAAAAATGTAGGAAATTAGGAATTAATTTATCAAACAGTTTTTTCTTCTTAAATCAGTTTCATTGAATTATAATTTTCATACAATAAAGTGTATCCATTTTAAGTGTACAGCTGAATAGATTTTTGTTGTTGTTGTTTTGAGACAGGGTCTCACTCTGTTGCCCAGGCTGGAGTGCAGTGGCATGAACACAGCTCACTGCAGCCTCAGCCTCCCTGGGCTCAGGTGATTCTCCTCTCTCAACCTCCAGAGTAGCTGGGACCAGGGGCATGCGCCACCATGCTCTGCTAACTTTTGTATTTTTTTGTAGAGACGGGGTTTCACCATATTGCCCAGGCTGGCCTGGAGCTCCTGGGCTCAAGCAGTCCACCTGCCTTGGCTTCCCAAAGTGCTGAGATTACAGGCATGAGCCACTGCGCCTGGCCCAGTTGATGAGTTTTGACAAACATTTACCTTCATCAAGATACAGAACATTTCCATCACCCCAGAGCCCTCATCAAGATACAGAGCATTTCTATCAACCCAGAAAATTCCCTCATGTCCTTTGGTAGTTCATCCTCATCAGGCTGGCTCTACAGTACAGATTCACCTTCCTTTGGCGGCTCATTTGCTGCCTTTCCTAAAGATACAGAGGTGAACAAACCAAGGTCCCTGTGGTCATGGGCTTCCATGCTAGTGCTGGGGGTGTAAGCAATCCTTTAGCTCCTTCAAGCTCCACTTTAGCTAACTCATCTCCGCTACTGGATACCGAGACTCTGTTTGGACCTTTAGAGGATATCCCACATGGGGGCCTCCTACTTCCCTCAAACTCCTTATCCCTTCCCATGGGTCTCTTTAAGGCCTCCACAGCCTGTGTCTCTAATCCTTCCCTTAGAATAGATCACTCTCCCGCCAGGTGAGGAAGTTCCTGCTGTGCCTGGCTGCAGTTCAATGTTAAGGGAGTCTTCCTCTGTTCTGGTTTTTTTTTCTGCTATAGCGTGGGGTGCCAGCCCTGGAGCTCTGAGTGAGTGACAGTGAGGAATAGAGTTGCTGAGTGCTTCAGATTCCTTTGTTCTCCTTCTCTAGACAGCAGTAGTTTGTTTTAGAAAGAACATCCAGTGCACAAGAATTATTTATATCCTGGCACAGTGGCTCATGCTTGTAATCCCAGCACTTTGGGAGGCCAAGGCAGGCAGATTGTTTGAGCTCAGGAGTTTGAGACCAGCCTGAGCAACATGGCAAAACTGTCTCTACTAAAAATACAAAAATTAGCCCAGCATGATGGCCTGCTTCTGTAGTCCCAGCTACTTGGGAGGCTGAGGTGGGAGGATTGCTTGAGCTTGGGAGGTTGAGGCTGCAGTGAGCTGAGATCCACCACTGCACTCCAGCCTGGGTGATAGAGACCCTGTCTCAAAACAACAACAACAACAAAATCAAAGAGAATTATTTACTTATTTTTCTGAAGAGCCATAATAAATGTTTACTTAGTGGGAAAAATAATGGTAGAATAAGATGGCAAAATTAGATGCAAAACTGGTTAATGTCTGTCAATTGAGAAAAATGATGAGCCAAGTCTCAATCATTTTAGGAGTTTATTTGCCAAAGTTAATGATGCATACCTATGACACAGCCTCAGGAAGTCCTGACGACATATGCCCAAGGTGGTCGGGGCACAGCTTGGTTTTATACATTTTAGGGAGATATGAGTCATCAATCAATATATGTAAGAAGTACATTGGTTCCATCCAGAAAGGCGGGGACAACTGGAAGCAGGAAGGGGGGTTTCCAGGTCACAGGTAAGTGAGAGACAAATGGTTGCATTTTTTTGAGTTTCTGATAAGCCTTTCCAAAGGAGGCAATCAGAATATGCATCTATCTCAGAGAGCAGAGGGAAGACTGAATAGAATAGGAGGCAGGTTTGCCCTGAGCAGTTCCCAGCTTGAAGGGGCCCAAGATATTTTCCTTTCACATGTCCTAGAGGGCAATAAAACCGTAATTTCTTCTACTGGACAGATGTCATGGGCATCTCTGACAAAATTTATTTGCAATTGTATTAGGGTTCAACAGAGAAACACAGCAATGGGATGTGTGTGTACACACACACACACACACACACACACGCACAGAGAGAGACAGAGAGAGAGAGAGAGAGATAGAGAGAGAGAGAGATTGACTGATTAAAAGAGATTGACTCGGCCAGGCACGGTGGCTCATGCCTGTAATCCCAGCACTTTGGGAGGCCAAGGCGGGTGGATCACGAGGTCAGGAGTTCCAGACCAGCCTCGCCAACATAGTGAAATCCCGTCTCTACTAAAAATACAAAAATTAGCTAGGTATGGTGGCATGTGCCTGTACTCCCAGCTACTTGGGAGGCTGAGGCAGGAGAATCGCTTGAACCCGGGAGGCAGAGGTTGCAATGAGCGGATATTGCGCCCCTGCCCTCCAGCCTGGGTGACAGAGTGAGACTCTGTTTCAAAAAAAAAAAAAAGAAAAGAGAGAGAGAGAGATTGACTCCCATGATTATGAAGGCTAAGTCCACACCCAGAAGAGCTGATGGCATAACTTCCAGTCTGAATCTGAGTCTGAAGGCAGAACATCAATGTTCCAGCTCAAAGACAGGCAGAGAGAGACAGAATTCTTTCTTACTTAACCTTTTATTCTACTCAGAAATTTAATGGGTTGGATGAGGCCCACCCACACTGGGAGGGCCATCTGCTTTACTCAGTCTATGGACTCAAATATTAGTCTCCTGGAAACACCCTCACAGCCAGAAATAATGTCTAGTCAAATATCTGAGCACCCCATGGCTTAGTCAGGTTAACACATAAAATTAATCATCATAGCAACTTATCAAATTGTCTACAAATGAACACATGCTCTTAGAGTCTAGGTCCCAATCAATTGTAAGTCAACCAAAAGTTTCATTTCCCCAGGGTGTTAACTGGCCCTCAGGTGATTGTTAGGACAGTGCTCAAGGAGACTCGGAGATAACTTTTAGTCATCATTTTGTCTAACTTTCAAGTTCTGGATAATTTTTCTTAATATGATTAACCATACTCCCGCAAAATAATAGCCAAACCTGCTTAGACCAAAGGGACAAGTGGCTCCTTCATGGCCAGTTAAACTGTTGCAGCTGATGGCACCACTGCTATCTAAGTTCTCTTTGTCCCCAGATTTCTCAGTAACCTGGAGAGGGGGTGTTGGTGATATCGCAGAACTATCTGCCAAACTACTATTTTGATGAATGAGTTATTTTTGCAGTTCCCTTTTTGGTGTCTTTCTGGAATAGAAAGAATCATTTATTAGGAATGTTTGGCTTTCCCAGAGGGGCTCTCAGAGTAAAAAGACTGATTTGTTTTCCTTTGGCAATTTTAAATTATGCTTTTTGGCCCATTAGTGACTTTACTTACAGAAAAACATCTGAGCAAAAGAAAGGAAACAGGCGGGATCTTAGATCACATGAATCCCTACACCAAAGTCCTGGGAGAGCACCTGCGCTGGCTCTGAAGGGCCTATGCCACCAGGAGCACTGAAATACTGATCAAGAGATCAGGCCGGGCTCGGTGGCTCACGCCTGTAATCCCAGCACTTTGGGAGGCCGAGGTGGGCGGATCACTTGAGGTCAGGAGCTCGAGACCAGCCTGGCCAACATGGTGAAACCCTGTCTCTATGAAAAATACAAAAATTAGCCAGACATGGTGCCTGTAATCCCAGCTACTTGGGAGGCTGAGGCAGGAGAATCACTTGAACCCAGGAGGTGGAGGTTGCAGTGAGCCAAGATCGCACCACTGCACTCCAGCCTGAGTGACAGAGTGAGACTCCGTCTCACAAAAAAAAAAAAAAAAAGAAAGAAAAAAAAAAAAGAGAGATCAGCAGCCACAGAACACACCTTGGAGTCACATGGGTATAGCAGAAGGGCCCCCTTCCCTCACACCGGGCAGCAGGAGGCTGGACTTCTCCCATCAGTTTGCCACTTTCTTGCTGTGTGGCCTTAGTGTCAGAATCACACATTCTTTGGATTTCCTTATAATGGATCAAAAAAGAAAGAAAGAAGAAAGAAAGAAAGAGGAAAGAAAGAAAGAAAAGAAAGAAAGAGAAAGTGTGAGAGAGAGAGGAGGAGGAAAATAATCAGTTCTGCTGCACTTGCCTCACTGGGTGGTTATAAGGACCGATTCAATTCAGAATTTATTGAGTTGTTGTGTGCCCAGCACAGTGATGATTGGGGTAAAAGAGTGCTTGTGAAAGTGCTTTGCAAATCAAAAGAGAAGGTATTGACCCACACTATTGATCCCATTGAGATCAAAGACCCATGAAACCAAGCCTGCAGGCTGGCCTCATGGTGGCTGCAGCTACCAGGGGTGGGCATGGGGTGGGGTGGGGGGTGGAAGTCTTAATAGAGGGGTAGGGGGGGCAGTCCCTTAGGTGGAAGGTAGGGGAAAAGACTTAACCCAGGAATATAAAATAATCTTGCCACTGCTAGGACTGCAAACAAGCTCAGGGAACGCTGTGGGTGTCAGGCAGCCAACTAATTAGTGTTTTGTGAAAAGAAAGGAATCAAGAATGAAATTGGCCCCTGCTGGTATCCTGAGAGCCAGTGAGCCAGCCCAGGGTCCACAGTGCAGACTGAATTCTCGTCTGTGGCAGAGTGCTTCTTTACTTTTCTCCTGCAGAGCCATGGATGTGGATTTTGGCTAAAAATATTTTTTCCCCTCAAATGACATAGCAACCACAAAAGAATTTTCTGAGTAGTCCCTCTCACATGCTGGGTTTCTCTCCCTGAATTCGAAGGAGCAGCTGGACCCCTCACAACCCCAGTCCCTAGACCCCAGTCCCTAGTCAGAGTGGTTTCTTGCATCTCCAGTCTGGATCCTGGAGGGGTCAGATAGGAAAGTCCTGGGCAATGTGAAGAGGCTGGGAAAGGGCCTGAAATCATTTCACCAGCTGGTGCCAGGACTCCTCTTTCCAGATGGAGGGAGCCCAGCACCTCTTCTCCCAGGGCTGGTTGTCAGCCCCTGAGGATGGGGGTATCAAGGCCTGGGGATACCAAGGTCTGAGTGTCGGGTAGAGGATGGGAGCCCCAGAATCACCTGGAGGTGGTGTGGAAGAGGCTTCCAGCAGTATTTTGTGAAAGGAAAATATTTGCAGTGTTTTGTGAAAGGAAAATAAAAACTTGGTACCCCAATTCACTATATCAGAGGCATTTGAACCAGAGTGACTCCATCTTGAATAGGGGCTGGGTAAAATGAGGCTGAGACCTACAAAATGAGGCTACATTTCTAGATGGCTAAGGCATTCTAAGTCACAGAATTTGACAGGTTGGCACATGATGCAGGTCATAAAGACCTTGCTGATAAAACAGTTTGCAGTAAAGGAGCCAGCTAAAACCCACCAAAACCAAGATGGTGATGAGAGGGAACTTTGGTCATCCTCACTGCTATGCTCTCACCAGTGCCATGACATTTTACAAATGCCATGGCAATGTCAGGGAGTTACCATATATAATCTAAAACGGGGAGGCATATATAATCTACCCCTTGTTTATAATTTCATCAAGAAATAACCACAAAAAAATGGGCAACCAGCAGCCCTAGGGGCTGCTCTGTCTATGCAGTCTCGCTCTGTCACCTAGGCTGGAGTGCAGTGGTGCGATCTTGGCTCACTGCAACCTCTGCTTCCTGGGTTCAAGCTAGTCTCCTGCTGCAGCCTCCTGAGTAGCTGGGATTACAGGAGTGTGGCATCATGTCTGGCTAATTTTTGTATTTTTAGTAGAGACAGGGTTTCACCATGTTGGCCAGGCTGGTCTCGAACTCCTGACCTCAAGTGATCCACCCACCTCGGCCTCCCAAAGCGCTGGGATTACAGGCATGAGCCACCATGACTGGCTGGAGTAGCCATTCTTTTATTCCTTTACTTTCTTAATAAACTTGCTTTCACTTTGCTCTATGAACTTGCCCTGAATTCTCTCTTGTGTGAGATCCAATAATCCTCTCTTGGGGTCTGGATCAGACCTCTTTTCTGTAACACCATGACAGTTTACAAATGCCATGGCAATATCAGGAAGTTACCTTATATGGTCTAAAAGGGGGAGGAACCCTTAGTTATGGGAATTGCCGGTCCCTTTCCCGGAAAGTCATGAATAATCCATCCCTTGTTTAGCATATGATCAAGAAATAAGTAAACATAAGCAGCTGAGCAGCCCACGACACTGCTCTGCCTATGGAGTAACCGTTCTTTATTGCTTTACTTACTTACTTTTTTTTTTTTTTTTTTTTTTTTGAGACAGAGTCTCACTCTGTCGCCCAGGCTGGAGTGCAGTGGCACAATCTCGGCTCACTGCAACCTCTGACTCCCATGTGATTCTGCCGCCTCAGCCTCCCAAGTAGCTGGGGCTACAGGCGAGCAACCACACCCTGCTAATTTTTGTATTTTTAGTAGAGATGGGGTTTCACCATGTTGGCCAGGCTGGTCTGGAACTCCTGACCTTAGGTAATCCACCTGCCTCGGCCTCCCAAAGTGCTGGGATTACAAGCGTGAGCCATGGTGCGCGGCCTACTCCTTTACTTTCTTAATAAACTTGCTTTCACTTTATGAACTTGCCCCGAATTCTTTCTTGTGTGAGATCCAAGAACCCTCTCTTGGGGTCTTGATTGGGACCTGTTTCTGGTAACAACTATGGCAAAGGAAAAAAAATTAAGCTGAAAGCTGAGTTGTGGAAGAAGCTGCCTTTCCTTTCATTTCTAAGCAGACAGCTACAGATAAAATGTTACAGAATTTCCACAGGTAGCTATTCTAAGTTCACCTTATCTTACGTAAAGTGCAGATTTACTGAACAAAAGATGAATATATAATTGACTATTCCCCTACCTGCTCCCTTTCTCACAACATGTGGATTCAGTAATATGACCATATCCTCCCTTTTTTTCCTCCAGCCTGCTTTCCTCCTTTAAATATCAAAGCCCTCAAAGTCATCTTTGGAGAAAGGCACAGACCTGCCTCCTGAGCACTTGTCCTTAACCTCAGCAAAATAAAATTCTAAATTGATTCAGACCTGTCTCAGATACTTTTTGGTTTACAATTTCTTTTCCTTTTTTTATTAATTAATTATTTTATTTATTTACTTATTTATTTTTGAGACGGAGTTCTGCTCTTGTTGCCCAGGCTGGAGTGCAGTGGTGCAATCTCGACTCACTGCAACCTCCACCTCCCAGGTTCAAGCGATTCTCCTGCCTCAGCCTCCGGAGTAGCTGGGGTTACGGGTGTGCGCTACCACGCCCGGCTAATTTTGTAGTTTTAGTAGAGACGGGTTTTCTCCATGTTGGTCAGGCTGGTCTCGAACTCCTGACCTCAGGTGATCCGCCCGCCTCAGACTCCCAAAGGGCTGGGATTACAGGTGTGAGCCACTGCACGCCACTTGGTTTATAATTTCTACAGCACATCTTCTAATCCATTCTATCCATGAGCCTGTTAGGGAGACTCAGAAAACAATGGACTCAGTAGATGCTGGCAAGACTGAAATACTTTGTGGGGACATTTATTAACCACAGAATCTTGAGTCTTAACAAGGTTTTTTTGTTTTGTTTTTTGTTTTCTTGAGACAGATTCTCACTCTGTTGACCAGGCTGGAATGCAGTGGTGCAATCTCAGCTCACCACAGCCTTGACTTCCCAAGCTCAGGTGATCCTCACACCTCAGCCTCTCAAGTAGCTGGGACTGCAGGTACACACCACCACACCTGGCTAATTTTTTGTATGCTTGGTAGAGACAGGGTTTTACCATGTTGCCTAGGCTGGTCTCAAACTGCTGGCCTCAAGGGATCCGCTTACCTTGGCCTCCTCAAATGCTGGGATTACAGGTATGAGCCACCATGCCCAGCCAAGTTTTAACAAGTTTTTTTTTTTTTTTTTGAGATGGAGTCTAGCTCTGTCACCCATGCTGGAGTGCAGTGGTGCGATCTCGGCTCACTGCAACCTCCACTTCCCGGGTTCAAGCAATTATCTGCCTCAGCCTCCCGAGTACCTGGGATTACCGCCCGCCACCATGCCTGGCTAATTTTTTTTTTTTTTGTATTTTTAGTAGAGACAGGGTTTTACCATCTTGGCCAGGCTGGTCTTGAATTTCTGATCTCGTGATCCACCCGCCTCAGCCTCCCAAAGTGCTGGGATTACAGGCATAAGCCACTGCACCCAGCAGAGTTTTAACAAGTTTTTAAATGAGGTTTTAATTTTCATTTTATTTTAAAATTGGAGATACATTCTCAAGGTTCAAATTCAAAAGTTACAAAAGGGTATACTGTGAGAAGTTTTCCAGCCCCACAGACTTCTTTGAAGTCACACACTATTCATAGTTTCTATTTAACAAGATTTTTTCAAACTTAAAAAATAAAATAAAAAGCTTCCCAAATTCTTAGAAGCTATTTAGAGATACTGACTTTGCTCCAACTTAACTCTACAGTGGAGAGGAAGTGATGAGTTCCTCTAAAGGAGTGGTGCTGTTCGTCCAGCCTGGTGTCATTGAGGAAGGTGTCCGTGGGGGAGGTGGGGGTGGAGTAGGGAGAAAATGTTACTGGAAAACGGTCCCAATCCAGACCCCAAGAGAGGGTTCTTGGACCATGTGCAAGAAAGAATACGAGGTGAATCCATGAAATAAAGTGAAAGCATGTTTACTAAGAAAGTAAAAGAATAAAGAATGGCTACTCCATAGGCAGAGCAGCAGCGTGGGCTGTTCGATGGAGTATGCTTATAGTTATCTCTTCATCATATACTAAACAAGGGGTGGATTATTCATGACTTTTCCAGGAAGGGGCAGGCAATTCCCGGAACTGAGAGTTCCTCCCCTTTTTAGATCATATAGGGTAACTTCCTCATGTTGCCATGGCGTTAGTGAACTTAGTGCCAGTGGGAATGTCTTTTAGCAGCTAATGCATTATAATTAGAGTATAATGAGCAGTGAGGATGACCAGCGGTCACTTTCATCGTCATCTTGGTTTTGGCCGGCTTCTTTACCACATCCTGTTTTATCACAAGATCTTTGTGACCTGTTTCTTGTGCTGACTTCCTATCTCATCCTGTGACTAAGAATGCCTAACCTTTTGGGAATGCAGCCCAGTAGGTCTCAGCCTTATTTTACCCAGTCCCTATTCAAGATGGAGTCACTCTGGTTCAAACACCTCTGACAAAAAGACAGCACAGTTGTTATGGTTGCCTCCAGCCACCATACTGGGAACGCTGCATCCCTTCACTATACTCAGATACATGTCCAGCCCCAGCCCAAGTGATCTCTGGTCTGGCTGCCCTGGCCAGGAAGGCCCAAATGCCTAGGACTGCTCTGCTCTTTCCTGTTCCCTAGCTGCTGAGCCCACATGGCTCACACTGTGATACTGCTTCTCCCAGGAGCATCTAGGGCTGTGCAAATGCTGTAGGATTATATGCCAGCTTGCTGGAGTGGACTGCTAAGTGAGTTTAGAGATGATGAGGAGGACAGCATATTTGAATTTGACACAACTATCTAGAGAACAGTCACCTCACAGGAAAAGACAGTCAGCTTGCTGAAGATGAAGAGACCAAGCCCCCGAAAGCAGACTGTTGGTGATGTTTTTTCCTCTTCAGTGCAGACTTAACTAATACTAGCTACTAAATTCATTGACATGTATAAAATCACCTCTCCTCATCCTTGAAATGATCTTGTCAGGTAGGTGCTAGCATTCACATTCTATAGTTGAGGAAATTTTGGTCCAGAAAAGTTAGATTGCTTGTCTGATCACACAGCTAGTATTACAGCTGCATCTCAGCAATTCTGAGATCTTCTTTAGTCTGGGGACATCTGTTTCCTAAAAATGAGGGCAGGCTGGCCTTCATATACTGGTGGGGCAAGAGGAACTGTCCTTCTACCCATTGAAAGTTAGAGAATTTGAGTCTGTAAAACAAACTGGCAATAGACAGATTAACAGCAGAAAGGTAAACAAATTTATTAACATACAAGTGCACAGGAACCATGCAAGGTATAAAACCCAAAGAAGGGCCAGAGGGTTGAAGCTTAAATACCTCTTCACAGGGGAAAGGGAAGTGGAAGGTGTAGGCAATTTTAGACAAAGAGCAAACAATTTTTAGGGGAGATTAATAGGCCTGAAAACCATACAATAACCTGGAACGAAGTTCCTCTGGGCTCTGGGGGAGGTGGTGACAAGTTATGAGAAAGTAAAGGGTGGAACTGCCCTGTGAACAAAGGTTGTCTTATTATGCAGATATAGTCAGCCCTCCATATCCGCAGAGGATTGGCTCCAGGATCCCCTGCAGATACCAAAATCACTGGGTGCTCAAGTCCCTGATAAAAAATGGCATAGTACAGTTGGCCCTCTGTATCTGTGGGTTCTGCATCCTCGGATTCAACCAACTGTGGATGGAAAATATGTACAGTTGACCCTTTGTATCTGTGGTTTTGATCTATGGTTGTTGAATCTGTGAATGTGGAATCTGTGGCTATGGAGAGCCCACTGTAAAATCTCTCAGGTAGCATCTCTCAGAATAGCAAAAAAAATCTGTCCAGTTGAGTGTGGTGGTGACCTTTAGCTTCTTCTCTAGTGATTAATCTTCTCTGGTTAATGAGATTTCAGACAGGAAATTGAAGGCAATTGTGTCTCTTTTGGAAGAACTTCCCTCAGTTAGGTGAGGGAACTTCAGAGAGAGCCCTCCCTGTGCTTGGGGGAAGACACAAGGGAAGATCATAGACTTTGATTCTGGGGCAACTTCTAAGGCTTTCCAATTTATTTTAATTCTAAGTGCTCAGCATGCCAAAGCACCATGCTTTGGGGTATCATTTCCTGAGCCCCAACAATACATACCCATGTACACAAACATCATGGGCCTCTCACCCCACAAACTCCTTGACACAATGGTGGATGACTGTCTGATGCCCGTTTCTGTGGGTTTGCTTCTGGAACACTCTTAGATGAGGGGCCAAGCCACCCAGCAGCAGTGATGCCCTCAAAGGCCAGTCCCCTCCCCACTGGTTCTCTGTGGCTTCTCAAGGAGCAGCAAACTGGTGACTGTGACACAGCTGGACTAGGACTGAGCCTTAGCTCCCTCCTTTGTAAACTAGAGGCCTAAGGAAGGAACACTGAAATTTGTCATTTTGGATTGCTTAGTAACTATTCTCATTTCCTAATGGCATTCTGGCTTATTTGTGGGCATTTATACCTGTTTCCCACTGTGAGTGCTAAAGGGGTTGGATCACCCCTCTTTCCAGCCTGGCACAATCAGGGGTGGACCTTATGAGCTAGACTCAGCCAACAAGACATCCTCTTGGGGGACTCGGGGTTTTGAGTGAGGGGGCTGAGGACAAGGCTCATTCATTACTGTGGCAGCAGGTTCAGTGGACAGTTCTTGTGTCAAAGTGTAAGTAAAAAAAGTCAAAAATACGACTCATACAAAATAGGATGAACATGAGCCACAGAGCTTATTTAATTCATTAAGCAATGAGGGAAACAGTAAGATGAAAAGCTGGTTCTGAGAGCATATGAAGAATTGGGAAAGGCACACCAAAATAAACATTTTAAGTTGTACACAAACCTGGTTAATGTTCTATAGGGTAATAAAGCCATAGCGTACTTTCTGTTCAGTTTATGACATTAATATAATCCCAAGAGTTAGAACTAGGATTCCTCATCCTCCTTCTACGGAGGTTGCCAGACCTAAGTGCTTTTGGTACTCTCTTTCTCTTTTGATGCTGATTATTCGGGAAGTCACATGTGGCTCTGGATACTATCTTTCTTTCAAGATGTCAGGGGCATCTAAAAACCTGCCTGGGAATTTTTCTGTGCTCATGGGTGGGTGTTACATGTCATGAGATCAAGAACCCAAAAGCAGAGGATGAGATTGCCATATAAGACCTCTCGGAACCCAAGGCTTCATAATTGGAACATAGCAACATTTGCTGCATTGTTTTCCCATGTCTCTAGGTGACTGGATACTTATTATAGAATGCTGGTTGTTATGGTGATGAGAGATGGGGGAAACCAGGCCGATTGTACACTGTGAATGAAGGTTTAATCTATGTCATCCTTTGTCACAGGTCATCCTGTTGCCTGGGATGAAGTGTCACATAGTTTGAATCCACATTGCTTGCTGACTTCATGGGGTGAATGAACTTTTCCAAGATTCTGGAAGCCTATTGTAATTTGTGTTCTCTACATTTTCCTGAGGTCCCAGGGATGCCGTGACTACTAAGCTCTATGGTAGGAGTTGGGGCAGGAGGTGAGTAGAGGTGACCAATGACTGGTGTGCCAAGGTCTTTCCCCCTCTGAGATTCCAGTCAATTCCAGGCATGGAGTTGTGGTTAAAAGAACCTCAGATGACATAAGAACAATACAACGGACATTGGGGACTTGGAGGAAAGAGTGGAAAGGAGGCAAGGGATAAAAGACTACAAATATGGTGCAGTGTATACTGCTCAGGTGATGGGTGCACCAAAATCTCACGAATCACCACTAAAGAACTTACTCATGTAACCAAATACCACCTATATCCCAATAACTCATGGAAAAATAAACTAAAATAATTTTAAAAAAGATTTAAATATAACCTCCTCAGAAAGGCCTTTCCTGACCACTCAAAGATAGCCACCCAGTTACTCTCTATATCATTCAGTTTTAATTCCTTAATTAGCTCATGCTGTTTATTTTGTAATTGTTTGTTCCCCACTCCAGATATAAAACACATCAGAGCAGGACCCTTATCTTGCTCATCGCTGTATCCCAGAGTGCTCGATAAATATTTGTTGATTGAAGGACCGTCTTCCGATTCAGTGACAGAGAGGTGGGCCATGAGGGAAATAAGGAAAAAAGTAGAAACAGGAAATGAAGAAAATCAGAAACAATTTAATACTCTATTGTGTGCAAAAATGAAGTAGAAAGAAGAGACAAGAAAATGTACATAAAGGGGTTAGAAGAAGGAGAGAGGAAAATAAATTACTGTTATGTTTTGGAAAAACTCTTAACTAGAGGGAAGGGAACTAACTTTATTGAGCTCCCTCTATGTAGGAAACCTAAATTACCAGATGATGTGGGGTTTTTGTTTGTTTGTTTGTTTGTTTGTTTTTTTGGACAGATTTTATTTCAACTTAGAGTCATCACCAAAATTACTTTCCTCATTTTCAACCTTTTCCTAGGAAGAAAAGAAAGTGAGCTATTTTATTCTATAGAAAGAAAAACAAATGCCTATTTGTTTTCATCAAGTGAAATTGTCAAGGATGACTGGCAGTGCCATTCACTGAGAAAGAGTACTAGAAGAAGTGTTTTGCAGGGAAATCATGAGTTTCATTTTTAACAGGTTAAAATTGAGATATTTTGAAATATTCAAGTAAAGGTGTTGACAAGATAATGGGATATATCACTCAGAGGAGAGGTCTGAGCTGGAGGTCTAAATCTTTGATGTATGGATGATAATTGAAGCCATAGGCATGGATGTGAGTGTCTAGAGAGAAAGAACAGCATATGAAAAAAATGGGGTTTCATGGATGTACCTTAAGGAGCTCCAGTATTTAAGGTTTAGGTGGTAGGAGACAAGCTTTTGAAGGAGACTCAGAAGGAATGGTCAGGAGAATATGGTTTTATGAAAACCAAGGGAATATACTGTTTCAAGGAGAATAATGGTCAGCAGAGTTGAATGCTGCTGAGACACCAAAGAAAATGAGAATTGAAAATGTTTATTCCCTTTAGTGACATTGAAGTCTTTGACCTCAGTGAAAGTAATTTTAGCAGAGTGGAGATGGAATCTGAGTCATTTTAACATCCACAGTACCTTTCCATAGAGTAGATATTTGATATGTTTTTTCATTTGCTTTACCATGAAATGTATAATTATGCAGCAGAATGTATAACGTATATGTAATATTTGAAGAACAAAATGAACAACATTTACCCATAACCTGTTAGGAAACAACTTTAGAAGACACCTGTGTGTCCCTCCCTGCTTGCATCTAGCTTCTTCGTCTGCCCAGGTGGACTGCTCTTACCGTTGCAGTAAGTGTTCCCTTGCTTCTCTTTTATAGTTTTACTGCCTATGAGTGATTCCCTAAACAATACACTGTTATTTTTAAAATATACTTTTTTAGTTTTAACTGGTTTTGAACTCTTTATAAATGGAATTATACTGTATTCATTCTGAAAATAAAAAGAACCTCAGATGAACCAAGGATAATAAAGTGCTGATAATTGTTGAGGCTGAGTGATGGATATATTAGTGTTCATTTTACTCTTTTCTCTACTTTAGTGTATGTTAGAAGATTTCCATACTTGAATGTGAAACAATTTCTGAAAGATTGAAAAAAATTTTTCTAAATTGTTACTATTTTTATTTTTATTTTATTTTTTTGAGACAGGGTCTCACTCTGTTGCCCAGGCTGGAGTTCAGTGATGTGATCTTGGCTCACTGCAACCTGGCTCCAGCCCAGGCCTCCCCCGGCCTCAGCCTCCCGAGTAGCTGGGACCACAGGCTGCACCACCACACCTGGCTTGTATTTTTTATAGAGATGGGATTTTGCCACGTTTCCCAGGCTGGTCTCGAACTCCTGGGCTCAAGCAATCCACCCATCTCAGTTTCCCAAAGTGCTGGGATTACAGACAGGCATGAGCCACTGTGCCCAGCTGGAAATTTTTTTTTTTTTTAGAAGAAAAGAAAAAGGAAAAAAAGGGCACTTTGAAGATCTTATAGGGTCATATTTAAGTGGTAAAACTTTGGAAAAGTGACTGATCTCAGGCAAATGGCAGGGTATTGTCCAGCCCCTTCCCTGCTTTATTTTTACTCCTTAGTACTTATTACCATGTAACAAACTATATATTTTATTTATTTATCTTACTTATTGTTGGTCTTCCAGCTGAATTACAAGCTTCATGAGGCAGGAACTGTTGGTATGTTTTGCTCATCCCCATCCCCAGGACTTGCAATAGTACCTGGCACATGGATAGGTTCAGGTTCATGAAACAAAAACCAATAGTGACATAAACAAGATAGAGGCTTTTTTTTTTTTAAACATATATGCCATTCAATAGTGGAACCTAGGCCCCTATCTCTTCTCTTTCATCATCCTGACTGTGACTTCTACCATGAAAATTGCCTCATGATCTCATTATTGATGCCAGAGCTCCAGCTGTCACACACACATTCCAGGCAGGAAGAAGAGAGGTGGGGGCAAAAGGACACTTACTTTTCAGCTGAAGCTGCCTCCACTAAAAGTCTTCTTGTAGTCCAATATGGTTTCCAATCACCTGCACAGAGATGGTTTGAGTGCTTGGAGCAGCCCTCACTGTTTGGCTATGAGAGTTCCAGGTCTGCACTTGAGGCCATTATCTGCAACCCAGGACTTTGCTTTAGGCCAATGCCAGGAGACACTTACAGGTTGAATATGAAATTGATCCTCTGCTCTCTGAGAAGTGGTCCCTAATTTAGCATTTGCAGTTTTGGTGGGTGACACTGAGTCTCTGCAGAGGCACCAGGTGGCTCTGGATTTGGTGCAAGTAGCTTCAGCCCATGCCCGAGGAGTGCCTCGGATAGTTTCAGATGAGAAACGAGATCCTGGATGGGCACCCCCTGTAGGGTCCCCTTTCTGAAGAAAGTTGTCCAAGGATGGGAAGCTTGTTGGAAATGTCTGGACTCCAGTCCAGAGATTCTGACTCTGTGTGGGGCCCAGGAATTTGCCTTTTATATAAGAAACCCAGGTAATTTGGACACAGGTTTGAGAAACGACACTGAGATACTCCAGGCCATGGAATGGGATACCAGCTGGTTTAGGACAGAAAACATCTAGAAGCTGTTCTTTCCTACTGAAGCACAAACATTGCACTCAAGTAAGCCTTAAAGAGGCCTTGAGTCTCCATGGACTCAGGCCCTGCTCAGTGTTGAGTAAAATAAAGGTTAACTCAGTAATCTGATGAAAGCTCTCATGTAGATAAACAGTTCTAATTAGCTTGTTCATTGTCCAGTGAGCTCACTTGGGTCTCATTGGTGACCATGGCTCTTTTTGATCATCCATAGACTTTCAGTGACAGATTGTACTTTGGGGTACTTAATGCCTGTAAAATAATAAAACGAAACAAAATGAAATAGTACCATGTTACAATGCGACTCAAGATCATTTTATGATGTTATGATGAACTGTGTTTGTATTAAACGATGGTCCTCATTTGAAGCCTGCCAAAAACACGCTCATTTTCACGTTTGAAAAAATTTTTATTTTTTTGAGGCAGAGCTTTGCACTGTCACGTAGGCTGGAGTGCAGTGGCACGATCTTGACTCACTGTAACCTCTGCCTCCTGAGTTCAAGTGATTCTCCTGCCTCAGCCTCCCAAGTAGTTGGGATTACAGGCTCTGCCACCATGCCTGGCTATTTTTTATATATATATATTTTTTAGTAGAGATGAGGTTTCACCATGTTGGCCAGGCTGGTCTCGAACTCCTGACCTCAAGTGTTCCGCCCACCTTGGTCTCCAAAGTGTTGGGATTACAAGCGTGAGCCACCGCACCCAGCCTGAAAAAATTGTTAAATGCTGAATGACACTATCTTTTAGTGGAGACATTGCACTAGTATATAAAAAACAGGACAAAACTATCAGAAACACACAGTGATATTTAGTGGTCTCTAATCAGCTTAGAAAAGTGAGATGTGGGGCAAATCTCTTTAGAAGCTCTTTAAGTTGATAAGGCAGGCAACTGAGGAAAAAAATTAGTTGTATGAAAACATGTTTGAATGAAGGGAGTTTAGACATCTAAGCAAATATGATTTTTGCATTATGCTGGAAACAAATGCTGCACGACTTGGAAGGATTTACAGTCACACTTAAATACAAACAAACAAACATAAGAAACAGGGACTGAAGCAAAGATGCCAAGTTGCCTACCCGTATCCCTTCATTCCTTCTCTCATTCCCCTCTTGCAATCGACCTTGCCACAGTCTCCAATGTACCTAGCTAATTTTCCAGTTGTCCTTAAAGATAGAGATGAGGTGTAATTCAAAGTTACTGAGTGGGGCTTACAAGAAAGTTCTTTTTTTTTGAGACAGGATCTCATCTCACTCTGTCACCTAGGCTGGAGTGCAGTGGCACGATCATGGCTCACTGCAGTCTCAACATTCCTGGGCTCAGGTGATCCTCCCACCTCAGTGTCTGAGTAGCTGTGACTACATGTGTGCACCATCATGCCCTCCTAATTTTTTAATTTTTTGTAGAGATGGGGTTTCACCATGTTGCCCAGGCTGGTCTTGAACTTCTGGGCTCTAGAGATTCATCCACTTTGGCTCCCAAAGTGCTGGTTACAGAAGTGAGCCAGTGTGCCTGGACTACAAGAAAACTTTTAATGGAGACAGCTTCAGTTGAAAAGTAGATGTCCTTTTGCCCCCACCTCTCTTCTTCCTGCCTGGAATGTGTGTGTGACAGCTGGAGCTCTGGCATCAATAATGAGATCACGAGGCAATTTTCATGGTAGTTGTCACAGTCAGGATGGTGAAGGAGAAAGAGATAGGGGCCTAGGTTCCACTGTTGAGTGGCATATATGTTAAAAAAAAATAGCCTCTATCTTGTTTAGGTCACTATTGGTTTTTGTTGCATGAACCTGAACCTATCCACGTGCCAGGTACTATTGCAAGTCCTGGGGATGGGGATGAGCAAAACATACCAGCAGTTCCTGCCTCATGAAGCTTGTAATTCAGCTGGAAGACCAACAATAAGTAAGATAAATAAATAAAATATATAGTTTGTTACATGGTAATAAATACTAAGGAGTAAAAATAAAGCAGGGAAGATGGATATGAAGTGTGGAGGTCAGGGAAAGGCTTGACATTTTAGAGAGTGTCACCAGCGAAGCCATATGGGATTTCACTGGAGAAATTAAGGTGACATTTGTGTAAAGACTTAGTAAGAGAGAGTCAGGGGGTATCTGGTGGACAAGCTGTTCTCTCCCGGCAGAGAGAACAGCAAATGCAAAGGCTGTGAGGTCAGAGTGTTCGAGGATAGTCAAGGGCTTGGACTGGGTGAAGCAGGATGGTTGACAGAGTACCCGGCAGGAACTGTTGTTAAAGAGGCGATGGAGCCAGGACTAGCAAGGCCTTGTGGACCATAGGAAGAACTTTGGCTTCTGCTGTGAGTGAGTTGTGGCCACAGGCAGGTTCTGGGCAGGGAAGTTGCAAGATCTGCTTTATATACAAAGAGAATCACTGTGCTACTGTCTTGAGATGAGGCTGAAGAGGGCGGAGGTGGAAGCACAGAGACTGATTTAGGTGGAAGCACAGAGCCTGCATCATCTAAGTGAGAGAGGATGTTGGTGTGAACCAAGTGAAAGTGGTGGAAGTAGGAAGAAGGGGGATTCGTCATGTCAGGGAGAACCGTTAAGGTCCCCTATGGACTGGATATAGGATGTGAGAGAGAGAGGAGTCAGAGAGAACTCTAAAGTTTTTGGAAGGACGGAGCTGCCATCAACTGATTTGGAGCAAACTTGTTTCCTCTAGCCTCCCTACCAACCGGAGGAACAGGTTTGAGGGGAACAACAGAAGATCAGTTGTGTATATTTCAAATTAGAGATGGCCATTAGATACCAGCTGGAAATCTCGAGCAGAGATGGATACATGGTCAGAATTCAGGGCATAGGTCCACTTTGGGAGCCATTGGGACATGGATGGTATTTAACGTCATGGGACTGGAGAAAGTCACCAAATGAGTAAGTGTGGAGAGAAAAGAGAAGAATCTGGGCACTGAACCATGGGGCCCTCTGATGTTTAGAGATTGGGAGAAAAGGGGGAGCCAGCCACGGAGACTGAGAAGGAGAAGCCAGAGGGGAAGGAGGACAACCAACAAATCTGAGGCCGTGGTGGCCAAGAGAAGGAAATGTCTCATGGAAGAGAGAGTGAGAGATGGTGTTAAATACTGTGTCAAGTAAGATAAGGACTGAAAATTAAATATGAGGATTCAATAAAACTGTTCGTATAAATATTTTAGAAGAGTTCTTGGTACATAGTAATCATTCAATACATGGAACACACACTACACACACACACACATTTGCTATATTAGCCCTGTTCAATTGCATTTTCTGTGATGACAGAGATGTTCTATATTTGTGCTGTTCAATATAGTAGCCACTTAGCCACATATAGCTACTGAAAGCTTGAACATGTGGCTAGTGCAACTGAGGAATTACATTTTTTTAGAAGGGTGAAGAATTGTATTTTATTGAAACTCAACTCAAAAAAAGAAATAAGATGCTGTAGTGTGCAATGTATTCACACAAAGCACCCTCAGATGCATATTCAAGTCAAGTAAGAACTCCATATCCCTTTTCTTAGTTTTCCTACCCTGGGACCTTAGTCTCTTCCATATACAATCATGCACACTTAATTTGAAAAAGGAAACCCAGTGTATTTTGATGTATTCGTTAGCACCAAATTTAATGAAATTTTAATTAAATAAATACTGAAGTTTAAATAGCCACATGTAGCTGCTGGCTACTGTCTTGAACATAAGCAGTTCTGTAGTCCATCCTGTCTAAATAGACCTATTCTGTCTATAGGCCAATTTACAAACGTTCTCTTTTTAGATGATCAGCCAAATGAGTTTTAGCCAGCTTATAAAGGTGTGGCACAGAAGGCCCGTTGATAGAGTTTAAAAATCATGTGCACAGGAGTGGAAAGTTTGGGTGAGCAAGCAGAGGCCAGCACCCTGAAGAAAGAGGCTGATGGAGTTTAAGACACACTAGGACTCAAATCTCGGTCTGTCTCTTAGTTGTGAAGCCCCAGACAGGTTGTTTAACCTCTCAGAGACTGCCTCATCCTCTGAAAAGGCCTGGCTACTTAATTTGCCAGAGCCCAGGGCAAAATAAAAACACTGGGTCCCTTGTTCAAAAATTATTAAGAATTTTGAGCTGGCAACAGCAGAGACCAAGTGTGGGGCCCTTCCGAGTTGCAGGCTCTGTGTAACGCGTAGGTTACATGACCACGAAGCTGCCTCCTGGGTCTTGAGGATGCGGGCTGGGCAGTCAGAGTGTTGAAAATGGGAGAGGGAACAAAGGCGAGAGCGTTTGCTGCTGCTGCACTGCTGCTGGCCTGGGCAGAAGGCTGGGGTGGGGAGCTCTTTTCTTACATCAGTTTCAGATCTTCCCTCTTTCTGAGTCCTGTAGACTATAGCTAATCTTTTCCTAGGCTTGTTTGTTGGCTGGGTCTCAAATGACCATAGTCTAGCTCTTGCAGTTACCTACTGACATGGTTTAGATCTGTGTCCCTACTGACATGGTTTAGCTCGTGTCCCCACCAGATCTCATCTTGAATTGTACTCCCATAATTCCCACGTGTTGTGGGAGGGACTTGGTGGGAGATAATTTAAATCATGAGGGTGGTTTCCCCCATACTGTTCGCATGGTAGTGAATAAGTCTCATGAGATCTGATGGTTTTATCAGGGGGTTCTGCTTTTGCATCTTCCTCATTTTTCTCTTGCCACCACCATGTTAAGAAGAGCCTTTTGCCTCCCACCATGATTCTGAGGCCTCCCCAGCCATGCAGAACTGTAAGTCCAATTAAACCTCTTTTTCTTCCCAGTCTCGGGTATGTCTTTATCAGCAGCATGAAAATGGACTAATACAGTAACTTGGTACCAGCAGAAGGGGTGCCTCTGAAAAGATACCCAAAAATGTGGAAGCAACTTTGGAACTGGGTAACAGGCAGAGGTTGGAACAGTTTGGAGGGCTCAAAAAAAGACAAGAAAATGTGGGAAAGTTTGGTACTTTCTAGAGACTTGTTGAATGCCTTTGCCCAAAATGCTGATAGCAATATGGACAATAAAGTCCAGGCTGAGGTAGTCTCAGATGGAGATGAGGAACTTGTTGGGAAGTGGAGCAAAGATGACTCTTGTTATGTTTTAGCAAAGTGACTGGTGGCATTTTGCCCCTGCTGTAGAGATTTGTGGAATTTTGAACTTGAGAGAGGTGATTTAGGGTATCTGTGGAAGAAATGTCTAAGCAGCAAAGCATTCAAGAGGTGACTTGGGTGCTATTTAAGGCATTCAGTTTTAATAAGGAAGCAGAACATAAAAGTTTGGAAAGTTTGCAGCCTGAAAATGCAGTATAAAAGAAAAATCTATTTTCTGAGGAGAAATTCATGAAAGCTGCAGAAATTTGCATAAGTAATGAGGAGCCGAATGTTAATCCCCAAGACAATGGGGAAATGTCTCCAGGGCATATCAAAGGTCTTCATGGCAGCCCCTCCCATCACAGGCCCAGAGGCCTAGGAGGAAAAAAATGGTTTTGAGGGCCAGGCCCAGGGTACCTGTGCTGTGTGCAGTCTAGGGACTTGGTGCCCTGCATCCCAGCCACTTCAGCTATGGCTGAAAGGGGCCAATGTAGAGCGTGGGCTGTGGCTTCAAAGGGTGCAAGTCCCAGGGCTTGGCAGCTTCCACATGGTGTTGAGCCTGCAAGTGCACAGAAGTGAAGAACTGAGGTTTGGGAACCTCAGCCTAGATTTCAGAGGATGTATGGAAACGCCTGGCTGTGCAGGCAGAAGTTTGCTGCAGGGGCGGGGCTCTCATGGAGAACCTCTGCTAGAGCAGTGCAGAAGGGAAATGTGGGGTTGGAGCCCCCACAGAGAGTCCCTACTGGGGCACTGCCTAGTGGAGCTGTGAGAAGAGGGCCACTGTCCTCCAGACCCCAAAATGGTAGACCCACTGACAGCTTGCACTGTGCACCTGGAAAAGCCGCAGACCGCAGACTCAACGCTCGCCCATGAAAGCAGCCAGGAGGGAGGCTGTATCCTGCAAAGCCACAGGGGCAGAGCTGTCCAAGACCATGGGAACCCGCCTCTTGTTTCAGCATGACCTGGATGTGAGACATGGAGTCAAAGAAGATCATTTTGGAGCTTTAAGATTTGACTGCCCCACTGGATTTCAGGCTTGCATGGGGCCTATAATCCCTTTGTTTTGACAAATTTCTCCCATTTGAAATGGCTGTATTTACTCAATACCTGTACCCCCATTGTGTCTAGGAAGTAACTAGCTTGCTTTTGATTTTACAGGCTCATAGGTGGAAGAGACTTGCCTTGTCTCAGATGAGACTTTGGACTGTGGACTTTTGGGTTAATGCTGAAATGAGTTAAGACTTTGGGGGACTGTTGGGAAGGCATGATTGGTTTTGAAATGTGAGGACATGAGATTTGGAGGGGCCAGGGGTGGGATGATATGGTTTGGCTCTGTGTCCCCACCTAGATCTCATTTTGAATTGTACTCCCATAATTCCCACATGTTGTGGGAGGGACCTGGTGGGAGATAATTTGAATCATGGGGGCAGTTTTCCCTATACTGTTCCCATGGTAGTGAGTAAGTCTTACAAGACCTGATGGTTTTGTCAGGGGTTTCTGCTTTTGCATCTTCATCATTTTTCTGTTGCCACTGCCATGTAAGAAGTGCCTTTAACCTTCCACCATGATTCTGAGGCCTCCCCAGCCATGTGGAACTGCAAGTCCAACTATACCTCTTTTTCTTCCCAGTCTCAGGTATGTCTTTATCAGCAGCATGAAAACGGACTAATACACCTACATTAAAGGGCAGAGAAGAGGCCGTGCTGGTTCATCCATATAACTCATGGGATCATTAGGAGGTTCTTAAGGCTGGGTACAGGGGCTCATGCCTGTAATCCCAGCACTTTGCTGGGTGAAGGCAGGCAGACTCACCTGAGGTCAGGAGTTTGAGCCTGGCCATGGTGAAGCCTGCCTCTACTAAAAATACAAAAATTAGCCAGGCGTGGTGGGGCACACCTGTAATCCCAGCCATTCAGGAGGCTGAGGCATGAGAATCGCTTGAACCTGGGAGGTGGAGGTTGCAGTGAGCCAAGATCATGCCACTGCACTTCAGCCTGGGCAATAGAGCGAGACTCTGTCTCAAAAAAAAAAAAAAATTGTTCTTATGAAGCCTGAGGCTAGGAGAGAATTGGCCAGCAGGAGGCTGAGTTCCACCTTTCTCATTTCGTCATAAGCACGTTTAAAGCCAAGAAACAGCCTTGTGAACCGCCCAAACAGAACAGTGAGCTGTGAGGTTGGGTGTCGTTTGCAGGCTCCCCAGGACTGGCTGAGGATGCCTTGATGTGGCACTGATTAGAGATGATCCCAGAGACCACACAGATGTGAACAGGACTCCCCTCTTCCGTGGGGAACAGAAGTCCATGAGAGGCTGGGTCTGAAGGGCAGGGCGAGGGTAAAGGAGACAGGTTTGGCAGCAGCCTGGAGGGCTATAGGTGCTTTGCCCTGTGGCTTTAACATCAGATCCCCAAGTATCCCTGACCTGGGGGAGGAGCTGCCAACACAAAGTCCAGAAAGGGCAGGGCATATAGGTGGAAGCAGAAATGCCAATCAGGATGAGTGACAGGGATGAACCAAAGTTGGGTTCAATATTCTGGACCTGGGTGACTGGAGGAATCAAAGCATTCTAGAGTTAGAAGTGGCCTTAGAATATTTAATCTTGTGCCTAGGACTAGATATTGTGCTTCAGTGTCCCTGAGACCTCCTCCACCTCAAACTTGTGGCCTCCTGAAGGAAAGAAAAAGAGACAAACACTATCTAGGAAGCCCTGGGGTCCACCAGACTCCTCGGCAGCCACTCTCCCGACTGTGGCTCCCAGGAGAACCCAGTCTCATGGCCTAGCTGAGTAGCAGAGCACTGTGGAAAGGCTGTATGGTTGCTGCCCTGCCTCTTGCTGCTCTGTGACCCTGGGCTCGTGACTTCACCTTGCTGGGCCTTCTTTCACCAGTAAGCTGAAAATAAGCTTTGCTGCTAGGATATTAATTGGTGACATGAGATAAGGTTTGTAAAACACAGGGCACTTGCCTGACATCTACTTCCTCCTTGCCATCTGGAAGCCTCCAGTATAACACCTGCCTGAAGTCATAGCTGAAGTACAACATGTTTCTGACAATTAAATGTAACAGACATAATTTCTAGGGCACCCACTGCATTGGACAATGTGAGACAGATGGACTAAGTACAAGACATGGACCTCTACCTCTGAAAAAAGTAGCATCTTGGTTAAGCAAAAGACACACAAGCACAAGCTTTTTAAATTATGAAACTAATACAGCTACATGCAGAAGAATTATGAATCAAAAGGACTATTGGGATTTAGAAGGAGAGCTTAGCAGAGTTGGAGGGCTTCCTGGAGAAAATGGGCTCTGTGATAGACTCTGAAGTGCTGGTAAGGCATGGAAGGTGGGCAGCTTTTGCTGTGAGTTGTCCAGGAACAATGGCAAGAGCAAGGTGTGGGCAAGAGCAAGGTGTGGGCAAGAGCAAGGTGTGGGCAGGAGTGGATTCAGAGCCCCACTGGAATAGAGTTTTGAAGTCATGGATGAAGTGGGCGGAGAGAGGTCTGAAGAGGTTAGGAGGGCCAGGCAGTGGACTGGAGGTGCCACACCACCAGCAAAAGACCAAGGATTCTGTTCTAAGGGCCAACCAAGTCTGGAGGCACAGATTTCAGAGTGAGGGAGTCACATGATGAAAAAGGAATGGTGGAATAGAGGGGGATGTTGGATGGGAGGAGAATCTAGAACAATCAGGGTGAGTGACAGGGATGAAATGAAGTTAGGTCCAATATTCTGGGCCTGGGTGACTGGAGGAATCAAAGCATTCTAGAGCGTGAAGTGACCTTAGAAGATGTAATCTTGTATAGCCATTCAGAATAGGTTAATGCCTTTCCTGGGTCCACGGCAAGTTCTTCCTCTCTTAGTTCTCTCAAGAGCTGGTTGTTGAAAACAGCCTAGCGCCACCCCTTCCCCTGCCATTCTCTCCCTTCCTCTCTCACCATGTGATTTCTGCACATGCAGGCTCCCCTTTGTCTTCTGCCATGAGGGGAAGTAGCCTGAGGCCCTCATCAGTTGCAGATGCTGGGTTTCATGCTTCCTGTACAGCCTGCAGAATCATGAGCCAAATAAACCTCTTTTCTTCATAAATTACCCAGGCTTATGTATCCCTTTATAGCAACACAAATGGACTAAGACAGTACCCTCCCTATGGGGCAGTGTCCAGAGAGAAAAGGCCAGAAGACCAAAGACTGAACCTTGAGTCCTGGGAACAGGATCCAGGAGAAGGGGCAGTCAGAGGTGGGATGCAGCCCAGATGTGGTCATGGTGATCAAGGACGCAGTAGTGAAGGTGGTCAGTGCTGTCCACAGGCATGGTACTTGGCTGTGATCTCCCCAGCCCCACTGAAGCCTATTACAGATGGCTGCAAATTCTTTGACACCTCTCCCACTGAGATGGGGTGGGGGAATCTTTGCTTCCTCCATGTAAATCGGAGTAGGTTCTGTGACTAATGCCCCCCATAGAATAGAATGGAAGTTTAGCTGGGCATGGTAGTGCATGGCTGTAGTCCCAGCTACTCGGGAGGCTGAAGTGGGAGGATCGCTTTAAGCCCAGGAGTTCTCCAGCTGGGGCAAGAGAGTGAGAACCTGTCTCAAAAAAAAAAAAAAAAAAAAAAAAAGGAATAGAATGGAAGTAATGTCATGCCAGTGTCCAGTTCCAGCCTCTGAGAGACTGGCTGTTCTGACCTTTAGAATCTGGGAGCACTCAGTTGTGGAACCCAGCCACCATGTTGTGAAGAAGCCCTGTGCAGTGGTCCAAGTGACCAGGAGTCAAAGCTCCCAGCCAATAGCCAGCACTAACTTGTCAGCAGTGTCATGGAGCCCACTTGAAAGAGGATTCTAATTATGCTGCCCAAGCTGTGGCCACATGGAGGAGAGATATACAGTCCCTGCTGAACCCTGCTCTAATTACAGGTTTGTGAGCAAAACTACTAATTGTTAACTAAATTTTGGGGTGGCTCATTACACAGCAACATCTGGTTTTCTCGGTGGATTCAATCCAATGTGCTTGGGTCTCCCCTCCTAGTGCATGGCAGATGGTGGGGGCCATGGGAACTTCCCTCTCTCACTGCTCTCCCTTAACTTTTGTTCTGGTGGCTGGTGACCTCCACGGGGCTTAGAGATCAACTGTGGTCAGTGATTAGGGTGGCCCTGGGCCTCTATGGGGGTTAGGTATTGGGAAAGGTCACAAAGGGTGGGGCCCATGTAGCCCCCACAAGAACAGAACAGAACAGAACAAGCCCTGGCCTCTCAGCTACCCATTGGCATAGCTTCCATTCCTTCCACTTGCATACAGGGAGACTTGAAAACCAGTGGTGGCGAGACTCCAAGACTATTATTTTTATTTCCGGACAAAAACATCTGCTTCACACAGTGCACGGCATCAAATGAAGAGGAAAGAACTTGTATCCCAAAGCCTGGCTTTCTGTATCATCCACAAATTAAGACAGCATCTGCTGAGCCCATGCTGAGCCTGTCACAGTCAACAACTGGGAAACCGGGGCCTCTACTGAACCAGGGGACAAGTAGCCGAAGCACTTAAACAGCTTGATACTTGTTTTTTGGTACATTTGTTTATTTAAAGCACAGGAAATGAATAAAATGCCACCTAAAAAGTATCTGCAATGAATAAATTATTTCCAGTGAAGCACTGCAGATCCACACACACCAGTCTGCTAACCTTTACCAAGGCCATGTCCGGTGGGCTTGTGCTTGTTCCAGTTGACTCTTCCTTGAGACCTTTCCCTTCTGTGCAATGACCACAGCATTAGAGACCAGTCCTGCATGCGCTGGCCTTCCTCGTAGGCATGGCAGACCACGTGGATGAGCAGTGGGCTGGCATGCAGTAGGCTTCAACAAATGGCACTTCACTGTTTCCAGTGACCCTGAAATGTTTTACGTAAGTGGGGCCTGGGCTTTAAAGAAAAGAGCCAGGGTTCCTCAGGCTGGGCCCCTTCACTGAGGCACAGCTCCAGGAAATACTGGTCTCAGGAGCCAGCAACTTGTCCAGGAGTTTTGAGCCCTCAGTTGAAGGAAAATGGCCACGTGGTGTCCTTGCAGGCAACAGTGATGTCGGTGATGGTGACAAGTAGCCAGCCTAAGGAAGGCCAATCCCACCTTGGGTGGAATGCAGGGCACCTAGTCCTGCTTGGAAGGGGCTGGGAGGTTGGGGAATGTCGAGAATGGAGGGCTAGGGCTCCACACAGTGAATTCAAATAAGGGCTCTTCAGTGAGGGAAGGAAGCCGCAGCCCTCCTTTGGCCCTTTATGCAGGGTCAGCATCTCGGCTCACAAGGCCAAGGGTCACTGGGCAGGAACCAGACTTTCAGAAGGGAAAGGTGCCATAGGCAACGCCAAGGGCATGACTTAAATATCCTATCCTCTGGAAAGTGTTCAAGAGGTCTTGCAGTACACGCCATTTAGGAGACTATAAAATTCCTTTCATTTATGCCATGTGAACAAGTTGAGGCGGTGCATTTCCAAGGTGAATTCATTGAATACAATGAAGTACATTTATTTTTTGAAGGAAGTTTTTGCCGCAGAAATATTGAACTTGGGACTGTGCTGACAAGCTATAACATAATCCCTCTCCTTCCAGATCAGAGCAGGGGTGAGGAAGCAAAAGTCCACAGTTACTGGGCAGGTAATTGGTATAAATGAGGGTGTGGGGCTGGATGCGGTGGCTCACATCTGTAATCCCAGCACTTTGGGAGGCCGAGGCAGGAGGATTGCTTGAGCCCAGGAGGTTGAGACCAGCCTGGGCAACATGGTGAAACCCTGTCTCTACAAAAAATACAAAATTAGCTGGGCATGGTGGTTTGTGCCAGTGATCCCAGCTATTTGGGAGGCTGAGGTGGGAGAATTGCTTGAGCCCAGGAGGCAGAGGTTGCAGTGAGCCGAGATTGCGCCACTGCACTCCAGCCTAGGCAACAGAATGAGATCCTGTCTCACATTAAAAAAAAAAAGAAAAAGAAAAAGAAAAAAAAGAAAAAGGGTAATGTGAGCACACATTGGTCTCATGGTCTACTCACCTGATTAGAGATTAATCCCAGTCTTTCTTTTTCATTACAATAAATGCAACCTGCAGGGGCATTGATCAGTAGAAACAAACACTCAGCCTCATTGTGGGAAGTGATAGGGCGTAGTGTGGGCTGTGGTGACCTGGTGAAGTGGACACCCCTTCTAAAGGCAGAGCTGGTGCCCAGCTCCAGCCAGTTGTTGCTAGGTGAGAATGTGAGCCCCAGCATGGCCAGATCTTCTGATCTGGGTTTTTTTTTAAGTGTTAGAGTCCGCAAGCTAAACAAAACATCCCTGTGCGCCAGATCATTTTGTAGCCTCTCCTGTGGGAGTCAGTGGCAGGAAGGTGTGGTAGGCAGAATAACAGCACCCCAAAGATGTTCTGGTCCTAATCCCCACCTGTGGCTATGTTGTCTTGCATGGCAAAAGGCTCTTCCAGGATGATGAAGGAACTTTAGATGGAGAGATTATCCTGGATCTTCCTGGTGGGCTTTGTAAGTCAAAGAGGGAAGTGGGAGGGCCAGTGTCACAGTGATGCCATGTGAGAAAAGCTTGACCAGCCACTGGAGCCTGGGAATGCAGCCAGCCTCTAGAAGCTTGAAATGGCAAGGAACCGGCTTCTCCCTAGAGCCTTCAGAAGGAGCACAGCTCTGCTGACACCTTGATTTTCATTCAGGGACATCCATTTTGGAATTCTGATCCCCAGGACTATAAGCTAATGTGTTGTTTTTAAGCTACCAAGTAATAGGTTGCAGTGGCAACAGAAAACTAATGCAGGGGGCCACTGTTTGGTATATATTTAAACATTTTTAGAGGATGAGAATATTCTCTAAATTTCTCTTTAAATGTCAAAGTATTGCTGCAGCTAGGAGAACCGCACATGGAAACTTGAGGAAATTTCTCTTATTGCTAGGACTATAGGACAATGGGATTCAAGATGAATTTCCACAATGGGATAACCACGAACCGACCTAGAGAATCAGGAAGTCTCTTATCAAAGCAGATATGTGTCAATGCTGCTCAAACACACACATTCTTTTCTGGTTGGACAGATTGTAAATTATTCCCACCACCTGGGGGACAGGCACACGTTTATCTAGCGGTCAGTAGAAGTCACAACCCAGGCATCCAAACCAGTTAGTATGAGTTATTACTAAGTCAGGTGAAAAGAGCTAGGTGGTTATACATTTGATCTCTTAAATAACACAGGACCACCAAATAAATAATAATAAAAAGGCACATTGTCGTTTTCATCCTGGGGACCCCAGTGAGAGTAGGGACCTCAGGTAGGCTCCTTGGAATTGGAACTGTTGTCCTGAAGAGGGCAAGCCTCTGTTTAACACTCTGAATCCAGGGCTTGCTGCAACCCTATGCTAGGTGACTCAGGCCTCTCTCCTCTCATTACAGGCTGGCTAACCGCACAGCCTAAGTTGAGGAGCACATGAGCTGTCATGACTGTATCCAGATTGGAATTCATCATTTTCAATGTCTTGCCCTTAGAATGAGTCCACTGAGCAATGTGAAGTTGGCGGTGTCCAGGAAAACCTCCTGCTGTTCCTTCTGTATAATTCCTCTTCTTTAGGATTTCTGGTTAGGAACACGGACGGGTGTCTCAGTGCCCTGCTTTATGAAACTCAGCAAAGCGTCTGGAATGGATCAAGTTATTCTGCTGGCTCCATGGGCTCCTGAGTGTTCAGTAAGGGAATGTCTGTGTCCTTGCTGCTTACATCCCCATTGTTGGGATGGGAGAAGGTGTACGGTTCACTCTCAGACTCAGGAGGGGAGCGAGGAGGTGGCTCCTCAGTGGCCAACTTTGCAGTTGGGGCCCTGGAGCATATGGTGGGTGGGGAGGGAGGACAGACCCCCATGGTGCCCTGGAACGGCCGGTAGGTGTCCACCTCTGGCTGCAGGAAGGAGCCGCTGGAATCCTGTAGCAGATGCCCATATACCATGGTGTCCTCGATGACTGCATACACATGGGAGTCATTGTCCTTTCGCCCTTTCTGAAACTTTTTTGGCTGCCTCGGCATCTCAGTATTGATGTTGTCATTGTAGATACCCACAGCGGGGCCCTTGTTTGTCTTCTTTTTCCTATTTGGAAAAATGGAACAAGACAGAAGTCAGAAAGGCAAGAATCTTCGATGGGTACCATTGCTATGGCCCTGCTAGAGCTTGGATTCTTTAGGGTTCTGACCATGTCTCCCCCAAATCCCTCAGATTGCTCAGCATTTGAAACTGAAACTACTGTCCTCAGTGAACATTTAGAAGGGACCTGATTTTGTCTCCAGTTTTCAAAGTGGAAACAGAGATCACAGGTAGTAGAAGAGTGGTTTAGAGAGGGCACCTCTATCACTATCTGTGCTCAATTCGTTTTTGATAGATATGCGGTATCCAATGGTGGAGACATCTGACAATCTCTTTCCCCTCCATTCTACCAGAAATGGGCAGTGTCCCAGACCTTCTCAACCACATCAGGCTCAGTCATGCCTAGGTCAATCCTCCCGCACTCTTAGTACTTTCCCGTAGCTCATGCTTTATCTCTCTTTTGCCTGGGAAAAGCTCTGACCATCTAGATTTTAAATGGCGATACAAGAGACTCAGGAGGCCAGGTTGTATCTTAGTTTTCAGTATGAGCTGGGGAGAGGATAACTCAGCATTAGCAGAGAGACCCAGTGCCTCAGTAGTCACCCCCAACAGAGGAAAGAGCTAAAAAGAAGACAAAATTCAGGCTGCAGTGCCAGAGTTCTTCAATAACACCATTAGCATTTGGTTTATAATGTTCTTTGGTACTTGGACCTGCATGGGCATTAGCGCTTGCTGCCACAGAAAACAAAGCTTTGCTCTCCATCTTTGTGAACCAAACAGCAGGGAATGCTGACTTTTTAGCTGACCAGTGATGCAAATGGAGGACATTAGCTCAATTAGCGTAATGGGCCATATAAGGCACAGGCTGGCAGTTCATAATGGTGGACAGGCTGTCTGTACTTTGCTGAGATAAAAATAAACCTGGTACCTTCAGCTTGTAACGCTGAGCCCCTGGCCAGGAGGATGGGTTCCTAAGGCTCCTGCCTGAAGCCCTGTAATGTTTGTCCCCACTAAAGCTCTTCTCATGCTATCCTGAAACTGACTGTTTATTTGCCTGTCTTTTCAGTCCCCCTGCCCCCATAGAAGAGATTGTCTCACTCATCATTGTCCCCAGTACCTCAATGAATCCTAGTGCCCAGGAGACACTCAGGAAGTACCCGCTTAGTGAACATGTTAGATGGCATTGTCTCTCCTCATTCTCACTGCACAACCTGTCCATCCTCCTACAACAGCTTGGGCACGGACAGGCCTTATGCAAACCTGCCAGCCAGCAGCCTCACACAAGCAAGGCCTGTAGCAAGGCTGGACTGACGATTCTCAGGCTTAAACTGGCGCTGTTTCAAGATGAGGCAAGTGCTGGATCTCGTTCCTTGTCCAATTCCCTCCTGATAAGGAACCTGGGGCCCAGTGTTAATGCCATGCTTCCCCAACTGGGTGGGCTATTCCGTGCACCGCAGATGGGAAAATTCCCTGAGAGAAACAGTAACATGATGTTTCCTTAAAAGCAGTCCTTTTTCCCCCATGTGTTATAGGTACAGCCACTTCTCATGGGGAAAAGACCTCCTGCAAGCCAGTCCTTCCTCATCAGCAGAGACATTTGTAGACAGTCTTGTTGTAGACTAGGAATTTCAGTTCTTTGCTCAGGTCCACAGTTAATTTTTAAAAAAGAATTTTTTGGCTGGGTGTGGTGGCTCACGCCTGTAATCTCAGCACTTTGGGAGGCCGAGGCGGGTGGATCACAAGGTCAAGAGATCGAGACCATCCTGGCCAACATGGTGAAACCCTGTGTCTACTAAAAATACAAAAAAAAATTAGCTGGGCGTGGTGGCGGGTGCCTGTAGTCCCAGCTACTCGGGAGGCTGAGGCAGGGGAATCGCTTGAACCCGGGAGGCGGAGGTTGCGGTGAGCCGAGATCGCGCCACTGCACTCCAGCCTGGCAACAGAGTGAGACTCTGTCTTAAAAAAAAAAAGAATTTTTTCAGATTGGCTTTTTGGAAGGTCAAACCATGTTAAGGAAAATAGCTCTCTTCTCTCTCCCATGACTTTAGTCAGAAATATGAGCAGAATTTATACAGTTTGGCGGCAGCACGGACTCTGTCTAAAAAGGTCAACATTTTCCTTTTATAAAATAGAAGCTCAGCCAGGTACGGTGGCTCATGCCTGTAATCCCAACATTTTGGGAAGCCAAGGTGGGTGGATCACTTGAGGTCAGGCGTTTAAGACCAATCTGGCCAATAAGGTGAAATCCCGTTTCTACAAAAAAATACAAAAAAAATTAGCTGGGCGTGGTGGTGTGTGCCTGTAGTCCCAGTTACTCGGGAGGCTGAGGAAGGAGAATCACTTCAACCCAGGAGGCGGAGGCTGCAGTGAACCGAGATTGCACCACTGGCAACAGAGCAAGACTCTGTCTCAAAAATAAATAAATAAATAAATAAAACAGAAGTTGTCCTCCTGAGGGGATGGAAAGAGAGACTGAGGCAGTTAACTGGGCCTTCCTTCCTCTGGGCCACAGGCCTGGCCTCTGTTACATACCTGGAGCCCAACAGGCAAGGATAAAGCAGTTTGCTTAAGAAACTGCAGGAGAACAAGCTGGGACAACACACATTCGTTCTCCTTAGGGTGACGGAGGGAGTGGTTTCAGAGGCACAGTCTGGCAGAGCCTACGTGAGCATTTTCTTGCCAAGATCACTCCTGCTTGATCAATCTACTGAGCAAACAGCACTCTGCTTGCAGGGGACTTGTGCTGAGGCAGCTGCACCATGAACTACATACAGGTGAAAATGTCACGTGTGTTTTATCCCCCCCTCACCCCCAGGCATGGGATTTTTTTTCTCCTGAAAGCATGACTCACACCTGGCAATATTGTTTAACATTGATCTTTGGGGGAAAAAATGGGAAGCAAGAAAACAAAGTCAATAATGAACAATCCACCCAGTCTGTGTGATCTGAGGAGGCATCAAATCAGATAAAGAGAGTAAGAGATTCCACCTACTTCTTTTTCACACAGCAAATGATGAGCCCGAGGGCAGACAGCAGTAAGACTCCACCTCCCACCGCTGCGATGAGGATGACAGTCAAGTCTGTGAGCAGAGACATAAAGAGACAGATGAAGAGGCAGCTGGGGTGAGCTCTGCAATGAACTTGAGGCATCTCCAAAAGCAGCTGCCATCTCTCCAAAGGTGGAGCGCCATACATGTGGCTCCTTGTGTGCACATGGGGCTCCTCATATCACAAAGTGTTTATTTCCTTTCCTCTTGGATCTGGGTCAGCCAATATAAGGCAACTGTGCCAGTTCTGGGCCTAACTTTTAAGAGGATGTCAGCTTGCACTTTCTCTCTGAGAGAAAGCCAGCTACTATGTAAGAAGTCTGACTATGCTGAGACCACCATGCTGTGAGAAAGCCCAAGCTAGCCATGTAGAGATTCCACCGGGGAAAAAAATCAACCCAGTGAGAACCAAAGGCCATAGACATATGTCTCCAGTTGAATTCTCCAAGCCATCCTCTCTACTTGTTCAAGGCTTCTGGTTGGGGCCCCAGATATCCTGGAGCACAGATAAGATACACTGCTGTGCCCTGTCTGAATTCCTGATCCATAAATCGTGGGTAAACAAAATAGCTATTGCCAAAGCCACCAAATTTTGGGGTAGTTTGTATATAGCAATGAACAATTGAAACAAACTGAGGGACCTACCAGATCAACTTCAAAGGCTACTCCTGGCCTACAACAGGTGTGTTCCACTGATTGCCACAGCCTGTCTTGGAGAAGAGAAGAGCAGAGGAGGGTAGGAGAAAGCAGGGAGTCAAAAGTCAGAAGTGAGGCAGCTAAAGGGAGGGTTGTTTCCTTTGTGCTGTCCTTTTCCTGCAGCTGCACAAAGGAAAAAGAAAATAAATCAGAGGGGGAACCCTGTACCAAACAGCGAATTAGAATGTCTTGCTTATTCACCAAGAAAACAAAAGGTGAGATCCAAAGGAAAGAGGAATGGAAAGAAATGACAGAAAATGAATCTAAGAGAGGAAGAAAACCCAGGATATAATCTATGAGTGTGGAGAGGTTTTCACTTGTGGCATTTGGCTCCCACCAGTTCTCTTGAGGCTAACCAGTTGTGTGGCTTGGATGGACCTTCAATCACTCTGACCCCCAGAAAGGGAAAGGGAAAAAAGCAGCCTCCACAGTCCCTTCTGATTCTGACACTGTGATGCTCGGTGCCTTCACTGAGTAAAGGGCAGACATGGCCCCACCACAGCCTGCCCTGCCACACCTGCATTCCCTTGCTTGATACCCTTTAGTGGTGCCCATGACTTTGAGGAATAAAGGCAAACTCATCATCCTGGCTCCAAGGCCTCCCACTGAGGGTATTTCATGGATTCCAACGTTTCACTGAGACTAAACAAAAAACCATGTACCTGTCAGACTTTTCAGGTCCCCATATTTTAATTCATGACACCGAATCCCATGATACTTTTATGAGGTGGCTATTATTATCTACTCTCTGTAGATGAGGAAGATCATAGGTGTGAAGAGACTTCCCCTACGTAAAAGAGAGATGAATGGTAAAGGATGCTGGTAGATTGACTAAAAAAAATCTAGGCTGGCCAAAAGAATGCAGTCGAAGGGATGGTGTGTGAGTTCCTAACCTAAAAGTATCAAAAGACCTTATATGCCTCCTCCAGTCTCTTGTGGATCTCTCTGCCTCTGCCATGAAAACAGCCCAGGCTGGAGAACAAGAGATCATGTAGAGTCAAGCCAAGTAATCTCAGTTGTCTCAGATGATCTTGGCTGAGCCTCAGCTTTTTGAAAGCACCAAGCTAAGATCAGCAAAGTCCTCTAGCCAACCTGCAGCTGCCAGTAGGTGCATGAATGACTGAGCCCTGATAAGTCCAGCTCAGACCAGAATTGCCCAGCCAACGTTGGAGCAATAATAGATGGCTGCTACTAAGCCACTATGTTCTGGGATGGTTTGTTACTCAGCACTATTGATGCAATAGCTGACTGATACATGGACAGTCAGGACTCAATCTGTGATTCTGACTTGTCTCCAGGCTTGCTCTCTATCCTCCAGCTGACAATTTTTTGTTCATCACTGTCCCCAAAGACCCTGAAGGCCCTTACCCACAGTCCTTGGGGTAAGTGTCACCGAGAAGAGCAGGTCTAGCTGCTTGCCGCTCGTGGGGCTGCAGTTAGAGATGTTGACCCAGAAGCTGTGATGGTGGAAGCTTGGCTTGGGGAGCACATCCTCGTCCAGGCTGAAGATCTCCTCAGCCCGGGTCCGCTGCTCCTGGATGATCATGAATGCGCGCCCTGTCTGGCAGACCACGCCGCTCCGCTCCTTAAAGAAAGTCAGGCAGGCCACCTGGTCTCTGGGCACGCTGATGTTCCAGGACACAGAGGTGAGGGATGGCAGGCCCCGGTCCCAGTTGGGGGTCCTCAGGTAGACCTTGCTTTTTGTGTCAGGGGTCACCGTGAAAACGCCTTCCTCTGCAGGAAAGGGAGGGAGATCCAGACAGATGTTTCATTCAGTCAACATGGAGAGGAAAGGGAGTGGTGGAGGAGACGAAGTCCAACTGTCCAGACCAGCGCTGTCTAACCGAACTTTCTGCGATGATGGAAATCTTCTAGATCTGCACCATCTGATAGGGTAGCCACCAGCTATATGTCTGCTGAGCCTTGAAATGTGCCCAGCATGACCAAAGAACTGCATTTTAAATTTGTTTCATGTTAATTTATTATTATTAGTTATTTTTGAGAGGGAGTCTCACTCTGTTGCCCAGGCTAGAGTGCAGTGGCACGATCTCGGCTCACTGCAAACTGCAACCTCCACCTCTCAGGTTCAAGCAATTCTCCAGCCTCAGCCTCCCGAGTAGCTAGGACTACAGGCATGAGCCACCATGACCGGCTAATTTTTTGTATTTTTAGTAGAGATGGGGTTTCACCGTGTTGGCCAGGCTGCTCTTGAACTCCTGAGCTCAAGTGATCTGCCTGCCTTGGCCTCCCAAAGAGCCGGGATTATAGGCATGAGCCACTGTGCCCAGCCTCATATTAATTTAAATTCAAATCATTGCTATGTGGCTAGCACCACTGTATTGGTCAGTGCTGGATCAGTCTCAGTCAGAGTAGGTACTCAGGACTTTTGAAAAAAAACAAAACAAACAGGCAAATAAAAACCAGGCAAGTTTCCCAAACTGGTGGTTATCTCAGCTTCCCTTCAGAAATGCTCTCAACGTAGCTACTATATTCATCTATTGCCCTCTCCGGGGTGGGGCTGGTATAGCCTGATTTCTGTTTCAGAGATTAAAATATCTTCAGGTTCTGGGAAGAGTTCCGGAACTGCAAAGCTGAAAGAGCTCCTGACACGTCAACTAATCCCTTCCTTACCTTCAGGAGAGATAAAACCCACACATTCCACACTGATGAGAATGTGTCTTATTTGCAAAGACTCCTCAGAAGGAGTTTCTCTGGTAACCTTGGAGATATCAGGCAGCCTGGACCCACCTTAATCTTATGACCAAAGATTCTTCTCCCTCCCACTCACACCTCAGAGAATAAGAGTAGGAAATAAACATCAAAGGTCTTGGTCAATTTTAAAATGGCCTCTAACTTAATGTTCTTGGAGCAACTTGTAATGGTGACTGTGACTTTTAAAGTCAACCATGTAGAAGTCACGTTGTGAGCCATTTAGACCTCATTTACTGCCTCAGAACATGGAGACCACATGCCAGCCTCCCAGGAGGGTCGGGTCTGCCCAGCCGTGCTGCTGGACTCTGGCTCCAGAGACTCGTCTCCCTCCCAACGCTCCTCCCTCTGTGCTCTCGGCACTGCATTCTGAATTGTAAAAGCAGAGTCATAAAAATGTCTGCCTAAGGATTTTTATGTCACTACCTTAAAAATCCGGGACTGGGGAATATCTGGCTATTTCTCATTTACGTCCTGCCTGCTTCCAAAAAAGACTCAAACCTGATAATGTTTTTGCTGCCTACCAACCATCGCCTCTCACTGTCAGAAACATTTTTTATTTCTAATCTCAGGAATTTTCCATGCTAGGTTAATGGTAAAGTCAGGATTAGGACTCACTATCTTTCAAATTTCTTGTGCAAGGACCAGCATATTGAGCTATCCCTTCTTTCCAAACTGGCAACTTAATTAAGGTGATCACAAAACTAAAATCAAATAAACGCTTAAACTAAAGGGGCATGGAGATAGGGGAGACCCCCCTTACCTTTGAAATAAGGTATAAAGGACACCGTCAGACCCTGCCTGGAGGCCTCTTGTTGGAAGCTGGGGGCAAAGGTGCGAAGGGTCACCGAGATGTTCTGCTTCACCTGGATCTGCTTGATAGAGCCTCCCGGGCAGAAGGAGCCGAAGTACAGGTCCTGGCTGGGTATGGCACTGGCCACGAGGTAGCTGAAGCTGGTGTTGCAGGGCTTCTCGTGTGTATGCTGCTGCAGCTTCTGGGCTGGCACCAGCACCAGGCTGAGCCTGTCCTTGGGCACCAGCAGCTTCCAGGAGAAGTCATGCAGCTCCACAGGCAGGTGGAGGATGTCACTGGGCACCTGGAGTGAGTAGGATTTCCTTTGGCAGTACCGGTGGTCTGTGCAGCCTGGAAGAAGTGGGGCATGCTAGCCATGCACAAAGGAGACCAGAAGTGCACCCTCCCCAGCTCTCCCGTCAGCCTGAGGTTGGGTGTCTGCATGCTGCCCTGTGTTTCCCTTCGGTCTCTCTTCTCCCACCCTGCCCTCTGCTTCTGGCTCCTCTGTGTTCCTTTTCTAGCGGTCCCTCTGCTCTCTTAGTAAACATTCTTACTGTTTACTAAGCTGGCAAACAAACTTCTGGGTAGTACTCAGGGTTGAAATTTCCTCTCCTTTTTTGCTTAAGTTTTTCTTCTGTGTATCTGTGTCTTAGATGCTAAGTGTCATGGGGCAGGGCACAGGTTTCACTCCACCCAGACGTGTTGCTCAGGAGGCAGTTCTGGGCAGTGGTTGGAGCTGTGAGTGGCGTTGGGGAGATGTTAGTTCGTCTTCTGGCTCTGCCACTTCCTAATAGGGTGTTCTTGGGCAGGCTACTTTGCCTCTTGTGGCCTTAGTTCCTGCATTTGAACTAAGAGCACACATCAGAAGTCATGGTAGCCCAGCAAGGAGGTGGCTGTTGGTTTACTGGCCTTCAGTCATCAAACATTTTTTTTTTTTGAGACCGAGTCTCACTCTATTGCCCAGGCTGGAGTGAAGTGGTGCGATCTCGGCTCACTGCAACCTCCACCTCCCGGGTTCAGGCGACTCTCCTGCCTCAGCCTCCCGAGTAGCTAGGATTACAGGCACCCAACACCATGCCCGGCTAATTTTTTGTATTTTTAGTAGAGATGGGGTTTCGCCATGTTGGGCAGACATGTTGGCAGACCAGCCTGCCCAACCTCAAGTTATCTGCCTGATAACCTGACCTCAAGTTATCTGCCTGCCTCGGCCTCCCAAAGTGCTGGGATTACAGGCATGAGCCACTGTGCCTGGCCAATCAAACATTTTTCAAGTGACTAGTGCATGTCCAGCACCGGTAGGGGCTAACTGGATGAAAAATAGAACGAGTCAAAGTTCTTGACCTCAGGAATCACAGTCTTGTGTGAGAGAAGACAAGAGGGCAGTGAGTGTGGAAGTGGGGGTGTGGGGTGTGGGGGGATGGGGATGGGAGAGGCTGGGGAAGTCTGAGCAAGAGAGGAGAGGATCTCACAAGAGGAAGATTGGAAGGCTGGGCAGAGAGACATAAGCCTGAACATGGGGCAGTATGACACAGTTCTGAGGGCTGCAGGCTCTACCTGAGGCTGGTCCAAAGGGACGTGTTGACACCCACTCTGCTTGCCTCCTGGTCACCCTTGCTCACCTGCACTGTGGGTGGGGTTTTTTTTTTTTTTTTGAGTCTTACTCTGTTGCCCAGGCTAGAGTGCGTGGTGCAATCTCGGCTCACTGCAACCTCCGCCTCCCAGGTTCAGGCCATTCTCCTGCTTCAGCCTTCTGAGCAGCTGAGATTATAGGCGCCTGCCACCATGCCCAGCTAATTTTTGTATTTTTAGTAAAGATGGGGTTTTACCACGTTGGCCAGGCTGGTCTTGAACTCCTGACCTCAAGTGATCCACCAGCCTTGGCCTCCCAAAGTGCTGGGATTACAGGCGTGAGCCATCGTGCCCGGCCAGATGGGCCTTTTTGATATGATTTACAACCTACCCAGGGAACCCCACTAAGGCAAGGCGGGGAGAGAAGAGCTATCCATGGCCAGGGACAAATGCACTGATTCAGGGGCGTACTTATGGTTTTTTCCACATTCATCCACAGACGTGTCAGATCATCACAAAGGAAGGAGATTTTGTGTTTGGAGCCAGATGTCAGGGTGAGGTTGCTACTGCAGGTCCGAGATTCTAGACACACGAAACAGCCAGGGACAAACTTGCGGCTCTGTTTGACGGGCCGTGGCTCGATGGTGAGTGACATGGCTCGCTCATTACTCAAGTCAACCACGTAGATTTTATCTGAAACCACAAACAGAAAACAGGCATGAAGCATGGATCAGCAGCAACACGGGAAATGGCAAAAATTGGTAGAAAACCTCTCCTGAGGAAGAAAATGGCATATCAGACCATGGATGGATAATGTTGGGAAAACGTATTATTAAGGCAACATTACAATAACTATAAAAGACAGTTAAAAAGAAAAATAATGGACTTCACTACAATAAAAACAAAGAGAAAATCATTAAAAATGTGGCATAAACACAAATTATAAAAGTGAAAAAAAGATTAAAATATCTGTCTGATGATAGGTGCTACAAATAAGGTTAAAGGACAAGGGACACGTCGGGAGAAAGTGTTTGCAATATAGAATGATTGAGCAGCTCACAGGAAAGGAGATATAAATGACTAAATATTTAAAATATAGAAAGTTCTTAATGTCACTTGTAATCAGAAAATGCAAGTTAAAACAAAGTGTTACTGTATCCCACTCCTCAGATGGGGGGAAATGTAGATGTCTGGCAATACTGAAAGCTGGAGAGGCTACAGGAAACAGGCCCTTTGGCACACGGCCAGTGGGAGCCTGGAACACCCTGTTACAGAAACATGGGAATTAGTAAAAGAATGAACTCTTGTCTCTTCTGGGAACCAAACAGTGTGACATGGCCATGAGTGCCCACGTTTAACTGCAGCACTGTGATTGTGGGAAACTAGAGACCACCTTATACTGGAATAGATAAACTATGGGGACATTCACCAATGGAATATTACGGAGCTGTTAAAAAGAATGAGGGAGGCTGGGCACAGTGGCTCACGCTTGTAATCCTAGCACTTTGGGAGGCCGAGGCGGGCAGATCACCTGAGGTCAGGAGTTCAAGACCAGCCTGGGTAACATGTTGAAACCCCGTGTCTACTAAAAATACAAAAATTAGCTGGGTGTGGTGGTACATGCCTGTAATCCCAGCTACTTGGGAGGCTGAGACAGGAGAATCGCTTGAACCCGGGAGGCGGAGGTTGTTGAGAGCTGGGATTGTACCACTGCACCCTAGCCTAGTGACAGAGCAAGACTCCGTCTCAAAAAAAAAAAAAAAAAAAAAAAAGAGGGAGATTTGAAAACCTAAATATAAATATTGAGCAGAACAGCAAGTTGTAGATAATATGTAGAGTATGATACAATGCAGATGGTAAAATCTCTCCGTGAAACAAAATAGCTATTTATATATACAGACTTATGTATGCAGATGAAGAGAAAAAAGATCTGGAGAGAAATATGACAAATCCGTGACTGTGGTTACCCCAGAGGAGGGGCCTGGGAGTAAAGACAGACTGAGTGGTCAAGGAGGATTTTAGCTTTGCCTATAATATTTAAATTTCTAACAAGAACATAGTTACCTATTTCTTGCATCATTTGGAAAACTGCTGGATTATTGGTCATTTAGGTGATTTCTATAATTTTGCCATTAGAAATAAATGAACAGTGCCAGGCATGGTGGCTCACACCTGTAATCCCAGCACTTTCAGAGGCTGAGGCGGGTGGATCACTTGAGGTCAGGAGTTGCAGACCAGTCTGGCCAACATGGTGAAACCTCATCAATACTAAAATACAAAAATTAGCTGGGCATGGTGGTGGGCGCCTGTAATCCCAGCTACTCGGGAAGCTGAGGCACGAGAATCGGTTGAACCCAGGAGGTGGAGGTTGCAGTGAGCCGAGATCCCGCTATTTCACTCCAGCCTAGGCAATAGAGCAAGACTCTGTCTCCAAAAAAAAAAGAAAGAAAGAAAGAAAAGAAAAGAAAAAAAGAATAGGGATACCTTTTCAACTCTTTAGAATAGATTACCAGATTGGTTTATAAAAGACTCATTTCACTTTTTAATGTTATCCCTAGAAAGCTCTACACCACAGATGCCTGGGGATCAACTTGTACTGAGTTGCTTTTGAATTTCATTCATTCTTTTGTTTAAAAAAAAAAAAAAAAAAGCCCATCAGATTAGGAAGGCGCCTGTGCAAAGTGGTGCTAACTTTGCAATTCAAGGGTGTTGACAATATCACCCATCAGCGCCGGCGAATGAGTTCAATTCTAACTGGGAAAGCTCTATTTCCAAAAAGGCCTGCTAAACTTCCTTCTTCCTCATAACAGGAACCATATAATTGATGGACTCTCTCCTCTTGAACTGGCTGCAGGGAAGCTCGGTGTCAAATTAGTAGCACAATTAGGAAAATGTTTTATGGCTGTCATATCTGTTAATTGCCTGCTGTAGTTCTTGCTGTCTATTTTCCACGTAAATTTTGACATCACATCCAATAGTGCTTTAATTAGAGAGATGCCATGTCTAGAGCTGAAGTATATATTCTAATGCTGCTAACTTAAATATAATTTGATTTGGAAAATAGTCAGCTTTTCAATCACCTGGCCCCACATCCAGCTCATTTCTTACTGTCTTTCAAAACTCACCTTCATTGTTACCTGCAGGACACCTCCCCACCCCAAAGCCGTGTTAGAAGCCCCTCTGCTTCTGCAGTCCCTGCTTACCTTTACCAAGGCCCCGCCACACACTGCAGTGGTCTCCCCACCCGCTCTTCCCTCATTTCCATCTTACCAAAGCCATGCATGCACATACTTTAAAGCAGAGATTCTCAGCCTTTATTATTATTATTATTATTATTTTGGGGGACAAAGTCCCACCCTGTCACCCAGGCTGGACTGCGGTGGCGTGATCATAGCTCACTGCAGCCTCAACCTCCCAGGTTCAAGCGATTCTCCTGCTTTAGCCTCCTGAGTATCTGTGAAACAAAACAGCTATTTATATGTACAGATTTATGTATGCAGATGAAGAGAAAAAAGATATGGAGAGAAATATAACAAATCCGTGACTGTGGTTACCCCAGGGGAGGAGCCTGGGATAACCGCAGTAAAACATGCTCTGTTCCATTGCTCAATAACACACTCCGTTCCATTGCTGCCTATGGATCTTTCAGTTTCAGGCACTGTCTATTGGCTTCCCACTCAGGAAGATGTGGATTTCTCCTCCTTCACCCCACACCCCCTCCACACCCCACACCCCCACAACACAGCACAGACTAGCGAACACTCACACCACACACACTTCCCATTCCCATTCTCCCATCTTCCTGATAGTTAGCGTCATATTTTCAGCTAGATCTTCATTCTATGTTTGTGTAATCGTGACTATGTAATAATATTAACAGTGTTTAGGTAGCTACACTATATTGCATGCTATAATGATTTTTCCTTTCTGCATAAAATTTTGTGTTCCCTGTAGTGAATTATTATCATTTTAATCATTTCCTTAGTTTCTATGTACTTATCAATAATTTGATACCCAAACTCTCTTCCACTTGTATAAATCTCCTTTCAATAAATTTGAAAACATTAGGTACTTCCTCAACTTCTTAAGAAATCTCTCCAGAGCCTTTTCAATGCTCTAATCTAAAGGGGCTGCTCTTGATGCCTGGTGCTCAGGTGTGATCCTGGATCTCCTTCACTGTTATCATGGGATTCCCTTTGCTTCTCTCTTGGACTAGATCCTGGGCTTCCTGGATCCATCTTTTCTTTTCTTTTTTTTTTTTTTAATTTTTACTTTCTTTTTAGGTGGATTACAGCCTTCAGGTGCTTCTTGAGAAAGTATATATGGGGGTAAATTTTTTTAGATCTTGTAGGTCTAAAAATGTCTTTATTCCACCTTCACACTTAATTGTTTGGCTTGGTATAAAATTCTAGGTTGGAAATAATATTCCTTCAGAACTTTGAAGATCTTACTCCATTGTTTTATAATACCCAGTGTTGCTGATAAAGTTTGTTGCCATTTGGTTTCTTCTTCCTCCGTATAAAACTTTTTTACCTCTTCTCTAGAAGCTTGTAGGGTCTCTGTGTCCCTGATATTCTGAAATGTTACAATACTGTGCCTTGGTGTGGGTCTATTTATATCCATTGTGTGTGGTGGCCCCTTCCAGTTGGCAACTCATATCCATCAGTCCTGGCAAATGTTCCTGAAATATTTTGTGATGATTCCCTTCCCTCTATTTTTTCTCTGTAAAACTCCATCTATCCGGATATTGGGCCTCCTTGACTGGTCCTTGAGTTTTATATTTTCTCTTTCTTTCTATCGCGCTGGCTTTTTCTTCACTCCACTTTCTGGGAGATATCCTCAACTTTATCTTTCAGCCCTTTTGACTCTTTCATTTCTGCTAACATATTTTTAATCTCCAAGAGTTCCTTTGAACTCTTGGAGATTAAAAACGAGCTTTCTCCTGAAAGCCCTTTTTAAAAATTACAACCGGTTCCTTTTACATAAACGCAGCATCTCTTCTTATTAACTTGAGAGTCTTGATAGCTGATTTTTAGTTTTTTCTCCCTCTATAGTCTCTGTTTCCTGCAAGTGGCTTTTCTTCTATTCATTTGTTTTAGTCTTTGTATTTTTCATTAGGCTTCACCAGATGTCTGGGGATCTATATACTGCTCTTATTTAAAGTGAGGCACTAATGCTATTTGGAATAGCTCTGCTTGTTGACTGGGCTTCTCAGTAGGGTGATATGGCCAGATTGCTTCCTGGGGAGCCCATAACATCAATATCTTTGGGTCTTTTCTCTTAGATTGGTCAGATGCCCCCAGAGAAGAAGTCATTCTCTACCGAAGGGAAGAAACATACCCATGGGCACCAGGGAAGGAAGGATGGAGCCTCATGCTCAGTACTTCAGTTTTACTCAATCCCCCGTGTTCAGCTTAGTACCTCCACCTTCAGTGTGACTGGGATCTTTGGTTCAGGGACTCTCATCTCAGGAAAAGAAACTTCTCTCTTCTGTCAGCTCAGGGAAGAACAGTTGTTTGGCTGCTTGTTGGCAAGGAGACCATCTGGGGCTCTAGTGGCTCTTCCCACCTTAGCCCCACATTTGCCCCCAGTTCTGGAGGAGACTTGCTGCCAATTCTTGAGGCTTTGCAGGATAAAGCAGATTTCTTCTTGGTTTTTCCCACTGTTGGCTTAGGATTCTGCCCTTTCACATCTGCTGGATCAGTTACCACCTTTCTACTCTATGAAATGTTATACGATATTTTTTCCTTTCTATTTCTCTTTCTTCCTTGAATTTTATGTCTTTAAAAATACAAAAAAATTGTACCTTAAAAATGTTTTAAAATGCTTTAAAAATGTTCTAAGAAAACCCATTATAGTAGGGTGTATGAAGGGAGTAAAGCCATCTTTAACAGGAAGTCATGATTTTCCTTTTACTTGTTCATCTTTCCCACCAGAATGTGAACTTCATGGCTCCACATAACTGGTATATGGTAGAGGATCAATTACAATGTTAGGCTGTTCATCCTCATGATATCCTTGAGGGAGTGTGTAAATCAGCTGAGGCTAAATTATGCTGCAGCAACAAATGATCCCCAAATCTGAATGGTTAGTATAACAAGGGTTTATTTCTTGTTCACTTTACATATTCATTGTGAGTTGGCTGCAGCTCTGGCTTATGTCTTCTGAATTCCAGATCCAAGTTGAAGAAGCCTCTATTTGTGACACAGCAGTCTTGCGACAGAGTTTGAAAATGTGAACCACATGATGAGTGCTGAGGCTTCTCTCAGAAGTGGCAGGCTCACTTCTGTTCACATCTCATTGGCCAAAGCAAACCCACATGGCCAAGGCTGTGGTCAATGCAGTACCAAGTCTAATCCTCCCTCAGCAGGGGTGGTGAATATTTTAGAACAAAAATGCAATCTAGCATAGGAGGCATTATCACTACCATTTCGCAGACAAACTAAGGCTAGGAAGTGGTAAGACTGGCAATGAAGTCGACATCTTCCTGATTACAAAGCCTGTGCTATTTCTATGATGTTCACTGCTTCCCTGGACCCAACTGCCTCTCCTCTAGCCTGGTGGTTGCACTGAGGAGACAAGAAATTGTGTGGGCCCTGGGACTGGCTTCATGCAGCTCACTTATAGATGGCACACTCATGGAAAAACTCTGCCAACTGCCATCCAGTTTCAAGATGATAGTGAAGCTGTTCCTTAATGTGCTGTAGAAGTGTATTAAATGTGGTCATGTGCTGGGTGCAGTGGTTCATGTCTGTAATCCCAGCACTTTGGGAGGCCGAGGTGGGCAGATCACCTGTGGTGAGGAGTTCGAGACCAGCCTGGCCAACATGGTGAAACCCCATCTCTACTAAAAATACAAAATTAGCTTGGCATGGTGGCGCATGCCTGTAATCCTAGCTACTCGGGAGGCTGAGGCAGGAGAATCACTTGAATCTGGAAGGCAGAGGTTGCAGTGAGCCGAGATCGCACCATTGCACTCCAGCCTGGGCAACAAGAGTGAAACTCCAGCTCAAAAAAAAAAAAAAAAAATGTGGTGATGCTTGGTTTAGTTCAACAGCCGTTCACCGTTCATCAAATATGTACAGAGGGCCTGTTTCTACTTTCAACACTATGCTCCAGTGTTGGTACACACAATAAATAGGCTTTTCCTTACAGAAGGTTGCAATTTAAATTTGCATTAGGTAATACTGTTTTTATTATCTTCATTTTTTTTTGAGATGGAGTCTTGCTCTATTACCCAGGCTGGAGTACAATGGTGTGATCTCAGCTCACTGCAACCTCTGCCTCCCAGGTTCAAGTGATTCCCCTGCCTCAGCCTCCTGAGTAGCTGGGATTATAGGCACTTGCCATCATGCCTGGCTAAGTTTTGTACTTTTGTAGAGATGGGGTTTCACCATGTTGGCCAGGTTGGCTTTGAACTCCTGACATCAGGTGATCCACTGCCTCGGCCTCCCAAAGTGCTGGGATTACAGGCATGAGCCACCTTGCCTGGCATATATTCATTTTATAAAATACAAATTTAAAGCTTAGAAAGGTTAAGTAATTTGCCCAAACTTACATAGCTAGCTAGTGGGTAGGACCCAACATCCAAACATACGGTCTTAACCTTTCGATATATATCTTCCCTTGGTTAAAAAGAAAATTATTTGCTGGGCATGGTGGCTCATGCCTGTAATCCCAGCACTTTGGGAGGCTGAGCTGGGCAGATCACTTGAGGTTAGGAGTTCGAGACCAACCTGGCCAGTATGGTGAAACCCTGTTTCTACTAAAAAAAAAAAAAAAAGAAAAAGAAAAATTATTATTGTTTTGAGACAGTTTCACTCTGTCAACTCTGTCACCCAGGCTGGAGTTTATGGCTCACTGCAGCCGCCGCCTCCTGGCCTCAAGCGATTCTCCCACCTCAGCCTCCCTAGTAGCTGGGACCACTCCCTAGTAGCACATGCCACCACACCCAGCTATTTTTTGTAGAGACAGGGTTTTGCCATGTTGCCCAGGCTGGTCTCAGACTCCTTTGGGCTCAACCAAATATGCCTGCCTCGGCCTCCCAAAGCGTTGGGATTACAGGCGTGAGCCACCATACTTGGTCTTGATTTTTTTTTTTTGACAAATAATTTACACATAATAAAATACACAGATCTTAAGTGTTCAGTGTGATGAGTCTGTACAATTTTGTTATATCCATTGTATCAATCACCCAAAGAAAGATCTAGAACATTCTTATCATCCCAGAGTTTCCTTTGTGCTCTTTTCCAGTCAGTTTCCCCCAACTTCCCATCCCCTAAAAGGCAACGATTTTCTGATTTCTATCACTGCAGATTCTGGCTGCCCTGGAACTTCATAGAAATGGAATTGTACGGTACATACTCTTTTGTCTCTGGCTTTTTTTCTCTCTGCAGAATGATGTTTTTAGGGCTCATCCATGTTGCTGTGGGTATCAGTCGTTCTTTCCCTTATTATTCCTGAGTAGTACTCCATGAGCGAGCATATCACATTTGTTTATCCATTCCTCTGTTGGTGATTTAGATTGTTTTCAGTTTTTGACTTTTATGGATAAGACTGCTATGAATATCCTTGTACAAGTGTTTGAGTAGACACATAGTTTCCTTTCTCTTGAGTAAATACCTAGGTCTCATAGGTAAGCACTATGCTTTGAATATAGCTTGTCCCCACCCAAATTCATATTGAGGTGTGGTCGGTCCCCAGTGGGGCAATGTTGGGAGGTGGTGCCTTTAAGAGGTGATTAGGTTGTTAAAACAGATTAATCTCTTTCTCACAAGACTGGGTTAGTTCCATGGGAGTGGATCAGTTTTCACAAGAGTGGGCTGTTATAAAGCTAGGCTGCCTCTCATGTTTTCATCTTTTTCACACATGCCCGTTTCCCTTGCCACTCCTCTGCTATATTATGGCACAGCAAGAGGCTCTCACCAGAAGCTGAGCAGATGCTGGTGCCATGCTTCTTGGACTTTCCAGTCACCAGAATCGTGAGCCAAATAAATCTCTTTTCTTTATAAATTACCTAGTCTCAGGTATTCTGTTATGGCAACACTAAATGGACTATGAGAGTAGGTGTAAGTTTAACTTCATAAGAATCTGCCAGACAATTCTCCCAGGTGGTCACACCATTTGACACTCCCAGGAGCACTCCATAAGAGTTCTGTTGCCGTCCATTCTCACCATCATTTGATGTTCTCAGCCTTTCTTGTTTTAGCTATTCTAGTGGGTGTGAAACACTATTGTGGTTTTACAGTTTATATTTCTTTTGAAAATTACTGTATAATAATCAGGTGGACTGTGGTGAGATACCTCATGTCCCAGCTAAAACAGAAGCCCAGTTTATTGATTCTGGGGGCAAGACAGACTGCCCGTTATGAGGAGGCTCTCTGTAATATCACACTTCATTCCACTTTCTATTTTGCATTTGCACCTCATTCATTAGTCATTTTACACATTTCTTTCCACACTTCTTTTGGTTGGATCTCAAAATAACCTGAGGAACCTGAGGGGTAGACACAGTTAATTTCCCTGCTGCCTACAGAATGTTTTCATATGTGGCTTCAGCAGGCAAAACAGGGTGGAAATGTGCAGCCCTTATCTCTCACAGATGGGTGTTTTAAATGTAAAATTACCTATTAACATTCATAAATCTATGGAAAGACAAGACAGATCTTTACTCAGTGAGGTCTGTGTGCTTTGACAAGTTGCCTTATCTCACCCTCACAACATGGGGGGAAGGAGGAATGACTATTGTTATTTTACAGCTGAGAAGGTTGCAAATTAACCGCTCAATGTTCCCTAATAAAGGGGCAGATCTGTGATCTGGACACAGTTTCCTGCCTTGAAAGAATCCCATAGTTTTTCTACAACATTGCAGATGCCTTCATATAAAAAACATTTGAGGCTGGGTGTGGTGGCTCACGCCTGTAATCCTGGCACTTTGGGAGGCTGAGGTGGGCAGATCACCTGAGGTCGATTGTTTGAGACCAGTCTGACCAACATGGAGAAACCCTGTCTCTACTGAAAATACAAAATTAGCTGGGCATGGTGGGCTTGTAATCCCAGCTACTTGAGAAGCTGAGACAGGAGAATCGCTTGAACCCAGGAGGCGGAGGTTGCGGTGAGCCAAGATCGTGCCATTGCACTCCAGCCTGGGCAACAAGAGCAAAACTCTGTCTCAAAAAACAAACAAACAAAACATTTGAGCCTGATGTTTAACCCCCACCTGCCACCAAAAGAAAACCCTTCACTATTTAATAGTTATTGACACTGTTGTAAAAGCCACACTGGGGACCTTTGAAGGGATTGGGTTACTGACTGATGTTTCATAAAGGCCCCTAATCATTTTTGTGGTATCTATAGATAGACAATTTTTTTTGGAAATGGACTCAATGGGAGTAAGTCAAAGGCCATAATACCTATCAGCTCAGCAGGACAAATTTAAGACTCATGGAACACAAGTTACCCAACAAAAACAAAAAACAAGAAGCAAAAACAAATCCAATAATTATTTAAGGTTCCAGGTGGCTTCTGGAGGTTGTAAAAGCCAAAAAAGGAGCAATGTATCTGCTTCCACAACCAGCATTCACCCAGAGTGGTTAACAAAGCGTCCTGTGTAACACACTGGAAATGCACATCTGCTTGTCGTATGTGACTCATGATCACCCAGAAGCCCATGGGTTTTGAAGATAATAGTTTGTTTGGTATTTTCAGGAAAGCAAACAGATTTTCCAAAAGCTAGAAGAGGATGCATAAAGCAGTAGGCTAGTAGGCTAGAAGGCTCTCCCTAAAGCCTTATAGATGGGTAGATATATAGATGGGTAGAATATAATATAGATGGGTAGAATACTGTACCATTAACTCACATAATCATTATCAGCAGGGCCACTTGAACCTTTAGAAATTATACAAAGAGAGAAACAGGCTGCCTGGTGAAAGTGGTAATAACATCAGGCATGACATGGTAATCTTGTGATATCAAAAAAGAAAGGAGAGGGTGCATTGTGGAGCACTTAAAAACAAGATTTGTGTGGTAGAGGTGAACATGAACTGAGCTCTCAGACACCCGTGGTTTGCACACTGTGGGCAGCTGAAGCTATCACTGCTTACAGATGTGGTCACGGATGGCCACATCAGTTATTCCTCAGTTCCTGGGTAATTGTACATGACTCAAAACACAGGATGTTTGTGGTCAAGCCATGGAAAAATACTCCCTACAGGAGTTCTCTGGGTCTAGTTTGAACCTACCTGATGTTTCTCAGCAAAGTAGAGAGGACTGATGGTAGATATTTTTATCTTGTTTTTTGGACAATTAGGTTCAAGGTAACACCTGTCTGTTTTTTTGTAGCCTGGGCCCACTGTGCTCAGGTCCTGCTGTAGATAATGAGGGGTTTGGGCTGGCTGGTGCCTCTCACAGCTTTCTCCACCCCTGCTGAGGCTCTGGCTTTCTATGGTTGCACTTTGGTTTGAGAAGGTCTCCAGGCTCTGCCTTTGCTCTTATTTCTGATGCCCTTCTCCTTGTCTGCCCCACCACCAAGCAGCTGCTCTCATGGGTGCCCCACTTCACTGTATCTGCCTTGCCCCTTCAGATGGGCTGTGGGTTCTTATGGTGCAACTGGCTCTTGAGCCACTTTGGAAAAGATGCTGACTCCTGAGATTGGTGCAACACGGATTTATGGAGGGCCTGGAATGTGTCGGAAGCTGTGGTGGGAATAGAAAGAGCAATAAGACAAGATTCCTGACTGGGAGGAGTTTAGTAAGATGCAGACGTGGAGACAGATAAATCCATGTTGTGTGAAGAATGCAAACCACCCACAAGTGCACTCCTGGGGTAGTGGCTTTGGTCTGGGTAGTTGTTCCCCTGCTTCTGGGGACAAAGGAAGGTCAAGTTAGGGCAAAGCCTGGGTTGGACTCAGAGAGGTGCAGCAGTGAAGGGGTCGAGGGGGAAACTAGCCCCAGGAGATTTTCCTCTAGCACTCACAGGAGAAGCAAGGGCAGAGGCTCTGACCCAAAACTCAGTCACCTTGAGGCCCCTCTCTCAGCTTCTTTCTCACCTCCAAGGCTAAGAAAGCAGGAGCAGCACATAGAGCTCTTCCAGTGATCATGAGCGGCACACACCATTGGCACAGATGGGGCCTCCTGCACAGCCTGAGAAGGGCCAGACTCTGCCCAGAGTCTCCCCTTAGTATTCCTACCAGCTGCGGTCCACTCTCCTGCCTCCAACCTCACCACATGCCATTGGAATTCCTTCCATGAGTGACTTGCTGCATCCTACCAATCATTTCTGGAGCCACAGTCTAATCTCTTTGTTTGAACAAGTGTTGTGTCTTTCTTTCCTTTCTTTCTTTTTTTTTTTGAGATGGAGTCTTGCTGTGTTGCCCAGGCTGGAGTGCAGTGGCACAATATTGGCTCACCACAACCTCCACCTCCCGGGTTCAAGCGATTCTCCTGCCTCAGCCTCCTGAGTAGCTGGGACTACAGGTGCCTGCCACCACGCCCGGCTAATTTTTTGTATTTTTAGTAGAGATGGGGTTTCACCATATTGGCCAGGCTGGTCTCAAACTCCTGACCTTATAATCTTCCCACCTCGGCCTCTGAAAGTGCTGGGATTACAGTCATGAGCCACCGCGCCCGGCCCGTGTTGTGTCTTTTCTAACCCTGCATGCCTGCCTTGACCTAGAACCCTGCAGGAAACATTTAAAGAGCGCTCACTACCTGCCAGGCACTGTGCTACCTCACACTGTCCTCACAACACCCCGATGAGGACAGTCTTACCACTTCCACTTTACAGATGAGCAACTGGGTCACAAAGAGGTGAAGTGACTTGCCCATGGTCAAAGTAAGTGGGGGAACCAGATTCAAATCCATGCAGGCCAACTCCAGGTCATTATCCTTAATGGGGCTATGCTGCCAGCAATACAAGCTGCCTACAAACACTTAGCAAATGAGAGAGAATAAAGAATGAGGGCTGGGAGTGGTGGCTCACACCTGTAATCCCAGCACTTTGGGTGGCCGAGGCGGGTGGATCACTTGAGGCCAGGAGTTCAAGACCAGGCTGGCCAACATAGTGAAACCCAATCTCTACTAAAAATACAAAAAATTAGTTGGGTGTGGTGGCAGGCGCCTGTAATCCCAGCTACTCAAGAAGCTGAGGCAGGAGAATCGCTTGAACCTGGGAGGTGGAGGTTACAGTGAGCTGAGAGCCGAGATCACGCCACTGCACTCCAGCCTGGGTGACAGAGCAAGACTCTGCCTAAAAAAAAAAGAAAAAAAAAGAATGGGTCAGACAAACAGGTAGGGGCACAGGACTGGCTTCCTTGGGCTAGCCCTTGAAATTTAGGGTCCACATAGAGGTTCAGAGGATCAAGATGAAGCTGCCCAGAGATCAGAGTTCTCAGGCAGTCCAGCCCAACCTAAATTTATCCCCAAAGATATTTCTGCCGCCAAGTCCACTCACTCCGCTAGAAACAGTGCAAAGTTAGAGGGCTTGACACTGCTAAACACCTCTCAACGGCAGTTATTGCCCTTTAATCTCAGCACTAAATCCATGTCCTTCTTGATGCTGTTTATAGCACGTTTAACAATTTGATTAGTTTTAGAAATCAACCCAGCTGATGTTACAGTTAGCAGAATTAATCAGAGCTTCTAAGCAGCATTCCACCATGACTGAGGTGATAAACAAATCCCCCTGTCTTCTAAACCCCAAGCCCACTCCATTTCTAAATCCTTTTGTGGCTGTTTTCAACATTCTGATTGTACAGTTGTGACAGTGGAATCATAAAAATGTCTCAATGGATACACACACACACACACTATATATATATGTGCATGTATACATATATATATGCATGTATACATATATATATGCATGTATACATATATATGCATGTATATATATATATGCATGTATACATATATATGCATGTATATATATATATGCATGTATACATATATATGCATGTATATATATATATGCATGTATACATATATATGCATGTATATATATATATGCATGTATACATATATATATATATGCATGTATACATATATATATATATGCATGTATACATATATATATATATATATTTTTTTTTTTTTTGAGATGGAGTCTCACTCTGTCACCCAGGCTGGAGTGCAGTGGCCCAATCTCGGTTCACTGCAACCTCTGCCTTCTGGGTTCAAGCAATTTCCATGTCTCAGCCTCCCAAGTAGTTGGGATTACAGGTGCGCGCCATCATGCCTGGCTAATTTTTGACTTTTTTGTAGGACGGGGTTTTGCCACGTAGGCCAGGCTGGTCTCGAACTCCTGACCTCAAGTGATTTGCCTGCCTTGGTCTCCCAAAGTGCTGGGATTACAGGCATGAGCCACCGTGCCCGGCCCCTTGTATATATATCTATACACACATTATACATACATACATATGGACGTTTCCAGGGCAGCACCAGTTGGGCAATCCCTCTAGTGGATCCCACACTGCCACTTTTCAGATGCTTATCAGCCCTACAAAAAACAGCAGCACGCCATTCCACACTCCCACTTAATTTTTCTGCCTGGCTCTGCCTACTTCCTAGAAGTAAATAATAGTAAAAACAAGAATGAGAATCAGCCCTCTGAACAGCGTCCATCCTTAGCAACACACATCAGAAATGTCCTGGTTGGAGACCACTTGCCACAACTCACTCCTTCACATCATGCATGAGGCCCAGGAAGAGCCAGTCTGAGTTAATTTTGTATCTTTTATCTCAAAATCTGCACGACACCCCTCAGGGCCAAGACTGGGGTGAGGCAAGCCAGGCACCTAGGGAGCAAAGTTTAAGGAGGTGCTCACTCTCAGGGGCTGACCTTGCAGGTACATGACCCTGAGAGTGGGTACCTCCTTATATATTGCACCCTGGGCACTTTGCCTTACCCTAGTCCTGGCCTTAACTCCGCTTTTCTATGTTCATGGCATCTCAGCAACTTTTGTGGAATGATGTCCAACCTAATTCTCATCATCCTAACTGGGCTTCAGTGTGGGCCAGAGCACAGGCTCAGGGTTCTGAGCTTGCTCTGCTCTTAACAAGCTGTGTGATGTCAGGCCAGTTCCATAACCTCTCTGAACCTTCTGGTTTCTCATTAGTAAATAAAGATAATTCCCACCTCCCCTACAGGGTTGCAATAAAGATTAGCTGAGATTGTGTAAGTGGCGTGCCTAACACAAGATGACATGCAGAGTATGTGTCCATAGTAGGGGTGCTGAGCCATAAAACTGTAAGTTCCCATCATCATCGCTGATGGTGCGGGTGACATCCTCATTCACATTGCAGGGTCAAGACATAAGATCTAGAAAAATGACCTTTCAATGCCTTCGTTAAAAACAATTTAGCATCTTGAATGCAAGATTTCTTTTTATTGTGCTGAAATGGAACTACATACCGGGTGTTCACCAACAAGCCTGTCTAACTGCCTAGCAACCCACTTCCTGAAACTCTTGCTGGGTCCAGAGTCTAAGTGTTTCAGAAGCCACAGATGAGAAACAGGAAGGGAGCCTCACCCAGGCAGACTACCCAGGAAACAACGAAGGTGCTGGAGGAGGAAGAAAAAGGAAAGTGGGGCTCACTCACTGCTTTCATTTTGTGGATGTTGGACCAAAACTTGGAACTGCAGCCGGAGGATCCCTGGACTTTGGGCATCTTGGTCACAGCCTTGCAGAGAGAGGTTGAAGTTCCCCGCCATGTTCCCAGGCTGCTTGTCCTCCAGCTTGAACACCTCGGGGTTGGTGGTGGAGCCCGGGATGTAGTATTCAACCCGCTCCTCCTTCCTCTCACAGTTGGAGAGGTTGAAGTTGAGGAAGGAGACGCTGGCCCGCAGGTGTGCAGGAACGACAAACTGCCACGTCATGAGCTCATCCTCAGGGAAGCCTTCTGGGTAGTTGGCAGACATCAGGGTTGCTGAGCCTTCACCCTCAAACACAGACTCGATGATGCACAGACCTAGTGGGAGTGGAACCCAAACCAGAAAGAATAGGGAGCCATTAGACCCTGTCCTGGTTGTCTGCAGCCGAGGGGTGGGGGTGTAGGAAAAATGACTGCAGTTCTCAGATCCTGAGCAGTGGGTCTAGATACTGTATATTTGGACTCAAGGCAGAGATTGGGAATGCAGACACATCAGTGGTGTGCGAGTAAATATTAAAAACCGGTCCAGTGGTAGAGGGGAGAGCCCTGACTTATAGCGTCTGCCCACTTCCATAGTGGATGTAAATAATCCCACCACGGTTGATTTCAAGCTACCAACACCAGGTGACTGAATGTGGAGTTGGGCAGTAGCACACCTTTATATTATTCCCTCCATACAGATACGACAACACAAATAACCCTGAAAGCACAGGCAACAGTAAAATAATTAGGAAGTGATGAGTTTTGAGTATTTATTACCTTTGTTTTAAAAATAATTTATTTAATTATGTTAATTTAATTCTATTTTTTTATAACGGATCTGTTTCACATCAGCTCACAAAATGCCTGAACACTTAACAGTCAGCTCTCTGCCAGGTGCAGTGGCTCATGCCTGTAATCCCAGCACTTTGGGAGGCCAAGGCAGGAGGATTACCTCAGGTCAGGAGTTCGAGACCAGCCTGGCCAACATGGTGAAACCCCGTATCTACTAAAAATACAAAAGTTAGCTGGGTGTGGTGGCGCACGACTATAGTCCCAGCTACTTGGGAGGCTGAGGCAGAAGAATCGCTTGAACCTGGAGGTAGAGGTTGCAGTGAGCCAAGACAGTGCCACTGCACTCCAGCCTGGGCCACAGACTGAGACTCTTTCTCAAAACAAACAAAAACAAAAATAAAAACAAAAAACAGCTTTTATGAGCCAGTGTGAGTGAGCTCTGCACATCACTGATACGTTTACAGAAAATGTGAAAGAGATGGAAGACAAAGAAGTTAGAAATGAAGCAATCAAGGTGGGTCTGTAGAACCAATCCCTTGTCATTTTTTTGAAAACAAGTATCACATGCAAAAAGGACAAAGAGAATCACCCCGTTTGTTTAATAGAGAAGAGGGGGTTCACACTAGGAATGCATGACCCATGTCACTTATAAGAGAGCTAGATCTTCCTTTATGGTTTTTATATTGAGTATTAGAGATTTGCTGACATTTGACCATTTCTGACCTAGAACAATGATGATCTTGTGTGTTTTAACCTAATCAGATAGCAGGGAGGGGCTTTCTCACGTTTTATAGATGAGCGGTTTGCAATGCTGAAGCCGGAGACATTTCTGGGGTGGAACCATGGGAGGTGTAAGGCCATTTTCACTCCTTCTTGCATCTTGATCCGGGACACAGTGCCATTGCTGCAGAAGGTTCCGATCCTGACCACGGTGGCATCGATTCGGCCGCTGATGGAGTGAGTGACTCCGTCTGGGCAGCTCTCACCCGGACCGATCTGCCTCAGGCGAGGGATGGAAAACTGCAGCTCTAAACCGATGCTCTTATGAGCTTTGACATCCCAGATGAAAGTTCTGTTGAGGGTAGGCAACAACGATGTCGAGGGCTGAAGCTGAACCTCCCCAAAAGGACATGGGCCTGACATACAGTCTGAAAAACAGTCACAGAAGCAATTTTGATCACAGATGCTCCAAGGCCCCACACCACTCCTCCTCCACCACTCAGCCCCCTGTAGTAGACTCTTTGGGGCTCCCCCAAGGTGGCCTTTACCAGGCAGGGGCACCCAGGCCCCAACTGCTGTGAGTCTTAGTGGCCAATGGCTCACAGATGTACCCTCCTTCGGGGAAGTGCCTCAGCTCGGGGGAGCTGCCTTGAACCAGAAAAGCCTGAGAGGTGTTGCAGCCCCTCATGCCCATCCCAAGGGAGAGGTGCTGTCTACAGCCAATAATGGCCTCCTGCAGGAATTAAAAAGTCTGACCTCCTTGCTTCAAGTGATGTAACCTGGGTATGCCATTCATACTCCAGAGCTCCCCATGGGGTCAGGCTGAAGCTACTCTTCAGCTAAAACCGCATCTGCATTCAGCTACGTGCCCTGCTCTATCCTGCTTTCCTCACTTCTGAGAGCACTTTCTTGATCACTGACTTAAACAAAAAATCCTGTCTCAGGCTCTGCTTCCAGGTCACCAGACTTGAGACATCTCTTAACTACTGTGATTTCCAGATTAAGTTCCTGGGGTCCAGTGGGTGAAGCCAGAAGGAAGGCATTTGTAGCAGAGTCTGTGCTTTGGGATCTCCTACTTCTCCTGTACTAAGAGAGTCACGATTTCACAATTTGTAGAGCACAGTGCCAAGATCCATCCTTTAAAACTGGTTTCCCCATCAACACATTCATCAACATAGCAAATATACTCTGAACGTGCAACTCCCCTGGACAGCTGGAATCTGGCGGCGCCATTTCTCTTCTTGCACTGCCTTAATGCTGATATTTTATAACCACTGCAGTTGAATTTCTTTTTTTAAGGCTAACAGCTAATAACATCCTTTGATATATTTGTTTCCTAAGCCTTTTAAAACAAAGCAAGAAATATTATCAAAGAGAAAACAAGAGGAAAGTGAGGGGACGAAACAGAAAGTAGGCAATGTAACATTAAGGTTTTGTTGTTTTGAGCAGGGGGCATCTGAAAGGTGTGATAGACTCTGGCCTCCATAATAATAATTTGTGAATCTTTACTGCTGTTCTATTGGGGTATTTGAAAGTATTGTCCACTCAAAATAGAATTATGGAGAATTTCAGATCAGTCTTGGATCTCTGAGGTCATCCAAGCCAGACCTCTAATTTTTGCAAAGCAGCTGTGGATCCAGGTGACTTGGGCTGGCACTTGCAGCAAGTACACGGCAATTCCAGATCCCAGGACGAAAGCTCAGGCTGTGTTTGGTCAGCCCTTTCTTGCCAATGCGCTATGCTGTCTAACCAATAACACAGGGTTAGATAACATGGTGACTAACGTGACTAAAATTAGACTTTGCGTGTTAGTAAAGGTAGTTCCTATTTTAGGAGCTCATGGAAACTTCAATGTTTATATCAAGCCACCTCTTTCTTTCAAAAGCAGACCTCAAGTGATTTTCCACGCACACCTCCAGTGTGCCCAGGGCAACATCAGTTGGCTCTGGCTAGGTTCTGTACTCTTGTGGAAACATTTAACTCTAGTAAGGCAGTGACTCTTAGCTCTGGTTCTACCTACAACTCACCTGCAGGCCGTTTAAAAACTACACATGCCTGGACCATCCCAGGGATTCTGATTTAATTCTATAGTAAAATCTGGAGTCAAAAAGCCCCATCTCCCAGCCTCAGCTCTGTCAGCAGCCATGTGACACTGTGAGAGTCAGGTTATGAAAGCAATTTTTCATTTGATGCTAAGAGCTTTGTTTTTTAGGATGAACACACAGGTAAGAGTAGTCAAAATGATTGGCATGCCTCGGAATCTTCTCCTGTACTCTGTCCAGTGAAAACATTTTAAATAACTAAAATGATTCCTGTCCAGAGGATGGAGAAGTATTATTTCTGAAGTGATTCATAAACTCATTTTCCCCAGCAGATTTCTAATTTCATTAACTCTCTTTTTTTTTTTTTTCTTTTTGGAGATGCAGTCTTGCTCTGTCACCCAAGCTGGAATGCAGTGGCACCATCTTGGCTCACTGCAACCTGTCTCCCAGGTTCAGGTGATCCTTCTGCCTCAGCCTCCCAAGTAGCTGGGACTATAGGTGTGTGCTGCCATGCCTGGGTAATTTCTTTTGTATTTTTAGTAGGGGTTTCACTATGTTGACCAGGCTGGTCTTGAACTCCTGACCTCAGGTGATCCATCTGCCTCAGCCTCCCAGAGTGCTGGGATTACAGGCATGAGCCACCATGCTCAGCCAACTTTCATTAGTTCTCATGGAACTATTCAAGAAGAGATGAGAATGGAGACATCAAATTTTATCTGATGCTGATTTCAGAATGATTGTTCAGAAAAGGCAATGAAGGGCAGGTGGACCACTGGACCTGATTCAGTGTCTAGATTTATTATTTTAGAAATTGATATTTTCATATCATTTTCAAAAGTTGTGAGCATGGGTTTTTACTACATAGTAAGCCATGTGGGCATCCTAGGATTGAGAGACTGAATGCATTCAAAGGCTTGACTTGTGAAATGTGTCACTTGTTACATTTTTCCTTTTTCAAAGTGGAAGTCACTTTATTGGTTTAACTGATTATAAAAGTAATGTACAGTCGTTTTAAAAACAAACAAAAAGACAAGTGGGTGTGGTGGTGTGTGCCCAGCTACCCCAGAGGCTGAGGTGGGAGGATCACCTGAGCCCAGGAGGTTTGAGGCTACAGTGAGCTGTGGTCACCACTGCACTCCAGCCTGGGTGACAGAAAAAAAAAAGGTGGGGGTGGGGTGGGGTGGGGCGGGGAAGTACAGAAAAGTAGAAAGAAGAAAATGTCACCTGTTCCCCTCTGCCATCCCCTATAGAGTAGTATAAAGTTAGAATTTTGGAGTTTTGGAGTTTATCCCTCCAGACTTTGGGTTCTGTATGATTGTGTGTGCATGTTTGTGTGCATGTATGTAAGTGTGCATGTGCACATGTGTGTATTTAATAGAGTAGCATCAAACTATATAAACTATTGTCCTACTATAAGCTGCATTGTTTTTAATGGAACAAAACTATTTTGGGCATCTTTCTATGTCAAATACACAAACTTACTTCATTCTCTTAGTAGCAACACACCATTCCACTGCGTTCTTAAATATATCAACGTTCTCTTTAACTCTGTAAAAGCTTCATTAAAATTTTAATTATAATTGACTTAAATTGATAAATTAATATAGGGGAGAATTTACACTTTAAAAATACTTAGTATTTCTTTTTTTTTTAAATTTTTTTAAGACAAATTCTCACTCTGTCATCCAGGCTAGAGTGCAATGGCACAATCTCGGCTCACTGCAACCTCTGCCTCCTGGGTTTGAGTGATTCTCCCACCTCAGCCTCCCGAGTAGCTGGGACTACAGGCACATGCCACCACGCCTGGCTAATTGTTTGTAAAAATATTTATTTTTCCTATCAAGGAACATGGCATATCTTTCCATTTATTTAAGTCTTCTCTTTTGTCTTTCAACAGAATTTTATATTTTGCTTCGTATACTTTATGTACTTATTAAGATAATCTCTATATATTTAATTAGAGATTCTGAATAATGGTGACCAAGGGCATGCATAATAAGCCTCCTTATGTTATTGCCTGTTTTATTGGTAATGCTGCCATATCTGATAGTTAAATATGGTATTTGCTATCAGTTCTTGATAGATGCTCTTTATTGAATTAAGAAAATAACCTTCCATTCCTGATTTACTAAGAGTGTTTTATGAAAGACATTTAAAATCTATGTTCATACTGTTCTGTTAAAAAAAAAAAAAAAAGACATCTAAAGTCATCTATTGAGATGATCATATACAGTTTTTTCTCTCTAACCTAATAATGCAAAGCATCACATTAACTGATTAGCCAGGTGGTTTATGTATCATCTATGGCAGATTTCACTCTGTAATAGAAGAGTTGAGGAGCCATAGTGTTCCGTTAAAAAAAAAAAGACATTTAAAATCATCTATTGAGATAATCATATGTAGTTTTTTCCTCTCTAACCTAATAATGCAAAGCATCACATTAACTGATTTGCCAGGTGGTTTATGTATATCGTCTACAGCAGATTTCACTCTGTAATAGCAGAGTTGAGGAGCTGTGACATGATACAAACCTCCTGGCTCACGGGCCTAAGACACCTACTATCGGACCTTATCTGAAAGAAGTTTGCCAACCTGTCTCTAGAATGGTTTGAATGTCATAGAAATTATCTGCTCCTTGAAGTTTTATAGAACTCACTTGTAAAATCATCTCTAACTAACCCAAACTGTTCTCCCCTGTCTCGGGCATTTTTTCCAATCCCCTCCTTGGTTATTTATTTATTCAGTTTTCCTACCTTTCCATGAGTCAATCCAGCCCATTAAATTTTCTTTGAAAATCATCCACTTCCTTTGGATTTTCACATTTATGATGAAAACGTTATACACAGTCTCTTACAATTTTAGAAATAGTCTCTGTATATATTGTTAAGTCCATTTTTATACCTTTAATGCTGTATATTTGTATTTTCTTTCTTTTTTCCATGAGACTAGTCAGGGATTTGTCTATTTAATTAGTCTGCAGAGAACTAGGTCTTGGTATTAGTCATTAAGTGTAGTTTTTAAAATTGATTTCTAATACTTCAATTTCTCCTTTTACTTTTGAATTCCTTCTTCCTAAGGTATGGCTTTGATTGGATGACAAATAGTGCTCTTATTCTTGTTAATACATCTATTCATCCTATTTGACATGGCCCCCTTAAAATGATTGAGAAATTATAAATGCATGTTTCCCTACCTAATTATTATTATTTCCTATGTCAATCTTCTATCCCAAGCTCAAATTATGAATAATAAAACCAAATATCTATAGTTTATTTAAGTATTATGTGTCATCCATTTTTCAATCCATTATTTTATTTTATCCTCACAACTCTCTTGTTTGGTACAATAATCCTTATTTTATAGACTAGAAAACTAAGGCATTACGCAGTTGAATAATTTGCTTAAAGTCATGTGATCACGTCACATGAGTAGTAGCCCTGGAGCTTGAAGCCAAACCCAACTCCATCATTCTCCAAAGCAGCCGTCTCTTCCACTGTGTCTTATGGATCAATTGCTCTATCTTTATCTCCTCAACTTCTTTTTTTTTTTTTTTTTGAGACGTAGTCTCGCTCTGTCACCCAGGCTGGAGTGCAGTGGTGTGTTCTGGGTTCACTGCAACTTGTGCCTCCTGAGTTCAAGTGATTTTCCTGCCTTAGCCTCCCAAATAGCTGGGATTACAGGCACCTGCCACCACCCCTGGCTAATTTTTGTGTTTTTAGTAGAGACAGGGTTTCACCATGTTGGCCAGGCTGGTCTTGATGCCCAGCTAATTTTTGTATTTTTAGTAGAGACAGGGTTTCACTGTGTTGGCCAGGTTGATCTTGAACTCCTGACCTCAGGGGATCCGCCTACCTCAGCCTCCTCAGTGCTGGGATTACAGGTGTGAACCACCACGCCCGGCCTCTCCTCAACCTTCTGATTCTTTTGTCTTCCGTATCAGCCAGATATTTTTAGCACACAGGATGAGCATCACAGACCTGAAGATCTGTAGCTTGTGGGCTTCTGTAGTGCTGCCTGAAGAGCCTATGTGCACAGTGGCTAAGTGCAAAGACTTGAAAGCCACAGTACCTGGGTTCTTCTCCTGATCTTCTGCTTACTAGTTGTGCCCACTTAGGCAAGTTCCTCTCTCTGTGAACTTCTCATAGGGCTGTTTTAAAGATTAAACAAATTAAGCTGTGTAACGCATTTAGAACTCTAACTGGCCACATCAGAGCTAAATTAAAAAACTGTAGAGTTTCAGAATAGATCTTAGCTCTCTAGCATTAGAGACTGACTTAGCATGGGAAAGACAGTCAGGGAGGTGTAGAGACATTTAAAAGACATTGTCAAACAGCTCACAAGTGTCTACTTACCAATATTTTTCTGGATCTCTATGACAAAGTGATTCTCAGGACTCTGGCAGCTAAAGGTAAAGACTATTCTTTCTCCAGACTTGATGGACAACATGGTTATATGTCTTTTAGAAATGACGATGTAACAGGGTTTTGCCAGCAGAGTCGGGGTCCCCAGCTTTATGAGAACTGTAATGTTGCTTTCTCGTGGCAGAGCAATCTCAAAAGCTTCTGAAGGAAGGAAGGAAAATGAAGTAAGCAGGATGATTTAGGTCTGCAAACTGCTGTGGTCCCCGACCCCAATCTGGTTCAGAGAGGATGTCCTCTATGACAACTTTGTTCCTTCCCTCCTTTTCTGAGAAGAAGGGTGGTGCAAAATGACAGTTCCGACCTTAGCAATGAAAAAGAACCAGGATGCTGCCAGCTGGTCACTGACATGTGTTTCTTGTTTGGATTATTAATTTTTCTACAAATTGAAAACACTATACCACATTCTAGATGTCTTGAGCAGTATGCTGTTAGATATCCCATCTGAGCAGTATTAAATAACAACCAGAGTAACCACCACACCTTTTCTCAACATGACAGTAGAACAAAGTCTACACACAGAAACCATCCATCATAGGGAGACACATTTATCTGCAAAGAGCTGCTGTCCCTTGCCCTGGGTGCTTTATATGCCCAGCACATACACACATACACACGTACGTACATACATACATATGTATGTACGTATGGTAGTGGGGGCTAGAAAAACATTTGCAGAAATTAGATATAATCATATTATATCAATGAATTTGGAAAGTTAGAGCAAAACAATGCTATTATCTCAGATTGGGGTTTAGAAAAAACACCTGAGCAAACAGTATCAAGCAAGTGAGGTGGGGGTTGGTTATTAAACAGAATTGTACAAATGTCAGAGTAGGGCTCTGGTTCACAAACAAGCCCAATCTCCTTCCCATTTGCTTTGCTTGATTGATTAAGTGCTCTTAGACCAAGAAGGGAGAGCCACTTTCTCCTTAGCTGACACTGCCCCTGCCCTATCTTGGATTCTGATTATGAGTCTCCGGGCAGCTGATGGCCTGGGAACAGCAGATGATGGGAAGATCGTCTGTAGGTAAATCCTGTGGAGGGAGCCTAGGGGCTCACAGTTCATGTAGCACCATGTTCTGGTACAAACAGCTGGTCGGGATCTGTTATCGTGCTGGCACACAAATGGTGCTTGATAAACAGTTAGTGAATGAATAGCAATCTAATCAGAAGCTTTTGTTTCCCATCTATTCTTTTTTCCCTCCTTGTAAAAATTTATTTTTAAAAAATCAACCTTATTGACAGTAATTTACACACATTAAAAAGGACTCACTCATTTTGAGAGTTTTGACAAATGTATACACTCATGTGACCACCACAATCAGGATATACAAATATTTTCCTCACCCTCAAAAGTTCCCTCAGTGCCCCTCTGCAGTCAACCTCCACTCCAAGTCCTAGAAAACTGTCAATGAGTTTGTCCTGCTCTGGACCTTCATGCAAATGGAAGCCTATAGTACTTTCTCTTTTGTAGCTGGCTGCTTCTGCTCAGCATGCTTGTGAGATTCACCCACGCTGCTGCATGGGTCAGTAGTTTCCTCCTTTTTATTGCTGAGTACTATTCCATTGACAGAATAGGCCATGATTTATTTATCCATGCACCTGCTGAATGACATCTGAGTCCTCTTCAGTGTTGGACGAGCCATGTGCTATAATTTTACCATAACTGCTAGCCTGCACAAGACTGGATGTACTTCTGCCAGCTGCCATGAGTGAGCATGCTGTATTCCCACAGCTCAGCAGCTGTATGTGATCACACATTTGGATTTCTGTCACCCTTTTCTTGTGCCTCTCTCTCCATTCTACACTCTGCTCCAACCCCACTGGCCAGCTGCTCCTTACATAGTATGGAAATTGATCTCCCAACCTTATATGAACTGTAAATATTTTCCCCAGTTTATCGTTTGCCTTTTGACCTCACTTAGAATGGTTTTTCAGGTATGAACTTTACCCTCTTTGGGCCTCTGTTCCTTCATTGTAAAATGAAGGGGTGGGGCTAGAATAACTCTACACTCCCTGCCAGCTCTGAGTCTATGACTATTACCTGAGTAAGTAGGAAGCGACTTTGTAACTGGAAGAATTCCCAACTACTGCTCAGAAATGACATATCTCTCTGGGCACCAGGGCACTGCCATGGCCAGTTTTATGACTGCAAGAGTGCTTAGATTTCCATTTTTGGGGCAAAACTTCTTGTCTTTCTGGCTTCTGCGTGTAACCCTCTCCACCTTAGTCACTGTGTTCAGGCCAGTCTTGCCTTCTTTCTTGAACACACCAACCTCTTTCCCACCTCAGGGCCTTTGCACATGCTGGTCCTGACACCAAAAGTGCTTTCTCTAGAAAAAGCTGGCTCCTTGTTGTCATTCCGGTCTCAGCACAAAGGTCACATTTTCAGAGTGGCCTTCCCTGACCAGCCCACCTAAAGTGCTCCCCTCCCCCCACCACTTCAGTCCTCCTGAACCCTGCGCTTGATGTCCGTGAGCTCCTACAGGAGGCAGCAGGAACTTGCCCGTATTTTTTAGTGGTAGCCCCACGACCAAGGCAGTGCCTGATCCCCACGAGGAGACAAAACGTTTTAAGCCCCAAAACAACTCCATATAAAACTATTAGTCCCTGTGTGCTTGTCTTCACCGCATTTAATTTCTCATAGACATACTACCATTCCCATATTTTACTTTCGGCTAATAAATCCTGGCAAGAACAAGGGACTATGCATCTTTTAATTAATAGCTTGAGAGAGAATATATTCTCAGGGGCAGAAGTTTTATTTGCTCAAATGCTTGGTCTTCAAGCAGTGTGGCCATTTAGAATCTTCTGAGGCTGAGGAGTTCCTCAAGATGTCAGATTAAAAATGAATCCAGATCTATGTTCAGAAACCCAGTTGCCAGGTTTATATCTGAGCTGTATATTACAACTCTTGTGTTCTTTTTCTGTAATCATGAAAACGTCTAACTGTGTTATTTGTAAAAAAAATTCTTGGAGCCCTCAGTCTCTCCAAGTTGGGCTAATTCACCAGCAAGTGAAGCTGAGTCCAATCTGAGGCTACAGCCCATCTAGCTATGTTACCAATTTCTTTCTTATTCCCATTTCCCCTTCTGTCAGCTTTTTTATCCTTTATTTAAAAATTCCTGCCCCTATGATCATTATTTTAAATCAGTGCTAGACGCTAAGCAGAGCTGCATTGCCTAAGGCTAGAGATGGGGAGAGGGAATGGAGTACCAGGGGGCAAAGCAGACCGTGCAGGGTGAGGGGACTGTTTTGTATCTTGACGATAGCAGTGATTACACCTTGTATACAAATGCCAAAATTCATCAAACTGTACACTTAAAATTGATGATGTTTATTTTATGTAAGCTATACCTTAATAAAAAGAAAAAGTGTTCAAAAGATCATGTTTTCACACAAAGTAGGCATGTAATAAATTAATAAAAGAATAATCATTACCACAGTTAAAATATGGTTTAATAATATTTTGGGGGAAGCCTAGGTATATGTAATATTTTAAATCTCTTTAACTTAGATTCAGAGAAGACCAAAGCTGATCTCACCAAAATCTCTCCACTCAGTTCTTCTCTGTTGTTTGGCCAGGTTAGTACCCAAAATAATTCTGGGTATATGGCAAGGTATTCTTTTATAATGACAGTCAAAGAAAAATGTATAATCTGTATTTTTTTTTTTTTTTTTGAGACGGAATCTCACTCTGTTGCCCAGGCTGGAGTGCGGTGGCGCAACCTCGGCTCACTGCAACCTCCGCCTCCTGGGCTCAAGCTATTCTCCTGCCTCAGCCTCCCGAGTAGCTGGGACTAAAGGCATGTGCCACCACGCTCAGCTAATTTTTGTATTTTTAGTAGAGCTGGGGTTTCACCATGTTGGCCAAGCTGGTCTTGAACTCCTGACCTCAGGTGATCCACCCACCTCAGCCTCCCAAAGTGCTGGGATTACAGGCGTGAGCCATTGTGCCCAGCCAGAAAAATGTATAATCTCTTTTAGAAATTTTTTTTTGAGACAGAGTTTCCCTCTGTTGCCCAGGCCGGAGTGCAATGGCGTGATCTTGGCAACCTCTGCCTTTGGGACTCAAGTGATTCTCGTGCCTCAGTCTCCCGAGTAGCTGGGACTACAGGTGTGCCACCACGCCTGGCTAATTTTTGTATTTTGTAGTAAAGAGGGGGTTTCACCATGTTGGCTGGGCTGGTCTTGAACTCCTGGCCTCAAGTGATTTGCCCACCTCGGCCTCCCAAAGTGCTGGGATTACAGGTGTGAGCCACTGCACCTGGCCTAGAAATTCATTTTTTAAAGAATTTTGGAAATGATGTATTCATTCGACAAACATTTTCTGGGTTCATAATCTATTCTAGGGACACACTTGGTGCAAATGACTTAATGATAAAAACAGCCAGAGTCCCTGCCCTTAGGGAATTAATAGCCTAGACTAAGGGCCTACAAATGGTCTGTGATAAAGTTCTAAGCCCTAGTAGGTATAACAAGGGCTCTGGGAATCTGTACTGGTCTATGCTGAGACGTAGGGATTTTTTTTTTTTTGGTCCATGGTGAGAAGTAGGGATTCGCTTTTACTTTTTTTTCCATATGGAGAGCCCATTGTTCCAACTCTAAGCGTTGAATATACCAGTCCTTCCTTCATGAATTACTAATGCTACTTCTGTTGTTTCTATTTTTTATTTATGGTCTTTCACACAAACTCATTTTGCAATCAAGGAAGATGAAACCTTACGAGGGTTAAATGACTCACTCCTGGTAGATGTTTAACGTCTTAATATGTTTCTTTGCCCTGGCTGAGATGATCAACCCAGCACGTTCTACTGTCCAGCTGTAGTTTGTAACTATTCTTTGGTATACCAGACCAGAGAATTTGGGCTTGAGTAATCCCCCACCTGGTGTCCAGCTCATAGTTCAGAGGAAACAACTAAGCTAAAGACACATGATAGGCAAAGCTGAATTTAGCTACCTTTCCAACAGGAGGAGATGACTTATATTATAGGCTCTTTTCTAGGGTCACAGCCAAGGACACATCACTCACATGGCTGTCATTTTTAATGATCCCCCTCATCCTAACTGATAAATAAGTTAGCTAGAAGGGGTGAACAGGAGCAAGAAGATAATGATTCAACACCTTGTACATACTTGAAATGTGGACTCTCTCCTGACCCCCACCAATTCTGCCACTCTGGAGGCATTTATTTCGCTGCAATAAAAACAGTGGTAAAATCCCCACTGCTTAAGTAGAGTAACTTGTCAGCTCATTTGATCACAAATGCTTGGATCACATCTCTTTCTTTTGCCTCCCCAGGAATTTGGTATTTCATTGGTCTAATATTTCAGAAAATCATTACCCAGGTTCAGAGAAACTTAGAAATGCTCCAGATTCTGGTGTGACTTTGAGGCTTTATGGGCTGAAAGGCATCCAAGCTTTCACTAGAGCAGTGCATGGGCTCCTGGGCTTAGGGCATTTGGAAAAGCTTACAAGGCACAGGCTTGGGCTCCTGAGTCACACACAGCTCTTTTCTTCAGCTCTCCTGCCTCCTGACCTCTCCTTATTAGGACACCTTTGTGAGCATCTGCCTCACCAGCTCCTTCCTGGGCAGGCAGGGTTGGGGGAAGAATTTCCATTTGTTTTAATCATCATTCATGATTCACCATTCATTAATCACCATATCACACATCCCTGTTATTTCTTCTCCCTGCCATCCTATTTCTTTGCAATTCTCGATTCTAGTAAGGGAAACTAATGTAGGGGAGGGAATTCCAGGTGATAAACACCGGAAGTCATTTTTCTCCCAGATCTGTCAAATACAGTTTAAAAGACTGGCAAAATAACTGGCAACCCGTCTAAAATTTGTAGACGAATTGGAACAAGTTGCCTCAATTCTGGGTGTGGTTGCCTGTGGGACTCGGCTCTCATTCACCTTCTCTGTCCAAGGAAGATGGACTGAGCAGCTCCCAGCCAGGGCTGGGCTCAGCCTAGGCACCAGGAGATACATATTAAGATGCATGGTGCCCTGGAGGAGTGCCCAGGATGCCAAGGGAGGCAGACTCAGAAACCAAGAAGTTTGTGGCTGCTCAGTCACGGCTTGCATGTGAGTCAGGTTCCACTTATGGCCAAAATAGCCCTGTCCTCTCTTAGGAAGAGGTCACATTGCAGACCAACATTCCATTCTCAACAAGTCCAGCAGCTGGTGTTTCCTCCATCCATGGAGCAGATCCCTGCTTTTCAGACTGAGCATCAGATAAGTCGTGATATGCTTTTAGGGGCCAGGTTTGCAAAATACGTTTCATTAAATTGTGGATGTGCACACCATGGGAGCCCCAGGATGTCCAGCAGATTGGCAAGTTTATACCCTACCTCATATCCACCCCAAGGGGACACACACACCATTGCAATGATTTCTCCCAACCTTTATTCCCTGCAGGGAGCGAGTGTTGAATTCACACACATTGAATGAACATTTGCCTGTCTGTTCATTAGACCCAAATAGTAATTTTAGGACACCAGGGAACTTCAAGGTACTCTGAAGACATTGAGGGTCTGCTATCAACCATCTGGGGGTGGTGGTCAAGGAGGGCTTCACAGAAGGCGTATGACTTAAGATGGGTCTAAAAGAATGGATATGAGTGTGCCAACCAGGAACTGTGAGATGACTGTCAGGAAGGACAGATGGAAGGAATAGCAGGTGCAAAGATGCCAAGATATGAAAATCATGGCTTCCTTGGAGCCACTCTGGGGAGTTTGATTTGGCCAGAGTTTTGTTTGGGTGGGTAGAGGAGGCTGGAGAAGTGGGAAAGGGCTTGGTTGTTGGCCACGGAGTTTGGGCTTCACCCACTGGGACCAGCACACCTTAGCAGCTTGGTGTGGTGGTGAAGAGTACAGATTCTAGAATCAAACTGTCTAGGGTCAATTCCCGGCACTACCACTCACCCAGATGTGCTTCCTTGGGCAAATTCCTTAGCTTCTTGGTGCCTCACTTTCCTCATCTGCAAACAGGATAATAATGAAATTCCTGTAAGGCCTAAATGAGTTAATACCTACAAAGTGCTTAGAATGGTGCCAGGTAGTCAATCAATATTGGCTGTTAGTATTGTTGATATTATCAATGATAGCATATTACAACTACTACTAGCAGCGATGGGGCACCATTGAAGGGTGCTAAGCAGACAACTATAGCAGCAGTTTGGCTCTGAGTCTAAAGCCTACAGTCCTGGCTGGCTGGGTGGGGACTACGTAAGGCAGGCAAAGCACTGAAGAGGCAAACCTTAAGGAGGCACTCACTGTCAGGGCAGTGCCACTTAAGGAAGCAAGTATGAGTGCCTCCTTAAATTCTGCACACCTTATCTGCCTCACCTAGCCATGGCCCTGGCCCTGATCATTGGCTATTAATAGGCCCTTCTACATGTTGACTCATGTGACTCCAGCACCCTCACTGAGACCAGAGAAGTGACCTCCCTTCTCCAAGTTTGCTGAACTCAGGAGGCAGCTGGGACATTCTGGTTCAACCCTGGCACCTCTGCAGTCTCCACCCACCCAGGGTACCACAATGAGCTGCCCTCATAGAAGCTGCCAAGGCTGGTCAAGTTACCTAGCAGAAGAGGAGCAACTGCTGCCATTCTTTGTCTCTCTCTCTTTCTTTCTTTCTTTCTTTCTTTCTTTCTTTCTTTCTTTCTTTCTTTCTTTCTTTCTTTCTTTCCTTCTTTCTCTCTCTCTCTCTTTCTTTCTTTCCTTCCTTCCTTCTTTCTTTCCTTCCTTTCTTCCTTCCTTCCTTCTTCTCTCTCTCTCTCTCTGTTTCTTTTTTTTGTCTACCCTGGAGGTGACAGAAACTGCCATTCTTATTAAGTGAATGCAGTTGTTGGCTGATTCCAGGAAGTGGGGAGTCACCTCCAACAGAATTCATTCTAACAGTGCCTGCTGTGGGAGGGGTGGGGGTGCCAGATAGTCACATCGCCAAACTTGGAGTCTTCCTAGTCCAGTGGACCTGAGGCAGTGAGGCCTAAAGGCATAGAGAGACAACTGGTTTAGACACTCAAAATCCACGTGTCATTGACTTGGCCGGGTCCATTTACAGACTGGTAAATTGAGGTGTAAGTCTTGCCAACAACAGGAAGACCACTGATCTGCCTACCTGGAAATAGTTCATTTCCACCTTCACATAAGAAAGAACTAGAACATGAATTGCCATTTCAAGGGCTAATCATTCTCTCTTGGATGGGAGAAAAACCTTTGGAATCTAGACACCAGGCCTGTCTAAATAGTAACAACAACAAACATTTAATGATTCCTTAATATTAGGCAGCCCCGTGCATATGTTTATAAATATTTATAAATCCCCACAACCACTCCATAAAGTAGGTTCTAATATTAAACCCCATTGTACAGATGAAGAAACTGAGGCTTGGGTAGGTTAAGTAATGTACCCAGGCATATATGATTAATAAGAGGTAGAGACAAGTTTTGTGTCCCAGCTCTGACACCGGTGCCCGGGGCATGATAAATGACTATTCATCAGAGCTAGCCCCGCCCGAAGAACTCCACACACAACCAGGAACTTTCTGATGATGGTGCGTTGTTCTTACCAACAAAGTCAATCAAGGTAGAATGAAGTATTTCCAAGCTGCTGGCTTTCTAGGATATCAAAAGGAAAACATATTTGTTTTAAATGGTCCAACAAGCACACTGTATTACTGCAAATCCTCCTTCATGTCAAAGTAATTTGAAAGTATAGTTGGAATTTAAGCTTAAGATTTAAATTCCACAGAATTTGAAATGTTTGGGGCGTGGTTGTTCTTTTGTATTGTTCTTTTTTGGCAGTGCCAGGTGTAAGGTTCTAAGAAAGGGAACTGGCATGGTTCCACTGCTGATGGCTCCACAGCTTCATGAGGTCTGCCCGGGGGGTGTGGGCATGGGAAGTTAATGTGGCTGAGTTAGTGGCAAAAGAAAAGCAGCCATGATTCTAGAACAAAGCACTGGGAATGAAAGGCCAGTGCCAAGTTTTAGCAGAAAAGCATGCTATAGAAGCCCTGGCCTGCAGGACTCACTTCTCTAGACAGCTGTCAATGAGACTCATGGGAAAATCCGATGCAAGTTTGAGTCAATTTCAACCAGGCTTCTGCTTTGGCTTCACAGGAAATGCTTCTTCCTAAAAGAGACCTCCACCTGTCCTTCTGGGTATCTGAGCTGTAAAGCCTTTCATCCACTGGTTTGGAAGTCAAGTAGGACCTGCCAGGACCTGCCAATTCCCATTCCCCACCCCACTCCTTCCACCTTATTCCCATGGCTGGTTTCAGGAAAGAGCCTGTCAAGACAGCAGGGCAAATCTCTCATTCTCCCTCTGAGAAGTAAAGGGATGTGAAATGATGGCTGCTTACCAGACTCCCCTAGAAAGAAGCTGGGGCAAGGTACAGCCGTCAGGCCAAGCTGAGGAAATGCTTTCAGGCTACTGTTGCAGGTCTGGAGAAAGGGATGGGTGGCAGGGCAGGTGACCATCCCATTCCCCAACCCCAACGGCAGGTGCACCTCCCAACTGAAGATACTGTGCCACAGGTGGCTACAAGAACTTGCCTGCCATTCTGCCATTATAGGCTCTCCAAAGGAAAGGACCACATTAAACACTGCAGTGATCAGTTAACACCCAGGAAGGATTGGACATAGACCCTAGTTATCAAGAAAGGACCTGGGGAGTGATCAAGCACAACCTCCCACCTGCAGTGGGCCTGAGACACAGGACTGCACTGGGAAGTCAGGGCAGGGAAGAAGGCCCGAGGGAGTAGGACAAGGGCATGCACAGTGCAGGTGGGAAGTGCAGAGACAACTTGCTGCAAAATGTTGATGAAGGCCGACTCTGGCCACATCTCTCAAGATCATTTTGCCATGAGTTACTGTCATGCCAGGTGCTGGCATACAAAGATGAACAAGGCCGGGCTCCAACTTCCAGAATTATATCCAGTGACCTCAGGGCTCAAGAGACATCAGGGTCCCACCCCCTCAGTGAGAGAGACACAAAGTTCCCATTAAAATAGTCTACTATTTCCACAGCTCTTAGATTAATTACAGAAGAGAGTAAAATTAAGTTCCAATAGCAACGTTGAAAAGAACCATGTGCACGCTTAGTCAATCCAACTTGTTGGAACAGTTTATCAACACGGGACTGTTTTATACATTCATTCACTCCCTACTCTTAATTCTCAAGGTCCTTAAGAAAGAAAATGATATGTGATGATGCAAGTTGTTTCTTTTATTTATTTTACTTTTTTGAGACAGAGTCTTGCTCTTGTTGCCCAGGCTGGAGTGCAATGGCACAATCTCAGCTCACCACAACCTCTGCCTTCCAGGTTCAAGTGATTCTCCTGCCTCAGCCTCCCGAGTAGCTGGGATTACAGGTGCCCGCCACCATGCCTGGCTAATCTGTGTACTTTCAGTAGAACGGGGTTTCACCATATTGGCCAGACTGGTCTGGAACTCCTGACCTCAGGTGATACACCTGCCTTAGCCTCCCAAAGTGCTGGGATTACAGGCGTGAGACACTGTGCCTGGCCAAGTTATTTATTTTCTAAAGTAACTGAACCATTCCTCAAAAGCAATGCTAGCAGTTCACTGTCTGCAGTGCTTATGCTTTGAATCATTTTTCTAAAGTGGTGACAGGTTTGCACAGAACCATCCAAACTCTTCTGTTGCATTTTTCCCTTTTATGATCAAAGACACATGCCATATGAGAGAGGTGGCCCTGTCTGGGTCACAGTCTATATCACAGTCTGTAGCAAAAGGACACATCTGCGTATAAACCCCTCTGAGACTGAGGCCATCTTAAGGCTCCTTGTCAATCCAAAACACGGACATTAACATTTAATTCCAGATTGAATCACACCGTATCGGTGAAGGAATGGTTTCCAAGAGGACCACAGAGGTAAGAAAGCTGCATAATAACAGACTTTGAACACGGGAATTGCAGAATTAAATAACAAATATAACTCACCTTGTGACCACTGTAAATAATTCATACAAGATGCTAAAATGCCACAAGGCTACTTTAAATCACATTAACATTTTATGAAATGTTAAAAAGATTTATTTTGTTAAACCTTGAAGTGTGAGTCACGAGGACCATGAAAGTCACTGAGGATCACAAGGATGGCTGGAGAAAAATCAAAGGAGTGGATTAAAAAACCCATCTGTATGTACACTCAGGGACACACACGCAAAGGCCCACAGCTCCCCTCCCTCACCTGCTAAATGTTTAGAAGTTACTGAATTTCCAGTGTCTTTAGTATTCCCTCCAGAGTACCTCATTCCAATGGTCCAACCTTGCCATCAGAGATTAAATAGTTGTTCAAGTTCTTCTGACAAAAAGTCAGCAGCGGGGTGGTTAAACAAAAATCCACACACAAAAGACTTGATATAAATCCTATTTATATCAAGTTCAAGAAGACAAAACCAATCTGTGCTTGTATGTCAGAATAGTGAACCTGGGGTGGGGAAGGTGGGCAGGTGATTAGAAAGGGGTAAGAGAGAAAATTCTGCAGTACTAGAATGTTCCAAATCTTGGTAACAAGACACACACACACACACAATATGACACACACACACACCTAAAAATTATCCAGCTATACGCTTAAGATTTGGGTACTTAAGTCTCAATAAAACAACTTTTTTTTTTTTTTTGAGACACAGTCTCATTCTGTCACCCAGGCTGCAGAGCAGTGGTGTGATCTTGGCTCACTGCAGCTTCGGCCTCCCAGGCTCAAGCAATCCTCCCACCTCAGTCTCCTGGATAGCTGGGACCTCAAACGCATGCCACCACACCTGACTAATTTTTTAATTTTTGTAGAGCCAGGGTATCACTATGTTGCTCAGGTTGGTCTTGAACTCCTGGGCTCAAGCGATCCTCCTGCCTTGGCCTCCCAAAGTGCTGGGATTACAGGCTTGAGGCTGTGTCCAGCCACAATAAAACAATTCTTAAAACTCAGTAAAACCATTGCTAGCTATGTGAAACTTTCTTGGATGCTGAGAAGCTCCTCTCCCGCCATCCTTCTGGACATACACCAAACCCCTTCTGAGTCGATCTTTGTGCCTGTAAGGTCCTGGGCATAAGGTCTCATCCACAGATGGTTCAGTCTCTGCCCTCAAGGTACTAGGTTCTTGCAGGGCTTCACGGTTCTTGTTACAACAAATTGTTGTTTGCACAACTCTGAAAATTGAGGAGAAAAACCTGTTGGTCCTTCCTCATGATCTGAACCCTAAGTGCAGTGAGTTATGCTCAGGGGAGTTGCTTACAGGTGTTGTCCCTGGGCCTTGTAAGGGGAGGAGCTTCCTTTTTAGCAGAGACAGTCTAGCATTAGAAACCAATAGTATATTTACAAAGCTAGCCATAGAATTGGAAGGTATGCTTCATTTTTTTTTTCTTTCAGTGACAGGGTCTCGTTTTGTTGCTCAGGCTGGAGTGCAATGGCACAATCACAGCTCACTGCAGCCTTGACCTCCCGGGCTCACGCAATCCGCCCACCTCAGCCTCCTGAGTAGCTGGGACCACCAGCGAATGACACCATGCCTGGCTAATTTTTTTGTTTTCATTTTTGTAGAGACGGGGGTCTTCCTATGTTGCCCAGGTTGGTTTTGAACTCCTAGGCTCAAGCTTTAGCCTCCCCAAATGCTGGGATGACGGGTGCATGCCATCGTGCCTGACCTATGCTTCACTTCTTTAAAAAAATTTTTTTTATTGTGGTTAAAAAAAAAAACCCAACTCAATAAAATAGAAAAGGGAAAAAAGCACCTATAAATAAACCCTGCAAATATTTCTTTTTGCTTTTTTATTATAGTAAAATATGCATACACAAACTTTATCATTTTAACCGTTTTAAAGTGTGTAGTTCAGAAGCATTAAGCACATTCACACTGTTGTGCAACCATTACCACCATCCGCCTCTGGAATGTTTTCATTATCCTAAACAGAAACCCTGTATCCATTAAATTATAACTCCCATCTCTCCTCTCAACCCTGGTAACCAGCATCCTACTTTGTCTCTATGAATTTGACTACTAATCTAAGTGGAATCAGACAGTACTTGTCCTTTTGTATCTGGCTTATTTCATTTAGCATAATGTAGGTGAGAATTAATTGCTAATTACTAATTTGGATGCCAACCAAACATTGACTAAAACTACATAGCCTCAAATTCATATATATTCACAGTAATCCCCTGGATTACTATGGAAGGGAGGGAGAGAAACTTGTTTAAACAAAAATGATGTCAATGACTAGAAAACTCAAAAGATGGCAAAAGGTCACGAAAAATAAGGATTTCCCTGATAAGTGAAAAGCTGGTTAGCACATAATGCAGCCCATTGACCACTACATTCAGAGACCTTACCTTGGTCTCTGTAGGCCACGCACTGAATAAGGGACACTGCTGCGGGCAGGCCTGTGAGAAATGTTCTGACAGGACTGCATTTTTTTGGCGATTAAGAGCCATGTAAGGCTGGGTGTGGTGGCTCATGCCTGTAATCCCAGCACTTTGGGAGGCCAGGGCAGGCGGATCATCTGAGGTCAGGAGTTCGAGACCAGCCTGGCCAACACGGTAAAACTCTGTCTCTACTTAAAAAAATACAAAAATTAGCAGGCGTGGTGGCACATGCCTGTAATCCCAGCTACTCGGGAGGCTGAGGCAGGAGAATCACTTGAGCCCCGGAGGCAGAGGTTGCAGTGAGCTGAGATCACACCACTGCACTACAGCCTGGCGACACAGTGAGACTCCGTCTCAAAAAAAAAAAAAAAGACATATAAAAGAAAACGTTCTTACTTGTCTGAACATAAGCCATGAGCTGCTTAAACTAAAAATAAAGTTCAGTTTAAAATGAGCTTTTCCAGAAGGTTACATCCGGCTATTTCTACCTTACCATTTGTCATCCCTCAAAGGATAACACTAGAGACGGGGTGGGGTGGTAGTAGGGAAACACTTCACTACCAAAATGTTCAGCTCTAGGTTAGTTCAGCCTGCAGCTTTGAAAATCCACTCATGGGGGAGGAACAAAAGGCAGCAGGAGAGGAGGTTCTATTAAGACAGAGACCTGTTCTGCGGCCCCCATCACCTGACCTCACATGTGTAATACTCCCTGCTTCTGTGCCTCATCACTTCAGTCACTTGGCTGGGCCACTAGAAGCCACCTGACCTCTCTGAACCATAAGTTTCTCATCTGCAGCATTTGGCTAAAAACATCAACTGTGCAGAGCTTTTACAAGCATTGGAATGAGACCACATGTGCAAAGCCAGGCATGTGGCAGGCCCTCAAAGAGTGATTGATGGCCATGATCATTACCATTCCGACAGAGGGGGCAAAGCCTCTGTGCCACGGCACCCAGTGGTGGACAGAATTCTAAGATGCCCTCCAGTGACTCACATCCTTGTAGAATCTCTTCCACTTGAGTGTGGGAAGGATGGGATATCACTCGCCTGATTAGACCATGTTGAACGGTACTGTTAACTTTAGGAAAGAAAGACTATCCTGGGTGGTTCTGGCCTAATCAGTTGAACTCTTAAAATAGGCTGGGCTTTTCCTGGAGAAAAGGAGTCGATGTGTGAAAGGAATTCAACATAAGGGAGAGTCTCTGTAGCTAGTATTGAAGATGGAGGGGTCCACATGACAAGGAATGTAGGTGGTCTCTGAAAGCTGAGAGCAGTGTTGGTTGAAAGCCAGCAAGGAAAGGGAGACATCAGACCTGCAGCCACAAGAACTGGATTCTGCTACAACCAACATGCTCAGAAGAGCACCACAAGCTCCTGTGGAGAATGTAGCCTGACAACGTCTTGATCTTAGCCTTTTGAGACCTTGTGCAGAGAACCCACCCGTGCTGTACATTTCTGGACTTCCGACCTACAGAACTGTGAGCTAACAGGTGTTGTTTTATGACACCAAGTTTCTGGCAATTTGTATGCAGCAATAGAAAACCAATACAGAACTCTTGGCTGGGCATGGTGGCTCACGCCTGTAATCCCAGCACTTTGGGAGGCCGAGGCGGGCGGATCACGAGGTCAGGAGATCGAGACCATCCTGGCTAACACGGTGAAACCCCGTCTCTACTAAAAATACAAAAAATTAGCCGGGCGTGGTAGCGGGCGCCTGTAGTCCCAGCTACTTGGGAGGCTGAGGCAGGAGAATGGCGTGAACCCGGGAGGCGGAGCTTGCAGTGAGCCGAGATCGCGCCACTGCACTCCAGCCTGGGCGACAGAGCGAGACTCCGTCTCAAAAAAAAAAAAAAAAAAAAAAAAAGAGGCTAGCAGCCCTCCAAGACAGAAGTCTCTCCCTAGCGTGGGCCCTTCCTTGGCCTGTAATCTTGCCTCTGAGTCCCCCAAACTCTTCCTCATTAATCACAAGCCCTGGGCAATCAATCAGGAAGAGCATCTGCTCCTCCTCCATCTCCGATGTCCTCACCACCTCCGTCACTGCCTTTACTTCCGATACTTTGGCAGCAATCCATCCTCTGCTTCACTGTGGTCTGAAGGATGACCACCAGCTGACTCACTCCCTGCTCCTTTCTTGCTGCCCTGGAAGGACAGATTGCAGCACCCACCCACGGCAGCCAGGGTGTGAGAGGAAGTGACCATTTGGGATGTCAGCTTCCCCACTGAGCAAGGGGAGAAACCCATGTTTTTGAGGCCTTAGATCTACTTCTTTCTTTTTTTTTTTTTGAGATGGAGTCTCAGTGCAGTGGTGCGATCTATGCTCACTGCAAGCTCCGCCTCCGGGGTTCACATCATTCTCCTGCCTCAGCCTCCTGAGTAGCTGAGACTACAGGCGCCCGCCACCACACCCAGCTAATTTTTTGTATTTTTAGTAGAGACGGGGTTTCACCGTGTTAGCCAGGATGGTCTCGATCTCCTGACCTCGTGATCTCCCCGCCTTGGCCTCCCAAAGTGCTGGGATTACAGGCGCGGGCCACCGCGCCCGGCCCAGATCTACTTCTTTCTTAACTGCAAAGCCCCAACCTCTTGATCACTCAGGGGACTTGACTGGGGAGTGTGGGTGTATTGCCATCCCAGAGGCCAGGGCAGCCAACCAGAAATACATCCCTCAGTTTAAACCTTCTGTTTTAGGGACCAGGGATTAACACCATTTTTGTTGTTGCTGTTGTTGTGTCCAGCAATCTTAAAGTGGGGGACGGGAGAGCAAACCACACAGCCTGAGATGGCAAACAGGTTTCTGAATGAAGCCCTTGCAAGCGACCACAAGCCAGGTCAATAACATGATTCCACAGCAAACCAGGCAGCCCAGGATAAACAGATCAGCAACACAACGTGGCACACTCCAGGAGATCTTTGGGGCCAGACACATGCCTTCCTCACCCAGAGGGCCCAGGGCAGCTTCCAGGAGGTATTATGTCAATGAGGATGTCCATTACAGACAGCTCTCCAAAATAACCTACATCAGAAGTTGGTTACCTTTGAAAGGTGTTATGTCAATGAGGAAGGCCATTATAGAAGATACTATATCAACAAGGATAGTCATGGTAGAAGATACATTCACAAGGGTGACTGCAGTAAAAGGTATGGATGTGGAAGGTGTTAAGTCAACGAGGACAGCCATTATAAAAGGTGTTTGGGCATCATAATGAAGTTACAAGAACAAGGACAGTCATTACGGAAGGCGTTATATCAACTAGGATGGTCATTATTGGCAACAAGACAGTGTCAATGTTGGGACCAGCCAGTGATCTTAAGATGAATATACAAAAATTCAGGGATATGAAAAACTAAGTTGAGGCACCAAGAATTCTGAGATGGGTTTTGAGAAGCTTGGCTCCAAAGCACATTGTGTGGGTGGATAGAAAAAAAAAAAAACAAAAAACAGATGGTTCTTCCTGAAAGGGAGAGAGATTGTGGGGCAGAGCACTTTCTGCATTCCTTCCTTACAGTAGAAGTTGGCCCTACTGCTAACAGCTATTGTCAAGGGAGGAAAAGGAGGCTTCGAACAAAACCCAAGCTAGAAAATTTGGAGTAATCAAGAATTTAATCCTCATTAGACTATATTCTGCTTGCTCTTGTAGGTGATCTCCAGTTAGAAATCAGATATTGAAGGATTAACTCTGAATTGCGTCTTTCCAGACAGTGGATCACTTAGCAAGTTGTCATTTCAGAGATGGTGGGAAATGCCATTTTAAATATAAAAATAAACATTGTGGGGTTATTGGTAATTAATAACAGAGCTATACTTCTGCTCCAGGGCCAAACTCGGGGTTTTGTTAATGATGTCCCACAGACCTCAGGCACCAGGAGAATATTTTGTCCTCCTCTTTCTCTTGTCTTGCCTGTAGAAGCTTATACTGCAATTCTTATACCTACATCTCTTGCTTTACTTATTACACTGGAAATTGTTGCAAACCCAAATATGAAAGGCAACATAGGGAAGAGGGTCTTCGTTGAATTAGAGGGTGCAAGCTCTATCAAATACTTTGTAATTTAGGTTTTTTCAAAACATACAAAAAGGAACTAGGCCAAAACCCCTAGGCCATCAATTTGTAGCCCCTGGTTTACATGTTTCAATCCCTTCCAGATGGTGAGTCCTTGGAGAGCAAGAGATAAGGGCACACAGAGCTAGATGCACAAGGGGTCGCCAATATCTACAGAATGAACAGAATTTGTTATCAAAATGACCTTGGACTGGGCTAGATCTTTTCAAGACCTTCTGAGAATTCAGGGATGTGAAAAACTAAGTTAAGGAACCAAGAATGCTGAGTTGGGGGTTTTAAGAAGCCTGGCTCCAAAGCACATTGTGTGGGTGGGTGGAAGAAAAAAAAGCAGATGGTTCTTCCTGACAGGGAGAGAGACTGTGGGTCAAAGTACTTTCCTTTTCATGAACCATATTCCTTCCTTACAGTAGAAGTTAGCCCTACTGCTAAGAGCTATTGCTAAGGAAGAAGGAGGAGGATGGGAACAAAACTAGCTAGAAAATTTGGGGCGATGAAGCATTAATCCTCATTCCACTATATTCTGCTTTGCTCTTATAGGTGATCTCCAGTTATCCATCAAATAATAAATCAAATTTTCTAGGCCTGCTCAGTGCTAGGCCCTAAAAGTAGATAGGGAAAAAACAAAACAAAACAAATCACAGCAAGTTGCTCTTCATGAAAAGCTGCTCCAAGTCGAGAAGTCAGTTTTTTGGTCATCAACTCCTCAGTTCCTAGCAACTTAACACTTCTACTGCATCCCTTCTACACAACCACATTCTTGCAGGAAGTAACTTTAGGCTTTTTTGAAGACGGGGTCTATACTTGAGAAATTTGTTTTAATGCAACAAAAATAGTAAGGGCTATATTCATACCTGGCTTTAAATTGTTTTTATTTTTAAAATATCTTAGAGGCAAAACTACGGTGACAGAAGGCAAATCAGTGGTTGCCAGGGGCTAAGAGGTATGGATTTATTACAAAGGAATCTGGAGGAACTTCGCAGGGTGATGGAAATGTTATACCATGCATTTGACAGGACCCATTGAATTATACAATTGATACTGGTGAATTTGATGGTATGTACATTATATCTCAGTAGAGCTGAAAAATATTTTTACATTTAGATAAATAATATATGAAGCACACAATAAAGTAAAACAAAATGTAAAAAGTCGTTCTCCTACCCTTGAATCTGGTTCTGTTCCCATAGGCAACCACTATTACCAGTATTTGTGCACTATTCCAGAAGTAATCTATGAATATGCAAGTGTGTATTTATATACCATCCCTATTTCATTTTATTTTGCCAAAAGGTTGCATGCCATATGTACTGTTCTGATCCTTGTGTTTTTCTCTCCACATTCTAATGATGAGCATTTGGGTTGTTTCCAGTCTCTAGCAACTAGGGCAAGGAGGGGAAGATGCCAGTGGGACATACCTTCCCACCAGTATTCCAGGTTCCTGCCTGGAACTTGAGTTGTATTTCCCATAGAGGCAGAGGCCAGTGAGGCTAGAAGAAGTTATGTTGAGGGTTTGGCACCATTCGGGTTGTGGTGGGCTTCTGCAAGATGATCCAAGCATTGTTTACAACTTGAAAAATGTCTGCTAGGCTGGGTGCAGTGGTTCATACCTGTAATCCCAGCACTTTGGGAGGCCAAGGTGGGCAGATCACCTGAGATCAGGAGTTCAAGACCAGCCTGGCCAACATGGTGAAACCCCATCTCTATTAAAAATACAAAAAAAAAAAAAAAAAATTAGCCAGGCATGGTGGCACGTGCCTGTAATCCCAGGTACATGGGAGGCTGAGGTAGCAGAATTGCCGGAACCTGGGAGGCAGAGGCTGCAGTGAGTCGAGATCATGCCACTGCACTCCAGCCTGGGCAACAGAAAAAAAAAAAAAAAGTCTTCTATGTTCCGTGAAGATAAGGACTTAGCTCTGACAGATGTAGCCCAAGGCTGAAGTACCTGATAAGACTGTCAGAAACTTCCAAGCCAGTTCCAGAGTAATCCTCCATCTCTCAGCAGGGATTAAAGGCCAGGGCCCTGCCAGGTTTCCCTCCATGGAGATCTAGCTCTAGTTTCACAGACTGGCAAACTGCAGCCCAGTCTTGGCTAATAACACCCGGTCATGAAGATAGCTGCAATCCCCAGGAGACCACTGGGGTGTTCTCATTCCCATCTCAAATGTAACTGAGCATGACAATTAAGTTGTTATAAAACTGGTCCAGTCAGTTCCTTGGCTACCAGGAAATTCATGTGTGTGCAGGCACTTGCTCACAGAACATTTTTTAAAAACTTGTTCTAGTGTCTTTTAGAATAACTTCATACGGCTTTTCACTGAGCAGCTTCACTTCTAGGAATTTCTTCCACAGATATCCTTACACGTCCCCAAAGTCGACTGCACTGGGACAGTAACCAAAGCACAATGTGTAGGTAACAAAAGTCAAAAATAATCTTACTGTCTCCCACTAGAGACCTGGTTATACAGACTATGATAGCCTATAATTTTGGCCCAGGTTGTCTGCCTATTGAATATCTAAATGTTCTTCTTGGACCTGACTCAAATAATCAAAGTGTCTTAGTTCGTTTTGTGTTGCTATAAAGGAATACCTAAAGCTGGCTAATTGATAAAGAAAAGAGGTTTGGCTGGTTGCGGTGGCTCATTCCTTTAATCCCGGCACTTTGGGAGGCTGAGGCCGAGGCGGGTGGATCACCTGAGGTCAAGAGTTCGAGACCAGCCTGGCCGACATGGTGAAACCTCGTCTCTACTAAAAATACAAAAATTAGCCGGAGGTGGTGGCAGGCGCCTGTAATCCCAACTACTCAGGAGGCTGAGGCAAGAGAACTGCTTCCCAGGAGGTGGAGGTTGCAGTGAGCTGAGATTGTGCCATTGTACTCTAGCCTGGGCAACAGAGCGAAAACTCCATCTCAAAGAAAAAAAAGAAGAAAGAAAAGAAAAAGAAAGACCGAAAAGAAAAGAGGTTTATTTAGCTCATGATTCTGCTGGCTAAAAGGTTCAAGATTGAGCATCTGGTGAGGGCCTCAGGCTGCTTCCACTCACGGCAGAGGGCAAAGGGGATCTGGTGTGTAGAGATCACATAGCAAGAGAAGAAGCAAGGGCAGGGGGTTCTTGCTGGGCTCTTTTTAACAACCAGCTCTCTAGGGAACTAACAGAGTTAAGAACTCACTCACTCCTGAGGGATCCACCCCATGACCCAACACTTCCCATTAGGCCCCACCTCCAGCACTGGGGATCAAATTTCAACATGAGATTTGGAGGAAACAATCATCCAAACTACAGCACAAAGTCATGAAATTCTCACTAACTGAGGAATTTGTTCTAGGCCAGACTAGTGCACACATCATTTCATTCAGACCTCCAGCCAGCCTCAGGGTGCTGCTGTCCCTACAGGTTAAGCAACTTGCCCAGCTCACCTCGTTAATAAGTGGTGGAGTCAGGATTTGAACCAAGCTTTGACCAACTCCAGAGCTTGTCTGAATGAGGCTGTCTCCAAAAAGCTGGAAAGGCAACTCTGAGTCCAGTGAGGTCTTTGGCTCCAGTCCTTCCATTTCTCTGCCCTCCTCCCTCCACCAACTTCCAGCTGGGAAGCTAAGCCCTTTGGGATGTGCAGTCTGAAGACACGGGCAATGTAGCAGTGAGCAAGAACTCAGAGGCAATAGTGACCGGGAGAGCCTGGTGTTTGTATCCTTGAGGGTGGCCCAGGATGCAACTCCAGCGAGACTTGTCAGCAGGGCAGTTGATGTGAAAACAGCCCATCAACACAGGCTGAACCCTCCTGACACAGTGTCCCTGGGCAGACTCCAGCAGAGCACAGAGTTCCAGTATGAGCAGCAGTGTGTAATAACTCATCTCATTATGTTGTTTGGTTCTTGGTGTGTACCTCTCCACTGTGGCTGGTGGCCACTCTGTAGGAGTTGACTGTCTACCTGTGTCCAAGAGATGCCGTGAGTCCTTCAAACTCAGGGGCTTCATCTTACCACCTCTGCATTCTCTGTGATGTCCCAGAAACTGCTTGTCTGCTCTAAGCTGTTCTCGGGGTTAAACATTGTTTTAGCCAAACTTCCTTGTTTGAAATGGCCAGATGTTCCCGCCTCCAGATCAGTAACAGAAGGCATCTCTTTGGATGCATATGGCATATGCCTGGATGTACACCATTCTAGCTCAGCTCCCAGCTGGACCACACATTGCCAAGAATTGAAGAAGCCCTCTCATGGCTCCAAGGGTTTTGTGACATGGCAGATGCCAAGGAAGTAGGCAGACCCAAAATAAAGACAACAGCCCGACTTCAACTCTATATAATCTTTGGACTCAGGGAGTTGATAAAACTCATTTCTGGAGACTGTATTTACCCAGACAAAGGCAGCAGATTGTCACCTTGTACATTTTTGCATTTGGCACATTTCTCCCGGAACCCTTTGATCTCCTGTCATTGAGGGTAGGATCATTTGCACTTCATTTAAAACTTAAAGAAAGCTACGCCATCTGTGCTCAGGGAACAGTTTTAATTTTCTTTTCAAGACGTTCTCAGATTTATTATTTAAGCATATTCCCACCCTGAGGGGAGGCATTTACTGGCCTTGCAGTCCTATGACCGAGCTGGGTTCTGGAGTCATACTCCTGGGGCTGCCAGCTCAGCATCATTACATACCAGCTAGGGAGCCCTGGCAAGTCACGTCACCTCTCTGTGCCTACTAACAGGAAGTTAGTAAGAGCAATTGTTTGAGGACGGAGAATTAAATGACACGCAGACCTACTCAAGACCACCTCTCCCATTTACATTTTCTCAGGAGAAAATAGCTTCATTTTTATCATTGAACACTGTAGAACTTATGTTTCATCTATGAAAGTTATTTTTGGCCAAGGTCTATTTCAGAAATGTGTATATTTACATCTCCAACCTCAACACATTTTAAACAAAATTATGTGCAGAAAGTCTTTACTTATATTCCAAATACACTAGGATCAAGAATGTCAGGATCTGGCTGGGCGTGGTGGCTCACGCCTATAATTCCAGCACTTTGGCAGAGCGAGGTGGGTGGATTGCTTGAGGCCAGGAGTTTGAGGCCAGCCTGGCCAACATGGTGAAACCCCACCTCTACTAAAAATACAAAAATTAGCTGGGCATGGTTGTGCACGCCTGTAATTCCAGCTACTTGGGAGGCTGAGGCATGAGAATCACTTGAACCCAGGAGGTGGGGGTTGCAGTGAGCCAAGATCATGCCACTGCATTCCAGCCTGGGCAACAGAGTAAGACTCCGTCTCAAAAAAAAAAAGAATGTCAGGATCAAGTGAGGACACCCCAAGTGTCAAAAATGTCAACAAAGGGAGGTGCCCTACATTACTGCACACAAAGCAACTGTTTGCAAACAACCATGTAAATGGTTTGGTAGTCCTCAAGTGATGTCTTATGCACTTTATGCTTAACAGGATTGGTTAATTATACACAGGTATCTTCCTGTTTTTCATCACACTTTCAGAAACTGTTAGAGGTTTTGCATCGCTGTGCAGTGGATTGTTATACTTTTTCCCACATAAAATAATGGGATGTATAGCGTTGCTTAGTGTTTTCATACAGAATGTCTGGTTTTCAGGAATGGATTACTGATGTTAATCAGAAGATGCTTATTTGTAAAATCCTCAGAGGAGTGGCTGGCACAGCAAATGTGTTGGCTATTACAAGCAGCAATAGTAGTTAATACTTTTAAAGACTGATGGACCAGATACAAACCCAAGGCTACAAAGGGGCGAGGGAAGGAGCCTGGATCTCCTTACCTGGTTGTCTAGAATGCGCCAGCTGCCCGGGAGATGAAAATTACAAGGTTGTGGGAAGTGGTTTGAAATAATTTGATTATGGCATAATTTTTATAATTTAGAATGATAATTAAGGGGTATAAACTTTTCTTTTTTTTTTGAGACAAAGTCTTGTTCTGTCACTTAGGCTGGAGTGCAGTGTCATGATCTAGGCTTACTCCAACCTCTGCCCCCCGGGTTCAAGCGATTCTCAAGCCTCAGCATCCTGCGTAGCTGGGATTACAGGTGTGTACCACCATGTTTGGCTAATTTTTGTATTTTTTAGTACAGACGGTGTTTTGCCATGTTGGCCGGGCTGGTCTTGAACTCCTAACCTCATGTGATCTGCCCCCCTCAGCATCCCAAAGTGTTGGGATTACAGGCGTGAGCCACTGCGCCTGGCTCGGTATAAACTTTTCTTAACCACCAAGGCAGAGAACCCTAGCCACTGGTCCCCCACATCAGTGGTCTTATCATCTCCCACTGTCCCACCCACCCTGACCTCAATCAGGGGTCTTTCTGACCAGCAGACTCCTCTCCCTACCCACTCCCCACCTCATCCTATCCCATCCAAACCCAGGTCAGCACCGCTAGGCAAAAACGCAGGTGAGGCTTGTGTTATAAGCCAAGGGACCCAGTTCTGTTTTCTTTTGGCAAAAAAGCACTGGTGAGCTATTAGTACCATCCAGCTGGGGTGGTGCTTCTAAGACTCTTGAGTCTGCCCAGCAACACTGTCCAGATTCTATTTGCCAAATTGGAGGGAGGAAAATGCTTCTTCCATAGATGCTGGTGAAACAACAGTGAGGAGAGCCTGGGAGAATGTGAGAAACAAGCACTAACACACTGATGGCTGGAAAGCACACCAGGACAGGCTCTCCACAGGTGACATGGAAAGACGCATCCAAAGCCCTAAGAACCTCTCTACTCTTCATCCCAGCAATTCTGCTTCCAGAACATGGAAATACGCAACTAAAGCCCTAAGAGCCTCTCTACTCTTCATCCCAGCAACTCTGCTTCCAGAACACGGAAATACGCGTGCAAAGACCTAAGAACCTCTCTACTCTTCATCCCAGCAACTCTGCTTCCAGAACGTGGAAATGCGCGTCCAAAGCCCTAAGAGCCTCTCTACTCTTCATCCCAGCAACTCTGCTTCCAGAACTGTAGCTGGACAAAATAGTTAAGAATGTTCAGAACATGGGCGCGGTGGCTCACGCCTGTAATCCCAGCACTTCAGGAGGCCGAGGCGGGCAGATCACCTGAGGTCAGGAGTTTGAGACGAGCCTGGCTAATATGGTGAAACCCCGTTTCTACTAAAAATACAAAAAATTAGCTGGGTGTGGTGGTGCACACCTGTAATCCCAGCTACTCAGGAGGCTGAGGTAGGAGAATAGCTTGAACCTGGGAGACGGAGGTTGCAGTGAGCCGAGATCGCGCCATTGCACTCCAGCTTGGGCAATAAGAGTGAAACTCTGTCTCAAAAATTTAAAAAAAGAGTGTGCAGAACAACACAGCTGAAGAACACATTCTTAGATACATCAAAATGGGATAATCCAGTTGATACCATTTTATAACCTTGGCAACATGAGGATAATGGTTCATCCTTTCATGTCATTTTCTAGTCTGTGCTATGTAATTTCAAGTGCCTTTTCACTGAATAGACCTATTAAAATTGATACAAGCAGCTGGCTATTGTTGGACGTGTTCTATTTTTAATAAGAAAAACTGGAAGCAACTTAAATGTCCAACAACTGGGGACTGGTTAAAGCCATACAATGGGATGATCCCATTTTTGGTTTGTGCACATGAGCGTGCATACATACACATTAAGAAGACTGCATCAAAGTGAATAAGGCAGTTTGCTTATAGATAATTTTTTTCCATTTTGGTTATATTTATTGCCACTTTTTCTACAATAACTATATGCTACTTAAAACATCTTAATTATTAACTTCCTTCCCCCATATTGATAGCCAGGGAGAACACCCAGAAGAGTGTGTGTGTGCACATGCAAGGCGTGCAACCATCATAGATGAAATGGCAGCATCTGAGGTGAGCCCTAGGGCTAACAGGTCTGACTCCAAGTCATGCAAATCTGTGGGGATGTGGGGGAGGAGATGGGGGAGACTCATCAGCGCTACCAGTTACACATTCCAGACAACAGCCAGTAGCTCCTCATTTGAATCGGAAACAGAATGAACACCCACACTCACCCAGGGAGTGTGAATATATCATTTGATCTGTCTGCTCACATTTTTGGCAAGAGACAATGGTGGCAAGATTGGGGTCACTGACCCAGACTCTGGTATCTGAGTGGTTCTTAGAAAGCAACCAAATGGAGGTTTTCAAAAGGCTATGATCCCAATGTAACCAGTGTTTCACTCTTGGAAATGGGGGAGTTGGTGGGGATACCAAAGTCACACAAACACACGACACCAAGACACAAACTTTCCTTTACTTTTCATCTCTGCAGTGACACCAAATTCATTTTTACTCTGCTGAGTCTTTCTTTGTTAAGAGACTTCATGGATTTATAAAACAAATCCACTGTGCCAGGGCTCTGGCTTTCTGTATCCTTTCAGGACAGTCTCCAGGAATTTCTCAAAGGCCTTTGCCACTTAGATCCTCAAGACTACAGGCAACTACTCCAACCACAAAAGCTCTCAGTTCAGCCTGATGTACCCTCAAAGGGCCAGTTCCTGAGACCATAGGGAGGAACTTAAGAAAGCGAAAGGGAAAGTTCCTAGGTTTCTACGTATTTATGTATTGAACCATGAGACAGGGCTCAGCCAGTCAAGGACTTCCTGGAAGGGACTCCATTGGAGTTACTGGACCAAAATGGCAGCCTTCCCAGATCACAGGGAGAAATGAGACCAGGAACAGAGGCTCTCATTATTAGCAATGCCTTGATTAACACCCTGTTCTGACTGGAAGAGTTCCCCACTGTTGTCACAGAAAGCCAAAAACATCTCAGATAATTCCCAGAGTTTCAATACTGTTCCAAGACTGGTAGGCACGCATTTTTCTCAGCACACATATACACATATTTTCACTTCCTTTTTATTCTTAAACTAATTCTTTTTCTTCAAAGGGAATCTTGGAAATTCAGTCCTAAGAAATTATAGTAAATATTCATCAGCCAGGCACAGTGGCTCACATCTGTAATCCCAGCACTTTGGGAGGCCCAGGTGGGAGGATCACTTGAGCTCAGGAGCTCGAGACCAGCCTGGGCAACACAGTGAAACCCTGTCTCTACTTTAATATATATAATTTATATATATATTTATAAATCCATGCCATGGTTTAAATGAAGTTTTAAATTTTCTATCTACTATGCAGCAATATGTCACCTGATGTTGGAGAATGAACCAGGAAGTATTCCTGGAGCTTATATTGATATTTTAGAAGCTCCTGTCTTGTATTTGTAAAGACGGCAGTCACCGGGACGCCCAAATTCAACCTCACTTGCGTCCTTTTATTCCTTTATCTAATTTACACCTGCCAAACACAAATCCACCCTAGATGCAGCAAGGGGAATCAAACCCACATGGCTTCCTGGAGAGCTCTATTTAAAAAACACAAAACCTGTACTAATCTCGCGAAACCTGTACTAGCCTCACATCAAGTTCTTACATGAAGAAACCAGGTTATTTACTACGTTCTAATACATCCAGGGCCCACAGGGCATTTCCTGGCTGGCACAGGTCACTGGGACGTGTTGGTCCCTTCCCCCAACCGAAACAACTCGAAATTCACACATATCCCCGGAACAACAGCCTCCTGCCCTCAAAGTCCACTGCCAAAAAGTGCGAGGGGCGCGGGAATGTCCAGTCTCTGCGGTGGCGCAGATGCCTGGCGGCTTTCTCTGGGACCCCCTAAAAGAAATCCGGGCGCTTTCATTTTTGCACCAACGCTCTTCAACTTTAGGAGAGGGGGAATGCAGCGTGCGGACGGGAAAAAGGGGATCTAGTGGGAAATGCGGACGTGAAAGCACTTTTTTTGCACCTTCTCTCTGGACCAGGCGAGGAGGTAGAGGGCGAGCCTGGAGAGGAAAGATCTCTTCCCACACCCTGCCTGGGTGCTTTCAAGAATCCCGGCAAAGACCCTGGGGCGCACGGCGCGCCACCTTGGACATGTCGCCTGGGATCGGCTACCGGGAGCTCCTTTTCCCGCCTTCTCGGCCAGCACCGGGCTCATCCTCCCGGACCGGGAGGCTCCCCGATCGGGGACACTCTCACGTGCCGAGGGCAAGGTTGACTCCAGGAGGGCAAGGCCCACGCGCCCGACGCGGCGCGCGCAGGAACCGAACAGTCCGGGGGTCCCGGAGCCACCCGCGCATTTTGACTACGCCGTCCCCGCCCTCTCTCCGCACCCTCCGCACCCTCCGCACCCTGCGTCCCTCGGCCGCATCTCCGCCGGGCGTCCGCTGGCTGGCTAGCTCACCACTCCACGCCATCCGCCTCCAAAGCCCGGCACTCACCTGCCCCGCGCGGCAGGCGCGCCGCACCCAGCAGCAGAACCCCTAGCAGTGCGATAGAGACCCCGCAGTTCAGGCCGGCCATGACTCCGGGACGCCTCGGCCTCGGTGGGGAAAACGACGGTGGGGAGCGGCGGCCCCAGGCGCCCAAGCCCGGCGCAGCTGCGCTCCGCCCTGGCTCACTCACCTGCGCGCGGGCGGACCGGCCCGAGCCCCGCCCTGCGCAGCAGGATCGCGAGCTGACCCGGTGCGTCCCTCCTCTCTCTCCTCCTCCTCTTCCTGCCTCAGCGACCGCCTCTCCCTCCCAGGGTGCAGGGCTCCCGGCACCGGGTTGCTGGGTCCCTACTACTCCCCATTGCGGCGTTGGAGCGGACTTGTCCCCACCTTTCCGGGCTTAGTCTTCCTTCCCAAGTCTGAGAATGATGAGGTCTTTTTCTCCAGAGTCGCGAAGGTCGCCCATAGAGGAAGCCAGTCTACCTTCCCTTTTCTGTCGAGGAGACAAAGGCCATTATGCGCCTCGTTTTGGAGAAGAATCCTATTTGTGGGCCACCCAAGCCCTGGATCCTCTGCTACTTGACTTGGGCCAGAGGTCTGTTGGACTTTAAAGCCGGTGGTGGTACAGCTAGTATTTGCAGGACGGTGAGCCTGCAGCCTACTCCACACACATCACCTGCAGTATTTCCAGACACGCAACGTGTCCAAGGTCCCCAGGGTAGCTAGTAAATTAGAGGCAGATGCACCACTTCGTTGAATTGTGAGTAGAGTAGTATGCATCCCTTCACTGAGCTGTGGATGGAGTAGTATGTGCCCTTCTCGAGTTGTATTATAAATGGAGTAGTGTGTGCAGTGTGAGCGTGAAGCATTCAGGTCAAACGTTGGGCTGGAAAATGAATGAAAAATGAATGGCGCTGGACTCCTTTTCCAAATCCTCCCAGCCGCAGGTGTGCCACCTGCCTGTCTTCAGAGGCCCTGTGGGTTCTCCTTCCACCCTGCCGGCCATACACCAAGTCCAGGCCACAGGCAGAGATTGCGGATGGTTCAGGAGTTCTTAGCTAGCAGACCTGGGTTCTGCCAGAATGACTCCCTGGGACTACTTGTGTTCATGGATAGCCAGAAGCTGGGCCAGAGTCACCCGGAGCAACCTGGGAGGCTTGGGACAGGAACCAAAGCATGTGCGACAGCATCAGTTTACAGTCCAGTCCCAACTTCTGCTTAATTCTTGCGGGCACTGAGCCTCTCCAGGCTGCCCCAATCCTCCTTGTGGACAGGGGTGGGAAATCATCTCCTAGGAGCGTCACCCCTTCCTTCTCGATGTCCTTAATCATGAGAATAGAGCTAGCTCTGCCCTCTGGGAGCCCACAGTCCATCGAGGGAGGCAGAACTTGGAACATGACCCTGCCCACACCCCCACCTCTGGGAGGGCCTGTATCGTGAGCTAAACGGGACCTTAGATGTAATCTTCTAGTCCACTTCTGTCCTTGTGCAGAAAAATGGGAAAACTGAGAACTAGAGGGAAGGGAGAGGATGAGAAACGAAGAGAGGCTCTTGGTTCTCCCCACTGAATCGAGGACAAATTCATCAAGAGAAAGAAATCTTGACAAAAATCTAAACAATCTTTAAAAATATTTATGCTGACCAGGAGGGTGAAAGGAGATTTGTCTTTTCTCCTGATTCTAAGCAGGCATATATATCCCAGCATCTTTTCCTAACATCCATGACACCATTGTTTCCCACATACAGTAATACCCACAACAGTACTAGAATGGCAGTGTATTGAATGCAAAATATCAGAAATATTGCTTGACAAGTTAAGCCTAAGGAACAAGTTATTTCCTTACTATTTCGTCTCTCCAAAGTTTGCTTAACTGTCTTTCTTGGGATAGTTGACACCAGCTTTCTGAAAATGGAATGAGAGTCACTAATTCCCAAATATGAAGCATTGGTGGTGGTTCCAGAAAGTAGCAGCAACGAGAAAGAAGAAAATAGGGAGGCACTTCAGCATCCTTTGCGTGACAACCCAACTACATAGTTGAAGTAAAGATGTCCTGACATACTGTCCTGGTCCTCCAAGTGGAGTGTGAACAAAGCATTGCCAAGAATGGACATGTTTTGTCTTTACAAACATGGCTGAATGGAAGGAGTAAATTTTAAAAGGTTATTTCTGAACTGGAAAGCAACGTAGGTAACTATAATCTAGTGCTAGAGAGAAATGAGAGATTGAAAGGTAAATTTTCGGCTGGGTGCAGTAGCTCATGCCTGTAATCCCAGCACTTTGGGAGGACAAGGTGGGTGGATAACTTGAGGTCAGGAGTTGGAGACCAGCCTGGCCAACATGGCAAAACCTCATCTCTACTAAAAACACAAAAATTAGCCGGCTGTGGTGGCGGGCGCCTGTAGTCCCAGCTACCCAGGAGGCTGAGACAGGAGAATTGCTTGAACCTGGGAGGTGGAGGTTGCAGTGAGCTAAGATTGCACCATTCCACTCCAGCCTGGGCGACAGAGTAAAGTTCTCTCTCTAAAAAAAGAAAAAAAAAAAAAAGGAAGGTGAGTCTTAAAACAGACTGTCCCATCTAATTTTGACCTCTTCTGAAACCCTGCAAAGGCTGTAAAACAGGGATTAAAAAAAATTACATAAGCCCACAAAGGTGGGAAGAACAGAGAGAAGACAACAGCAAAATCACCCTGGAAGCTAGACAGCAGCTGGACTAGTGGTAGCTGCCTTAGGAGCCTGGAGATGGCAGAACCCTAAGCCAGTAGTGGGGAAAACTCAGAAATAACACGATTAACACAGAAATCCTCAAAAAAGATCCTCAGGAAATGGCAGCACAAGGTATTCTGCAACTGGAGGGTGAAAGAGGAGTTAAACAAGAAAGGCTAGAAGAAAGCTGTTTGAGAAGTACTGTGGTTAGATCCCAGAACCCATCCATCATTACCCTTGCCTGGGCAACAGTCCCTCGTCCAGCTTCCAGTGTTGTTCTTGAGAAATCCAAAACCATTCTCATTTTTATTATTTTCTTTGAGACCCTTTTCTTGCCTCTAAAGCTGTAGAATCTTCTTTTTGTTCATTGGTTTCTGAAATTTCACCATAATGTGCCTTGATGTGAGTCTGCCTATATTATCGATCTTTAGATCTTGACAAGTTAGAGGGTTGGTAAGCTTAACAACTTTAGTGTTGTCTTCTGGAGAGATTAAAACCTAGGGATGTGGGCTGAGGGATGCCAGGCATAGCTGAAAGCATAGGAAACATTGTAAAAGTAGGTAAATAAAGGGAAGATATGCATTCTGAATGCTGAGATCCCCAGCTGTCTGGCCCCAACCTGCATCCAAGGATGAGACAAAAAGGCTTTGTTATCCATATTGGGGATGGAAAAAGTCTTCTTCTGGGGAGTCTGACCAGCACAGGAGGAAAGACCCAAACATATGGACATTAGACCCTCATAAACAGGCCAACCAGCTTCCTACCATGAGGCTTTCAATTAAGCCCCACCAACTTAGCTTTTTAATATCTCATTTTAATTTTAATTTTTATTTATTTATTTTTTTTGAGATGGAGTCTCGCTCTGTCACCCAGGCTGGAGTGCAATGGCGCGATCTCGGCTCACTGCAACCTCTGCCTCCCGGGTTCAAGCGATTCTCCTGCCTCAGCCTCCCAAGTAGCTGGGACTACAGTTGCACACCACCACGCCTGGCTAAGTTTTGTATTTTTAGTAGAGATGAGGTTTCACCATGTTGGCCAGGCTGGTCTCGAACTCCTGACCTCATGTGATCCACCCACCTCAACCTCCCATAGTGCTGGGATTACAGGCGTGAGCCACTGTGCCTGGCCAATATCTCACTTTTAAACATGAGCAATCAGGATTTCAGGATATCTGAGGAGAGCTTCTAACATATTAGAGTCAAAGCCAACCAAGTAACCAAACCGAGAAAAAAGAAAGAAAGAAAGAAAGAAAGAAAGAAAGAAAGAAGCAACCTGAAAGACTATACAAAGAGAAGAAAATAAAAGGAAGCAAAACAAAAAAATTACTAACTCTCTTAGAGTGATGTAGGCAACTATAATTTGGTGTCAGACAACATTCTCTCTGTGAAGCAGGAACAGCATGTTATAAAAAACAAAACAAGGCCGGGTGTGGTGGCTCACACCTGTAATCCCAGCACTTTGGGAGGCTGAGGCGGGTGGATCACCTAAGGTTGGGAGTTTGAGACCGACCTGACCAACATGGAGAAACCCTGTCTCTACTAAAAATACAAAAAATTAGCCAGGCGTGGTGGTGTGTGCCTGTAATCCCAGCTACTCAGGAGGCTGAGGCAGGAGAACCACTAGAACCCAGTAGGCAGAGGTTGCAGTGAGCCAGGATTGCACCACTGCACTCCAGCCTGGGCAACAAGAGCGAAACTCCATCTCAAAAACAGAACAAAACAAACAAAAAGATTCAGAGAACCACAAAAGAATTATTGGAAATGAAAAAAAGTGATTGTAGATAAAAAAAATAATAATAAATAAATAGAAGAGTTAGAAGTGCTCCCAGAAAGTAAAGCAAAAAGACAAAGAGATAAAAAGTAGGAGGGAAAAGTAAAGAAAATTTGAGGTCCAGTTCAGAAAATCCAACATCTGAAAAATAAGTTTCCTAAAAAGAGAGAGCAGATGAAACAGAGGAGACGACATCATCAATAATATAAGTGAAGAAATTCTCCAGGCCTGAATGACATGAGTTTCCAGATTAAAAGAGTCATGGAGTGCCCTGCACAATGGATAATATAGGCAGACTCACGTCCAGGCACATCATGGTGAAATACCAGAAACCAATAACGAAAAGAAGATTCTAGGCCAGGCGTGGTGGCTCACGCCTATAATCCCAACTATTCCTGAGGCTTAGACACGAGAATCACTTGAACTCTGGAGGTGGAGGTTGCAGTGAGCCGAGATTACACTACTGTACTCCAGCCTGGGTGATGGAAACAAACAAACAACAAAAAAGAAGATTCTGTAGCTTCCAGAGGCAAGAAAAGGGTCTCACAGAAAATAACAAAAATCAAAGTGGTTTTGGATTTCTCAAGAACAACACTGGAATTTGGAAAACAATGAAGCAATACCTTCAAAATTCTGAAGAGAGATAACTTCCAAATTAGAATTCTATACCTAGCCAAACTACCAATTAAACAATAAGGTAGAAAAAGGGCACTTTTAAACGTTCAAGATCTTAAAAAACCTCCAAACCTCCTACATACCTCTTCTCAAGAAAATACTGGAAGATGTGTTGCATTAAAACAAAAAATGCCTACAACACAGGGAGGAGTGGATACAGGTTTGTGGGGGGTAAACATAATCACCTTAAGAAAAATAATACAAAGTTGCAAATAGAAAATCAAGTGTGGGGCCAGGCATGGTGGCTCATACCTGTAATCCCAGCACTTTGGGAGGCAGGGGTGGACGGATCACCTGAGGTCAGGAGTTCGAGACCAGCCTGGCCAACATAGTGAAACCCTGTCTCTACTAAAACTACAAAAATTAGCCAGGCATGGTGGCACATGCCTGTAATCCTAGCTACTTGGGAGGCTGAGGCAGGAGAATGGCTTGAACCCGGGAGGCGGAGGTTGCAGTGAACTGATATCGCACCATTGCACTCCAGCCCGGGTGACGGGGCAAGACTCCTGTCTAAAAAAAAAAAAAAAAAAAAAAAAGAGAGAGAGAGAGAAAGAAAAGAAAAGAAAATCAGGTGTGAAAACGATTACTGTGTTTAGACTGAGGAAAGAAATCTCAATGAATTACAAATGGAAAAATATCACAAATGTTCCAAAATCCAGAAAAAATAACATAGTATTTTTACTGTTAATTGTCTGGTTCAACTCTAAGTCATTCTCCAGGTCATTTTGCAAGATGCATCAGATAAGATGCAACTGATATGTTGAGATCCGTAAGACCTGTGAATTCACATGCAGAAATACTCACTGTCCATAGAACCATTATAGTTTTGTGCCCTACAAATACAGAAATTCCTATAAATTCCATTTGTGTGATTCCTATTAAATATAAAGATCAAAATAGTATAGTGCATTCAAAATTATACTGCTGATTACCAATTTGTTTCTGACAGAAAAAAAAGCCCATCATTTTTGATAAGCCATGATGAGTTGCATGTTCTGCTTAAAATTTTAGCTTTGATAATTGGAAAAATTTTCCACAGACTAGCTTCTTCCGGATCTGTACATTTCACTTTATTCCTCCTCCTCCACTGTGCACATACTCTGGGTGTTGGACACTGTAGCACAGGTTCATAATGTAATATCACCTCTGGCCTTGCTCCTTCTGGTCACCTTACCTTGTGAGTCAGCCCAGTGGATGGGAGGAGTATTCCTAGAAGCCATTACTACAATGTGAGAACAAGCAATGGCTTAACTATACATGAATGTGACCATGAATCAAATAAATATATCCCACCAGACCCCAATTATAATAAATGTATGTCTGAGTTAACATCCCTTTAGCCTGATCCCAAAATGCCCACAGCCAATCAATGCTACATTGTATAAGGGGAAGTTTGATGGAAAGAAAGTGGAGGGAAGGCTTTTTTTGGCAGTCAGAATACGTGCCTTTGCAAATTTGACAAAGACCTATGACCAGGGAAGCACACTGGAGCTTTCTTAGCTTCTTTGTGTACTTGCCTCTAGATATATGAAGTACAGATACAGCCCAAGGGAGAGTCAAGGAACTCCCAGGGTGATGTGCCCCAGACTTAGAGAGCCCAGCATCCAGACTGAGTCAAGCCATAAACACATGGCCAACTACACTGGGCCCTGAATTCCGTAGCCACCCTTCTCTCCTGAGTGAACAGATGGGCGGAGTTAAATCAAATGGAGCCATTGCTTTTAGTGATGAGATTCTCAAATAATAATGGTGCTTGGTTAAGACCACCCCCCCCCCGCCCCCGACACAAACCTGTGCTCTGCAAATGCCCTTGAGCCACGTACACCTGAACAAGCACAGAGAAGGAGCCTGCACCAGCCCTGGATACCTACCTAGCTTTTTACATGAAAGAAGAATAAACGTCTCTTTTTTAAGCTTCCAGTCACTTGTGCCTGAACCCCATCCTAAGGCAGGCTTAGGAGATTTTTCTGCTGCTATGGAAAATGGAAGGGAGAGCAAACCCATGTGATTCACTGCAAATAAAGGACTTGACCTAAGTGGGTAAGATGGAATGGCTCAGCGACTATGAATGTGCATTCTGCAGTCAGATGTCCTGGATTCAAATACTGTCTCTTGCCGGGTGCGGTGGCTCACGCCTGTAATCCCAGCAATTTGGGAGGCTGAGGCAAGCAGATCACCTAAGATCAGGAGTTCAAGACCAGCCTGGCCAACACGGTGAAACCCCGTCTCTACTAAAAATACAAAAATTAGCCAGGCATGGTGGTATGATCCTGTAGTCCCAGCTACTCAGGAGGATGAGGCAGGAGAATCACCTAAACCCGGGAGGTGGAGGTTGTGGTGAGCTGAGATTGCACCACTGCACTCCAGCCTGGGTGACAAAGCGAGACTCCATCTCAAACAAAAACAAAAACAAATACAAATACTGCCTCTGCAACTTTACTGGCTTGTGCCAACTCCTTTCACCTACATGTGCCTCACTTTCCTCATCCATGAACTGGGTCCATGAATCGGGTGTTGTAAAGATTAATGAGGTAATATATGTAACACATTTAGCACAGTGCTTGGCACATAGTAAATGCACAGTAAAGTTAGCTGAGATTGCCTGTGTTGTGAGCAAGGGATGAAAGGAGTGGGTATTAGCTTGGTGGGGAGGTAAGCTATGGAAGTGGAGTGCAGAGTTCTGGAAAGAGAATGCTACAGACAAATTTCTTCATAGTCTCATTCAAATCTGAAAGTGTCAGCTCCTCAAGGCAGGAAGCTGTGTCTGTTTTATTCATCTTTATATTTCTGGAGCTGAAGATAAGGATTGAGTAAATGCTTAACAAATAGTTGGGGAATGAATGAACTCATTAGCCAAGGATGTGTGGATTACCCCACCAACTGGGCCACTGAGCCCAGGGAGCTCTTTGAAACTTGTGACCCTGAAAAGATGAATGCACAGCTCATTTTAAAGAGGGGGTAGGGCCCCTGGTCGAATGCAGTCATTGTGGCCATGTTGGGTGTCTAGCAGCCTCCCTTGCCTTGTAGGATGGGCCAGAGTCCGGTGGGCCAGGACTTTATCCAGTTTGAACAGAGGATGGACAGAACATCTGTCCAAATCAGGTAACTTCTCCGAAACTTTCCTTTCCGGTGATTAAGCAAGTTAATAAAGTTGAGATTCTTTCAGTGCACAAATAGCTCTTAGTGTCACTGTCAATGTCAACTACTGTTTGAGGGAGAAAACTTCCCATTCACAGTTTGAGCAGAGCTTCTTTGTGAGCCTCAAAACAGAAGAGTTTGCCATTGTCTCAGGATGAGATAGAAGTTCCTTGGGAATGACTGACTTTGCCAAGTAATTTGCCCAACGTTAACCACTTGGTATAATTTCAGTCTTAGAATGAGTAAGACAAATAACAACAATCCTTGCAGAGCAGCTAGTCATGCCGCCACGGATGGAGTCTGAATGAACTCAGTTCTGCATGACTCAGGAACTCGGCAGCAGGTAGCTGAGCACCTTCTGAGGTCACCCCAAAGCGACCAGAGGCCTGGGATCCATGCACCATCACCTCCTCAAACTGTACCATCTAAGATATCAAGTTGAAATGCCCAGGGGCAAAAAGAGAGGAAGAGTATAGATGTCTACTCCTTTCTTAAGCTTGTGCAACCAGCTCTCAGTAAGTCACTTGCCCACAGGGTAGAGAGAGCCATACCCTGCCCATCCCTGGAGTCTGCATCACCCTCGGATATGATCCATCCCCATGTCAGGCCTCTGCTTGCCAGCCTTGCTTCTTTCTTTTCTGTGTGTTTCCTTGAAATCTGGGAGGAAAAGAGCTTTAGTCGTGCTCTCAGGGATTTTCCTCCCCCTGGAGAGGGAATTGAGTCACATCATTGTTGAGCAGGAGGACTTGGAGCTCATCTGGTTGACATCTCCCTGATGGACGCAGGCCTGGAAAGGGTGACACAGTTGAGTCAAATAGCAGGTGACCTTCAGAGCAGAAGCCAGGTGTCCATCCAATAGTTCATGAGCTTTCCTTTCTGAAAAATCTTGGTTCCTGGCTGAATGCTCTGGCTTGTGCCTATAATCCTAGCACTTTGGGAGGCTGAGGCAGGAGGATAGCTTGATGTTAGGAATTTGAGACCAGCCTGGGCAACATAGTGAGATCCTGTCTCTACAAATAAATTTTAAAAATTAGCCAGGTGTGTGCCTGACCCCCTTTTTAAAAATTGTGGTAGAATATGTATATAACATAACATTTGCCATTTTAACCATTTTTAAGTGTGCAGTTTAGTGGCATTAGTACATTCATATTGTCTTGCAGCTGTCACCACCATCCATCTCCAGAGCTTTCCCTTCTTCCCGAACTGAAACTCTGCAACCATTAAACTATAACTCCCCTTCCTTGCTTCCCTCCAGCCCCTGTCATCCACCACTCTACTTTCTTTTTTTTTTTTTTTGAAATGGAGTCTCGCTCTGTTTCCCAGGCTGGAGTGCAGTGGTGCGATCTCGGCTCACTGCAAGCTCTGCCTCCCGGGTTCATGCCATTCTCCTGCCTCAGCCTCCAGAGTAGCTGGGACTACAGGCGCCTGCCACCATGGCCGGCTAATTTTTTATATTTTTAGTAGAGATGGGGTTTCACCGTGTTAGCCTGGATAGTCTCAATCTCCTGACCTCATGATCCACCCACCTTGGCCTCCCAAAGTGCTGGGATTACAGGGGTGAGCCGCTGCGCCCAGCCTCTACTTTCTGTCTCTATGAATTTGCCTATTCTAGGTAGTAAATGGAATTGTATATTTGTCCATTTGAGACTGGCTTACTTCACTTAGCATAAGGTCCTCCAGATCCATCCATGTTGTCGCATGTCACAATTTCCTTCCTTCCTAAAGCTGAATAATATTCCATTGTGTAGATACACATACACACCACAATTTGTTTATCCATTTATCCATCAGTGGACACTTGGATTGTTTCTACCCTTTAGTTATTGTGAGTAATGCTGCTCTGAACCATGGTTGTACAAATATCTCTTCAAGATGCCGTTTTCAGTTCTTTTGTGTATATACCCAGAGTAGAATTGCTGGATCATATGATAATTCCATGCTTAATGCTTCGAGGAACCTCATATGTACTCTTTTTAAAAAGCATAACTACAATGCCATTGTCACACCTACAAATGAATGAATCATGACTCCTTAATCACATTTAATGTCCAGTCACTGTGAGGTTTCCAATTGTCTTATCAATGTTATTTTTAAAATATTTTAGGCCAGGCATGGTGGCTCATGACTGTAATGCCAGCACTTTGGGATGCTGAGGCAGGAGGATCGTTTGAACTCAGGAGTTCAAGACCAACTTGGGCGACATGGTAAACCCTGTCTCTACTAAATACAAAAAGTAGGCAGGGGTGGTAGTGTGTGCCTGTGGTCCCAGCTACTAGGGAAGCTGAGGTGGGAGGATCGCTTGAACCCCAGGAGGTGGAGGCTGCAGTGAGCTGAGAACGCACCACTGCTCTCCAGCCTGGGTGACAGAGCAAGACTCTGTCTCAAAAGATAAATAGATAAATAAATAAATAAATAAATAAATAAATAAATAAATAAAAGTTTCATTGTTTGAATCAGAATCCAAATAAAGTTCCTATATTACAATTGGTTGGTATGTCTTTCTAAAAAAATAAACTTAATTTTGGTGTCATATTTACAGAAAAACTGCAAAGGTACTACAGAGAACGCTCATGCACTCGTTCGCTAGCTAGTTCTAATGTCAATATCTTGCATATTACTGTATATTTGTCAAAACTAAGAAAATATTATCAGCACTTTACTATGAGCAAACTCCAGACTTTATTCAAATTTCACTCCTTTTTCTATGAATGTCCTCTTTCTGTTTCAAGATCCCATCCAGGACCCCACACTGCATTTAGTTATTGTGTCTCAGACTCCTCCCATCGGTGACAGGTCCTCAGGTTTTGTTTTTCATGATCTTGAAAATTTTGAGGCGTCGTGGTCAGGTATTTTGCAGAGTTTCCCTCAATATGGGTTTGTCCAATATTTTTGTCATGATTAGCTGGGATTAAGACACTTTGGGAAGGCCAGGCATGGTGGCTCACGCTTGTAATCCCAGCACTTTGGGAGGCTAAGGTGGGTGGATCACTTGAGGTCAGGAGTTTGAGACCAGCCTGGCCAACATGGCAAAACCCCATCTGTACTAAAAATACAAAAGTTAGCCAGGTATGGTGGCGCATGCCTGTAATCCCAGCTACTTGGGAGGCTAAGGCACAATAATTGCTTGAACCTGGGATGTGGAGGTTGCAGCGAGCCAAGATTACACCACTGCACTCCAGCCTGGGTGACAGAGCGAGACTCTATCTCAAAAAAAAAAAAAAAAGGGGGGACTATTTGGGAAGAATTTCACAGACGTGATGTGCCCTTCTTGTCATAGTGCATCAGGGGTACATGATGTCCCCACAGCATCTCTGGTGATGTTAACCTTCATCACTTGGTTAAGGTTGTGTCTGCTAGGTTTCTCCACTGTTAAGTTACTAAATTTCACCTTTCCATACTCTGTTCTTTGGAAGTGCGTCACTAAGTCCATGATATGTCTGTAAATCTATTTTAATTTATAAAATAAAGTCTGTATAGAGGGGAACCTTCTCTTTCTATTTTTTTTTTTTTTTGAAATTTACTTGTTGAGGAAATCAGGTCATTCATTTGTCTCGTACTGTGTCCTGCAGTCTAATGTCATTTTACATCTTCCCTTGCCCTCTGTATTTCCTGTAAGCTGGTATTTGGAGCTGGAGGCCTGATCTCCTTCCTGTTTTATTCCTTCAGCAGGAACAATTCATGAGTAGAGTTGTGGACTTCTGTCAGGAGGCTCCTGGTGTCTCTTTTTGTGAAGTTAGCAGCTATTGATTCTCAGTGTATTGCTTTGATTCTAATAACACCTTTAGGTTCCCTCAGGACTTAACCTTATCAAAGTACTTTCCTAAGTGAAGACAACTCATTTTCTACCCCCATTGCACATAGTATCTTCAGCAAATCAAAGTTACTGCCATGGTAAAGAACACCGTTATTTTATGTACAATTAAGAACGAAAAAAACACTGCAAATTAATCTACAATACAACGCTTTCTTACACTGTCAGTATAATTTTGAGGCAAACTGAAGAATACCAAGGGTGAGTTACCATTTTCCTTTTTAACTAAACTCATAGTTTTATTTTTCCCTCAATTGAATCTCATTTTCTGGAAGTCAAATCAACATCAGTGGGAAGCCTCTGCTGATGGAGGTCTGGTGTGCTGACATGGGCAGCCTGTGCAGCATGGGCTTGGGTCACACCAGCTTTTATTGCATGACTTTGGCCCTTCCTTCATCTACCCCATGGATTGAGTAGTTTCTCCTGTCCTTCCTTGCATTGCTTGGTGTGTGGTCTGTTCTTTTGCACGCTTCTCTGTGACAAGACAGCTTATTCTAATTCTGTGTCTTCAGCATTCTTGCCTAAGTCCCCTAAGCACTTGGTTATAGCTTTGCAAGAAAGTATAGAATTGCAGCCATTCCTTTAGTGAGAAATATTTGCTACTCTCCTATTAAATATCTGCCCCACTGCTGCATTTCCATGCTTTGCTGTACCCACACCAACTTTTAGTTTCCACATTGAATCGGGTTACAATCTTTTTGATGGTATTTTATTTTAGGTTCAAGGGGTACATGTGCAGGTTTGTTACATGGGTAAATTGCATGTCATGGGGGTTTGGTGTACAGATAATTTTGTCACCTAGGTAATTGGCATAATGCCTGATAGTTTTTCAATCCCACCCTCCTCCCATTCTTCACCCTCAAGTAGGCCCTGGTATTGGTTGTTCCCTTCTTTGTGTCCACGTGTACTCAATGCTTAGCTCCCACTTATAAGTGAGAACACGTGGATTTGGTTTTCTGTTCCTGTGTTAATTCACTTAGGGTAATGGCCTCCAGTTCCATCCATGTTGCTGCAAAGGACATGATTTCATTCTTTATTATGGCTGCATAGTATTCTGTGGTGTATATGTACCATATTTTCTTTATTTAGTTCACCATTGATGGACATCTAGGTTGATTCTATGGCTTTGCTATTGTTAAGAGTGCTGCAGTGAACATACGTGTGCATGTGTCTTTACAGTAGAATGATTTATATTCCTCTGGGTATATACCCAATAGTGGGATTGCTGGGTCAAATGGTGGTTCTATTTTAAATTCTCTGAGAAAACATCAGTACTTTTCACTGTGGCTGAACTAATTTACATTCCCACCAGCAGTGTATAAGTGTTCCCTTTTCTCTGCAATCTCACCAGCATCTATTATTTTTGACTTTTTAATAATAGCAATTGTTCAATGATTTTTTTTCACATGAAAATTTATGGTTTATTAATCTTCTTGTGAAAAATCCACAACAGCCACAGAGAACATCATTGCAGCACCTTTACTCCTTTGGCTTTTTTGCCGGCACCAACATTGGCCTTTGCAGTCCCCCTGACTTTCTTCATTCTGTTCTTGCGTTCCTTTCATTGCTTTCTTGAGGTATTTTTCTTCTCATACAGGCCAAGTCTTGCAAGTCTATGTTTGGGTTCATTTTTCTTTGCATAATCCAGGGAATCATAAATCATGCCAAAGCCAGTTGTCTTGCCACCACCAAAATGAGTTCTGAATCCAAATACAAAGATGACATCCAGTGTGGTATTGTACATTTTGGCTAGTTTTTCCCAAATTTCTGCCTTAGGCACTGTTGCCTTCCCGGGGTGAATGACATCAATGACCATTTGTTTCCTCTAAGTAGTCGGTTGGTCATGAACTTTCTAGTGCAGATAGCTACCGTGTCGTTCATGATGGCGGTCTAATCTCAGACAGCCAGGGAAGAAAAAAGCTGATGATACTTTAAATGGTAATTAAGCTCCATAGCTGTAGAACCAACCATGCACATACTTCAATTGAAGATGATGCCAATATGAATAGTTATGGCCAAATGTTGGCACACACTATCATAACAACCACGTCAGAGATGCCCAACTGTGAAAGGCTGCCCAATTTCGGAGATGTTACAAGTTTTTAGGCTGGGCGCAGTGGCTCACACCTGTAATCCCAGCACTTTGGGAGGCCAAGGTGAGCGGATCACCTGAGGCCAGGAGTTCAAGACCAGACTGGCCAACATGGTGAATCCCCGTCTCTACTAAAAATACAAAAAATTTAGTCTGGCGTGGTGGCGGGCACCTGTAATCCCAGCTACCTGGGAGGCTGAGGAAGGAGAAAAGCTTGAACCTGGGAGGCGGATCTTGCAGTGAGCTGAGATCATGCTACTGCACTCCAGCCTGGGTGACAGACAGAGACTCCACCTGAAAAAAAAAAGTTTTTAAAATGTGCATCTTAGAATCAATGAAATACAGGTTTCTGGTTATGTGGGTGGCAAGAACCCCATTTTATTTATCTGGGTGACCTTCCCAAAGAATGTAGCTCAGTGCTTACATGGTATTTCAAAAATATTTGTTGTTGGAATGAAGCCAGCAGTTAATCAATATGTATATTTATTGAGCATTTACCAGGAACAAGGTCTAGTTGGAATGCATATTTGAAAACCCAAACCAATCCCTTTTTCTTAAAATAATAATTTGATTCTCCTCATCCTTATTACATTTCTATAGCTGTTCTTGGCCAAATTGAAATCTACTGCTATGTCAGTGGGCTTTTTGTTTCTTTTCCGCTTGAGTAATAAACACACCCAACTGGCCATCTTAGATTTTGGAGAGTTGCGCTCCCTCTCCTTGAGGGTGGAGTTTGAGTTTCTCTTTGAATCAGAATCCTGTGTTTTTCTCCATCTCTTCTTCCCTTCCTGCCCTTGCCCTCGCCTTAGTTCCCACCAAAGGTCTACCTTCTGAGGTCTTTCTTCCAATGTGTCTTGGTGTTTCTCTCTTCAGATTTAAATGCTCCCAGGTTTTGGGCTCAGTCCCCTGTATGCACCCCTGTTTCTTAAATCAGCTTCTTCCCAGCTGACTCTACAGAATGTGTTCTTGCTGGGATGCTCTGGTAGAAAGAGGTCTGTGGAAATGCATGCAGAGAACAGGTCATTCCTTGCTCCCTCTTCTCATAGTGCATGTGAGCGTATTGAATGCTCTGACAAGTCCTTTGTTAAGGAGGCTTGTCAAACTCAAAGATTTCCCAAATGCATTTCAC